>NT_187650.1:0-300000 GCF_000001405.40 Homo sapiens | reverse complement strand
CAGCTAAACGTCTCTGTTTTTCTATGTCATAAATCTAGGACATTACTTATCTACCTAGGAAGAGTAATAAATATTAATAATGTGGTATGATAAACATCCTGCACTCTTCCAAATCTTATAATAAAACTGCTTCAATTTCACTTGTTTAGCTTTTATACTTAGTTTTTTAGTTGATCTATTCTTATTTTAAGGAACCTGAACTACTCTAACAGAATCCACATAATTTTTATATTAGTCAAACTGCTTCTAACTCTGGTTCTAATAGTTATAAAAAGATGATAAATTTATGAAGTAGATACAGTCAAACCTGAATTTCTTCAAGTATATACTTAGAATCGGTTATAATTTTTAGATATTCTTTCATGACAGTCTTTTCCCAAACTTACGATGTCCTCTTTAGGTAATATTGCCACACTCATAAATTAGAAATAAAGACAAAAATGTGAAAAACTACAGTAATTTAAGAGAATGTAGGTTTTCTACATGCCATTTCTATTGGCTACTGAAAATAGTGGAAATAAGTAAATAAATAGCTACCTGTCCAGAAGCGTCTCATGCAAAAATCCATCTTTCCGAGCCTTTTTAAGAATTTTACTGTCTTCTTTACTTATTTTAAGTTTGTGGTCTTGGAAGCTCTGAAATTTCTTTCTGTAAAGAAAATGTCTTCATTGAAAAATACCTCAAACTCTGATTATACATATTTACTATTAAATTTATAAATACTGTTAATTTCTTTTTCACTTGTAAAAAAGTCTAATTGTAGGCCAGGCGCAGTGGCTCATGCCTGCAATCCCAGCACTTTGGGAGGCCAAGGCAGGCACATCGCTCAAGGTCAGGAGTTCGAGAACAGCCTGGCCAACATGGTGAAACCCCATCTCTACCAAAAATACAAAAATTAGCCGAGCATAGTGGCACGCGCCTGTAGTCCCAGCTACTCGGGAGGCTGAGGCAGGAGAATCACATGAACCTGGGAAGCGGAGGTTGCGATGAGCCGAGATCGCGCCATGGCACTCTAGTCTGGGGGAGAGAGCGAGACTCCATCTTGGGGGAGAAAAAAAAAGGTCTAATTGTATTTTTTTAAATAAGCTGGAGCTTTTCAACAAAGATGACCTTCATGACCTCTCAAGAGGAGGGCCACTCATTGACTGGGTAGCACAAGGCCCCACTTCTATTAGGGCATGCTGGCTAGAGTCCCCTGTGTCCTGGCCATAGCACAGCCTTTGACTGGCATCACACCCATTCTATGAATGAATAGAGAGATTGACTAACCTGAGTGACTAGCTTTGGGAGGTGGTAGGATGATTAGGAAAACTGAAGCCTCAAGAAAAGAAAAGCATTTAGCTCAGTGCTCTGTCCTAGAGGCTACATTGTGTCGTCTCTTCTTGTCCATCAGTTTCATTTTTTCAGACACGGTCTTGCTCTGCCACCCAGGCTGGAAGGCAGTGGTGATCAGAGCTCACTGCAGCCTTGAACTCCTGGGCTCAAACAATCCTCCTGTCTCAGCCTCCCGAGTAGCTGGGCCTATAGGCATGTACCACCATGCCCAGCTAAGTAGGTAATTTATTTTGAAAGCACTTTGAGAAGCACTTCACTGTCAAATCTGTAGGTCTAAAAGGAAAAGAATACATACACATAATTGATTTCACATTGTTTTACATTTCCTTTGTCTTCTTCTGGAATGTCATCTTTTTTCTTGGTTTCTCTTTCAGCACAGGATCTAATCTAGATATTGGAAAAGAGAATCCAATGGGTTATATGTTTATCTTCCACCTTCCCCACTTTACGTATCACATAAGAACATTCGAGATGATTTCTTATGCAGAAGAAAAAATTAACTGAGCAACTATATTCAGAAAAAGGTTCTGGCTATGTGTTTTTACTTCATATATATAATCTATATGAGTAAGTGCTATCACATGCTTCCTCCACAGCATTGTGTCAGAAACACTACAGACAAAATTATTTCAGAAACATTTTACACATCAGATCCTGCTAGGAAATAAAGCGATCATTAACTAATTTAATTTTGTCCTCCAAGTGAATACACTAGGATCAAATTATCCCTAGTAGACAAGTGTTCATTTGATCGGATTGAAAGCTTAATAGCTATTTTATGTTGCACAGACTATTACCAAAGTATTAAAACTTTTAACATTACACAACTTGTTTTTAACTAATTGGAACCCACCTCTTTTACTAGCTTCTTATATCCTCCTAAGTTTGGATAGATGTTTACTACCACATGTCATAAGTTAATTAATCTGCATTCAACAATTAGGATCACCCACAGAACAGGCAATTAGCAATGGTAAGGACTCATGTCTCCTAAGGGATCTCTGTGGCCAGAGTCCAGTTACAGGGCTGCTTAGAAAGTGATGACAAATAACGTGTTTGTGCAAATGACATCTTTGTGACAGTTCTGATTAGAGGGGTCCCAGACCTGAAAACATTCCCTGCTAGGGCCTGTAACACAAGGCTACCTTTAGTAAGAGGGATCTGTGTTCTGGTCATAAAGCTGAAGGGCTGACAGAGGTAACACAAGGCTACCTTTAGTAAGAGGGATCTGTGTTCTGGTAGATAAGGCAAGGTCATAAAGGTGAAGGGCTGACAGAGATTAGGAGAGCCTGCAATTAAATGGTAAAGGAAAAGAGTCCTAAATAATCACTGTTCAGAGCTTCCAGGTACTTGACTAACCAAAGAGACCCAGAAAACTTTGTATTTCGTCTGAAAATTGCTTTAAATAGTGAAAAAGGCAATCTTTGTGTAAGTATCTTTGTATCTTTGTATAAGTGCAAAGCACTGCACATATATTTGCAATTGTTGCCTTCAGTAACACTTTTGTGATGATATCCAGATGCAAAATAATTTAAACATGATACAATAAAATATAAATAAATAAAATTAAATGTAAGTCACAAACCCATCTGCATTTCCCCAATGACCTGTTTCCTGAGAAGCAATGTGCTATGAAATATTGAGAGTGGCCTCTGGAGTCAGCTGGGCCTGGGTACACATCCTGTCTTACCACACCTTGAAATCACTGTGATTTCCATGAACTGACTGACAAAAACCACGAGGATGTAAGGAGGGTCAGAGGCTGTCTTCTTGTCTGTAATGCTGAGCTCACATCCACCTCACAGGGGCATTATGGAAATTCAAGACTACAACGCATGTGCTGGGTGCATGCAATGAAAAAATATAACATTTCCCTTCTGTAAGAAAATACCTACATTTTAGATTGAAATTGTTTGAGCTTTAGATTTGAAATTATTTGAAATCAAGACTATTCTAAAAAGAAAATCAAACTTATGACAGGAAATCTAACATGAAGTATGTACAGAGATTTGATAGATGCTTTTAAATTGCACTGGTAGTAGAGAAAAATGTAACATAAATTTTTATGCTCTAATTATAAGAACGAAGGGCATTTTAGAAAAGGCACTTGCCCCCTCTCTTAGAGCCTTCCACTCTGGCCCCCACAATGCCTTACAGAGGAAATCTGGGTCAGACTGGATGCAACCTGTGATTCCCAACAGAGACAAACAAAGCAAGGTTCAGGATGCTCAGTACTGAGATGGAATGCCAAGACACAGAAAAGCCATGTGTCAAGAAGTGGGGAGTTATTCTTTAGACACATCCTGGTATATGTTTATCATTAAAGATCAGTGGCTTCTGTGAGTCTAAAAAATTAAGCCTTAAATGTTTTCATCAGATTCCAATTAACTACTTGATTTATCTAGGTTATATTAACAGTATTATTTAGAATTTCACCTTGATATGAAGATGTCTGTGTAACTTTTACAATGATGTAAAACAAAGAGTAGGATTAGAGAGGGCACAGGCCACTGGTGCAATGGATAACGCGTCTGACTACGGATGAGGGAATTTAGCCTGGAATAAGGAACTTTTATTTCCAGCTTAGTGACGCACACAAATTTTAAAAATAAAATAAAAATCATGTTTTATGTGATTCATGTTTCTCCTAATGCAAAGAAGACGGGTACTATTAATAAAAATATTTTTAAAATCTGAGGGCTAAGGCCCCAGAAGTTCTGCTATGATTTTTTATGTTTCATAGAGTGATTATCATCACAGAAGCTCAAGCATTACGTAAATACAAACGCATATACCCCGACCTGGTAATTCTGCTTCTGGAAATTTACCTTCAGGTCCACCCGCACATCTACAAACTGATGCATATTCAATGTTATGTACTGCAGCACTGTTTATAAGAGCAAAAGACTGGAAACAGCCTAAATTTCCATCTATAAAAGACTAAATAAATTAAGGTACATCCCTGAAATGGAATATTATGTGGCTGTTGAGAGAGAGAGAAAGAGAGGAAAAGCAAGAAAAAGAGAAAACTTTCTACATTCAAACTCATAGTAGAAAACTCTCCAAGATACAATTTTAAGGAAAAAAAAAAATTGAAGTCTAGACTATAGAGGAGGCTACCTTTAGCGTAAAACAGTTGAAAATTATAAACATATTCATATGTTTATAAAGAAATTTTAGGAGGCTATAAAAAAACAAAGGGAAAGACGAACAGGTGCTGGGACACAGGTGAGTAAGACGCATGGCAGGCATACGTCTTCACATGCTTTTATTTGAAAATGTTGGACCACGTGTACATGTTATCTATTTTAAAAATTAGATTTTAAAATACAAGCAAGAAAACAAGAAAATGAAAGCTTAAAAAGAGCATGTGGAACTACCAGAAGAAGATACTAATCCATGGAGATAATGGCAAGGTAGCTCCTAGATGCACTCATTTCTCTACCACATTGTATAAACAAGACATCAACTATGGGATTTATAATTAAAAATGAGTCTATTTGAAACACCACATTATAAAAAGCTATTAAGTAAATCTTTAAAGTGACAGTAAATGACCATTTAACATTTTAAAGAGATACAGTCACATCGCATGTGTGAATGCAGTCATCTGTATAAAATGTCATCATTACCTTGATCATTTCTTCTTCTCCTGCTGTTTTACTTTTTGCTTCTATGTCCCCTGCTTCATTGCATCTAATAAAGCAGCTATTTGAGGCCAACAAAGCCATTTTCCCCTAAGTGAAACAAATAACAAAATAGCCATGAGGATACTTCTTGTGGGAGAAACATTAAGTGTTTAGACTGAATTAATTTTTCCTCCCTGATTTAAAAATCACAGAAAAGAACTTAGAGAAAAACCTGAAAAATATAATACAAGAACATATAGAAAAGAAACCAAAATCACCTATCATTTTACTATTCAAAGATTACCACAATAAACATTTGTAGTGTATCTTCCTAGTAGGACTAAATTCTAAGTAGATGAGGTAGGATTGCTTCCTTTCTAAAAGATCTACTGAAGACATAACTGATTTAGTTCAGTTTGAAAAATTAACTTTAAAGACAAGAACATAATTATGAATGCATACTTTATTCAAATATTAGCATTTTAAGTAAAATTTATTTTCTTCACAATTAGAAAACATGAAAAGGTACATACAATGCTTTGGTGTTTTGAATTTAAGAATCAATGTCTGAGGGACTTTTGTGTGTGAAAATAAATATTCATATACTTTTTTAGTTGTTTAATGTTTGATATATTACACTGCTTTCTATTAAAACTTTAAAGACTGATTTTCTTGTGTATCTAAATCTGGGTTATAAATTTGGTTAGCTTAACTCCCTTAACAAATATAATGTTTATTTATAACTTGTATTTGGTTGATTCTTTTGGAAAACTTGGAATACCATAACATTTAGACAAAATATTTATAAATACAATGATTACAAAATATGTTAACCTTATATCACATCAAGTTAAAAAAGTGCTGATAACATGGATTTAATTTCTTAGTCAAGGTCACAAGGGCTGGGTGGTCTCTCATCTGGATGGCTCCTGGTGAGCCCTGGAACATGGTGGTGTGGTCCAAGACGATTTAAACCTGTGCCACAGATTATTCAGCTGAGTCCCTTTTGCAATAGTTTTAAGACCCTCTTTCATTTAAATTTAAATTTTTGAAACTTAGTGTCCTTCCTAAAAATAAAATGAAACGAACTTTCCTAAAGTGTTGTATTATTAGTACTATCTAAGTCATCATCTAAGGCCTTATGATATATTGGCCTTTTCTACCGGTGTAACTTTTATTAGAAGTATCTCATCCTAACTAGTAGGATCATCTCAAAGGGGTTGCAACACATTAGCGGGTCATGAAATCAATGTAGTGTTGTTTCCTGTACGGTATGGGGGGCGGGGGAAGGAATACACACAGACTCACAGAGGAAGGGGTAAAAGAGAATAAGAAATATCAAGGTGCATAACACATGGATAAGTAAGTATTGTTAAGTACAACTCTTGCTTCAGTTATACATGTGTGCTGGGCTGCAATGTAAAAATGCATTTCTCAATGGGTTGGGCCAAAATAGTTTTCAAGTCACTGAGTTAAGATTTTATCCTAGGGGATGAGGAAATTAGTCTAAGTGATTACCTCTTTCTGGAGGGATGTTTGTTTAATCTGTCATCTTAGAAAACACTGCTGAGTTCCTATTTTCAATTCATTAGTGTATACTACCAAAGCTGCTACTCAAAGGCTAAGCTTATCTTCTATTTGCTTGCTCTGCGTGGTGCCCATTGGTCCTTACTGTTTTTGATAAAGTTATCTACTTTTTAAAGACTGTTTAGCACTCACATATTTTTGTTCAATCTTTACTTCTCACACAAACAGAAAAAGGAAATTATGTATTCTGTGTCAACAAAGATTTAACAAAACATCCATATACAACTGTCTACTTACTAAAATTAAGAATTAGTATATTATCTTTTTTCTTCTTATATTAAAACTATCTTTTCGTATGCTATTTTAAGCTTATGAACTGAAAGTCTTTTAGAGATAATTTACTTCAATGAACTATTATTATTTATTTTATGCACAAATTGTCACAACTTGGTCTTAGCAAGCTCCACTGTTCGCTTACAGTCTCTAATGTTTCTGAAAGCATCCATGATTTCTGCTACAAAGATACTTAGGAACTACTCTGTTTTCCTACTCTGAGACCTAAAATTGACTGGTTCTTCAATGGAAATGAGATCCATATCTAGGCACTAAGGGTATACAGAAATAATTGTGGGCAAAAGGACTAATGCGATTTTTGTTGCACTATATTTTGAGATCTCTTTAAGGCTCTATGTTCTTATTGATTTATTCCTATTTAATGTATTACACTATTGCATCCTACTTTTTCTTTTTAAATATATTATGATTGACTGTTAACAGACTTTCTGTTAAACTGACAGGAAGTTTTTATAAACAATAACAGCACTTACATTTTGAAAGACTGGTTCCCATTGTTCTCTTGGTCCAATTGCATCTGAACGCCCAACAACAAGTCCATCTGAATTTATACCAAGATATTTTCCATAGCCAGACTTCAGGGCGATTCTGTACATTAATAACATAGATAAAAGTTAAAGACTGAGAGAAAATTAATTATAGGACATCAAAACAGGACATGCGTATGTGTGTGGCTGTGTACATATCTAAAATTTCAGACTGCACATATTCCAAGTCTTCAAAAGCTGCATGTGGCTGAGTGGTGACTCACTCCTGTAATCTCTGTGCTTTGGGAAGCCAACGGGAGAATTGCTTGAGGCAAGAAGTTCAAGATCAGCCTGGACAACACAGTGAGACCCCATCTCTACAAAAAATTTAAAAAGTTAGCTGGGCATGGCGGCATGCACATGTGATACCAGCTACTTGGGAGGCTGACGCAGGAGGATTGCTTGAGCCCAGAAATTTGAGGTTATAGTGAGATACGGTCACACCACTGCACTCCAGCCTGGGTGACAGAGTGAGACTCTGTGCCTTTAAAAAAAAAAAAAAGAAAAAAGCTACATGTGACTAGTTGCTGCCATGTTGGACAGTGCAGTTTTAAATTTAGTTTTATATTGTGCTTTTTTAATATAAACATTGTACCTTATATATTACATAACAAATATTTTTGAAATTCATCATTCTTCAATTATACCTCTTTAGTTATAAAGTTCAAGAATAAATTACTAAAACTTACTTTTTCTCTTATTATAAATAGTTCTATGTACATCTATTCTGTACATAAAACTGCTTTATCCTTAGAAAAAATTCCTAGAAATAACTGGATCGAAGAGTATAAAGTTCTTATGTCATCAAACTGTTTTCCAGAAAATGCTGCTTCCATTTACATTCTTACCTCAAATTAACAGAGTATGTTTTGTATCACGCATTTTTTTTTAAACATTATGACTTTAAAAAAATACTTGAAAACCTGATATGGAAAAAACAGTATCCTATAAATTTGCATTTTAGTAGTTAACTAGAATAACAATTGTTTTTCTTTTCCTTTCCTTTTTAGTTTTTAGATTATCTGGTAATGTCCCTTGTCCATTTTTCTATTGAGATCTGATTGTTCGCAGTTTTTCTACTGGGGTCATCAGTGCTATGAATTCTATACAAGATACATATGAAGAGTAAGAACTCACTGCCTATTAAGATTGTTGCAAATATTTTCCTCATTTGTCAGTTAATTTTCTTTATAATCCTTTTTTGTTTATAATTGTAAAGCAGTTTAAAACTATTGAATTTTTTCTTCCTCTGCTTTTATTCTGTCTTTCACCATACTTATCAGACTTTCAAAGAAAGTACAGAAATAATCATCTTAATGTGATTTTTTAAAATTATGATTTCTAATCTTTTACCTTACCGAGAATCTCCTGGGATGCCAGAATTGACTTTTACTCCTTTATACATTAATGATTATATAACAGAAATCATTATCATATTGATGTAACCAATTACTAAAATATGTAAATTCACTTTCAGTATCTTCTGCCCAAAGAATCGTTCTATACTTTTGCACAAGGTGAGAATAAAAAAGGTTACTTTATAAAATGACTGTAAAAATAGTGAGTAAAAATATTCTTTTGGTCGTTATGATTCTGTAACATTCTCTGCTGGTTTCAACAATATTCCTTTTTTTAGTCTTCCTGTTTGCCTTTGGACTTCCAAACAGTGAGTTTAAATATCACAGCAACAGTGAACCAGGTTTTGTACTATTTGATTCATTTTTTAATCTATCTTATTCGGTATGTGAAATTATTAATCTTCACTTTTTAACTTATTTTTTTTTCCAGCCTAGCATTATATATTGATAGGAAATCCATTAAAAGTAGATCACAAAATCTACTTTTCAAAAAAGCTATTTTGTTTTTTACATCAAAATTACCCTGTGGGCTTAAGACAGATACTAAAATTTTTAATGAATACAATTAAATTTTTAAAATAACTGGTTACTAATTATATTACAACATAAGCTCACCTGGAATCAGATAATTTGACAGCCGTAAACTGCTCTGGAGGACTAGGGCCCTCATCAACTATTGGAGAAAAAACATTTGAAAATAAATTTGACATTTGCTATAAATATAAAGACATTATTTTGTTTTAAAAAATGTGGCTATTTTCTTCTGCAATTAAATGTAAGAATATTCAGATATACTGATGTCACTGTAATACTGTATCTTTGGAATCAAGATCTATTTTACCTTCTTTTAACTACAGTGTTAATTTTATACACTGAGTAAGACAGGGTGATATAATGCTTATTTAATAACTTTTGAGATAGCTTCTCTTTATGTTTTAAAATACAGTCATAAATAAGCACTTATTTAAAAAGCTAAATGCTTTCACTTATTCAAGGGATGGCCTTGCTGACCAAATGATACTGCTTTTTATCTTCTAATTACTTCATATCTCATTAGTGCTTCCTCTAATGGGCTAAAGAAAATGAGGAAACTTCAAACTGTTAAACGCACCCAGGTTAGTTTTGGCAATAGGTCTGAATAAAAAAGAAATTCAAACATTTTGACTCAAATAGGTTTTCTTTTTTCTTTCCACTTACTATTTTAATTATTCATGTTATTTTGATTTCCAAAGATACTCTTCTGGAACTATACGGAATGTTTTCAAATGCTTATATTAGAAAGAGGGACTTGCCAATGGCTGGTAAATATTAAGGAATTAAAAAAAAATGGAAGAGTCAAATGCAATGGTTCCATTCCTTTGGAAAATGTTTGAGACTAGTTAGAGTTTGGCCTAAGTGAATGAATGTCCTAAAATCTACACTTGTGGCAGCCTCTTCCCTTCCAGACACAAACCTTCTTTGTGTGGAGCTCCCAGGGTAAAAAGACCATTGTCGAGTGCATGTATATAGGTTCCCTTATCCATTTCAATGGCTATGGTTCCTGAAATTTCACCAAAGTTTGTTACTGTCCACCAGATTCCTAAAAAATAAAATCAATATTTCAACTTTATATTTTAGTTTTGACACAGAGTTCTTTTTTTTGTTATTATAACTTAATTTTAAAAACTTCTTATTTTGCAGTTGTAAGAAATAATACAAAGATCTCACATATCCTTTACTCACTTTGTCTCGATTAAATCTTGCATAAGTATCATACACTGTCAGAATCAGGAAACTGAAATTGATATAATCCATGAAGCTTATTCAGATTTCACCAGTTTTACATGTACTTGTTTGCATGTATGTGCAGAGATTCATGCGACTACCAGCACAGTCAGGATTAGGTTTTTAAAACATAAAATAGCAACATACAGCCAGGCATGGGGGTGCATGCCTGTAATCTCAGCTACTCGGGGAGCTGGGGAAAGAGGATCACTTGAGCCCAGAGTTCAACGTTATAGTGAGCTATGATCATGCCACTGCACTCTAGCCTGAGTGACAGAGCAAGGTCCTGTCTCAAAAAAAGACCAAAACAAAACAAGAGGCAACATGTGAAGGTACAAAGTGACATATAGAGAATGGTCTCTCTCATGATAGACCCCAGTCATCTATTTCATGCCTGCTTTCCAGAGCCAATGCCTATCATAATGTTTCTTAAAAATGCCTCTACAGGAAGACTTTCTAGCATAGCAATCTTTTTTTTTTTTTTTTTGAGACGGAGACTCGCTCTGTCGCCCAGGCTGGAGTGCAGTGATGCGATCTCGGCTCACTGCGACCTCTGCCTCCCGGGTTCAAACAATTCTCTGCCTCAGCTTCCCGAGTAGCTGGGGTTACAGGCGCCTATCACCATGCCTGAATAATTTTTTTTGTATTTTTAGTAGACACGGGGTTTCACCACATTGGCCAGGCTGGTCTCAAACTCCCGACCTCGTGATCCACCCGCCTCTGCCTCCCAAAGTGCTGGGATTACAGGTGTGAGCCACCGCGCCTGGCCAGTAATCTTAACTATGATTTTAGATTGAAAGTAAAATGAGCAGAATCTATGTCTATGTATACTAATTTCCAATTTGCCAATAGAAATATTAGACTCTAGGAACAATTATTTAAGCCGTTGTTATAAAAGTTTATATCTTAATGTTAAAAAATATCCTCAAACCTCCTCCTAAATTGTACTTTAGCTAGAGTAGAAATGAGTCAATCATTAACTGGATATGACATATTAAGGAATTCTTGTTAATTTTACAAGGTCTGATAATGACATAGTATAATATATAAAAATAAAGAACAAAACAGGTGATGACAGAAAGACATACCACGTTAAGAAATGTACGTTTATGTACTCATGGGTAAAATGACATAACATCTGTGATTTTACTTAAAATTTTCTAAGAAAAAATGTGTGTGGGGGCGTGTGTGTAAATGAAATGAGATTGGCAAAATATTGATAATTAATGCTGGGGCCTGGGCACATGGGGGACTCATTATATTCTTCTATGTATGGAATAGTTTGGATATTTCCATAATAAAAAGGTTTTAAAGATTCAGTTAATTCCACTGCACAAAATTTTCTATTCAACTAAACATTTCATGCTTTCCATAATAAATTTTAAAATACATAAAATTTTAGCTAAAATGAAGTTGGACCCTTATCTAATGCCAAATACAAAAAGTAACTTAAAACAGACCAAAGACCTAAATGTAAGAGCTAAAGTTAGAAAACTTTTAGAAGAAAATGGGAAAAGCTTCACGACATGAATTTGGCAATGATTTCTTATGTAGAACATCAAAGGCACAGGCAACAAAAGAAAACGTGGACAAACTGGACTTCATCAGAATTAAAAACTTTTGTGCATCAAGAACCGCCATCAACAGAGTAAAAGGCAACCCAGGGAATGGAGAAAATATTTGTAAACTACATACATTATAAGGAATTAATATCCAGACTATATAGAGAACTCCAAAAAGACAAATACCACAATTCAAAACTGGGCAAAGGATATACACGGACATTGCTCCAAAGATGATATACAAATGGCCAATAAGCACTTGAAAAGACGCTCAACATCACTAGTCACTAGGGAAATATAAATCAAAACCATAATGCAATACCACTTCACACCCATTAGAATAGCTATTATCAAAACAAACAAACAAACAAAAAACAGAAACCAAGAAAGCCAGAAAAACAAATGTTGGGCAGGATGTGGAGAAACGGAAACCCTGTGCAATGCTGGTGGGAAGGTAAAATGGTGCATGTATTTAAATGCCACTGAAGCATACACGTAAAAATAGAAAAACTGGCAAATTCTATATTCTGTATATTTTACCTCCACACACACACAAAACCAATGGAGAAAAAGAAAATTAATCAAAATTAAAATTTCAGCTAAAGACAATTAAAAAGAAATAAAACTAATAAGCAATTTAGATGATTGAATTATAGCTACAATTGTTTTCAGGAAAAGAAATAATGCTTTATTCAGAATCATTATCAACAGTGTTATGATTAGCAAGTCTTTCTTATAAATATAATAGTTAATGATTTTAAATTAGATTTATTTTGTATGTTCTATGCCACATTGACCAAGTACACTTAATATTAAATAAAATCATTTAAATATAATAACTCATTAATGTTTTGCAAATGAAGAAGAAATTTCTGGCAGACAAGCTCCTTAAAATTTTCACACTCTGTCCAAGTAGGGAAATGATACAATAACGTTACTTTAATATTGTCAACTGAAAAAGAAATTACTTTGAGCAGATGCCAGTATTTTTTCTCAATGCAATTTCAAAGAATAAGAAATATAAACACAGTATCATCAAGAATTAAATGTGAGCATTCTGCCTACTTTCTGCAAGTGGCCTACATTCAACCTTTGGAGGTATGCTTATATGTTTATCGACTAAAGTAACATAACATAATACTTAATGGTGCCACTCTGGGGTTTTAGCTGTGAGAAAGCAGTGGATCCTATGAACACGGGCACTGAAGTTGCCTGTCTCTACGTCAGGTGACAGCTCAAGCTGTGTATATGGTGCAGATGCCCAAGCTGAATTTAAGAGAATCCGCTCTAAAACATTACTTGCTATTTAGACACATGCTTAAAGTTATTTCCTTTTAAACCTTAGGCAGATGGTGAAATATTCCTGCTGTGTTGTCTCACAATGCATGAGAAAGCTTTACACATATTGTCACATAGTTTAGAATGTTTACATATGTCTGGCATGCCTGTAATCCAGCACTTTGAGAGGTGGAAGCAGGAGAATCACTTTAGCCCAGGAGTTCAAAATCAGCCTAGGCAACAAAAGGAGACCCCCATCTCTACAAAAAAATTAAGAAATTAGCTGGGTGTGGTGGTACGAGCCTGTGGTCCCAGCTACTCGGGAGTCGGAGGTGAGAGGATTGCTTGAGCCTACGAGGTCGAGGGTGCACTGAGCCACGATCATGTCACTGCACTCCAGCCTGAGCAACAAAGCAAGAGCCTGTCTCAAAAAAAACAAAACAAAAAAATGGCCCAATGCACCAGTGTCATGGCTGATAAGATAGTACCAGGGCACCCTCATTCTAGCATCAAGGCTGTGTGACAGCTCACCTCACCTTCTGACTAACCCAGTGCTTCCGTGCTAAGGGCCCCCTTAAATCTCTACTATCATTATGTGCTTGGCACAAAGGAATGATATATCTTAGATTTGGAAATGGAATTTTCTTCCCCAATCTTACTGTAGTCTAAGTACCCTTCACAGACCTTCTATTAATCCACAGCTGACTTAGCTTTAGTTCCTGGGTAAATAAAATATATGTGTTTTGCAAAGTACGATGTTGTAAGTCCAACTGCTTCTGAATCTAGCAGAGCTCAGTGAAACTCTTTGCCTACAGACATGCTCGTTTTTATTAATGTCACACTTGGTTTTCTCCATGTGAAAGACAGAATTTCTTTCATCCTATTTACCAATCCCTTCAGATCCTTGTGAGGAACCAACAGAACAGCTTTAAAAAATTAAAAGGTTTTTTTTCTTTCCCTTCACAAATAGGCACATGCTTACTTATACGGCAAGTTTAGAAAATCCACAATGCAAAACCATGTGGAAGGACAAAGAGAAAAAGACGCAGAAGGACTTCCTCTTCCAGCCAAGATGGACTTGCCCTCCCACCATGACCAACGAGAAAACTGAAACTGGATAGAATATTTGAGAAAACTGTTTTCAGAGATTGGAACACAGGCAGAACAGGACTGTGATATTTGAGAACAGGAAAACACTGGAGGCAAATCTCATACACACTTGTGTTTTCTGCCCAATGGCAGTTTCTTGACCACACGGAGAGAGGTAGAGACCTCCAGAAATGAGGCAATGTCACTGTCACTAAGCTGAGAGTCTTACAGTGCTAACATGTTGGGAGTTTATAGAATAAGGTACTGGAGAAGAGGGAACTACATACAGGTGAGGCCTCAAAAGAGTACGCAAAAGTTCTCTGCAGGTCCGTGGCCAAGGGCTGGGGGGAGTGCATGCAGCAGGCAGGCTCCACAAGGCCTCTGCAGAGTGGCTGGCACTTCTGAGGGCTGACTGGAGATGCCAGAGATCACACAAATTTGGGACACAGCAGAGTGGAGAGAACTCACTAAGTATACCTAGAACATGTGGCTGAGGCCCATGAGGATGAACCTTTCCTAGACTAAGAGTCACTGTCTAAGTCTACGAGCAAAACCCTAATAAATAAGCACAAACTAACAAAGGCCCAGGCTTGACAGGAGCAAAAGGGTGGTCAAATAATTTGACTAGGCATCAAGACATTTAACAGAAATAAGGTTAAAATGTTATGAAAATGAAAGACTGAATTTATAAGGAAGACTTAACAATCCTAAATGTGTACACATGACGGCTTCAAAATACTTTAAGCAAAAACTGCTCAAGTAGACAGATCTAGAATTACCGCTGGAGATTTTAACATAACTATCAATACACTGTAGCATTAGTAAAAAATCAGTAAGGACACAGAAGATATGCATAGTCACAAGCTCTACCAGTTGATCTAACAGACATCTAAAGAACACTGAACTGGCCGGGCACCGCGGCTCACGCCTGGATCCCGCCGAGGCGGGAGGATCACCTGAGGTCAGGAGTTTGAGACCAGCTTGGTCAACGTGGTGAAACCCTGTCTCTACTAAAAATATTTAAAAAATTAGCCGGGTGTGGTGGCAGGTGCCTGTAATTCCAGTTACTCCGGAGGCTGAGGCAGGAGATTCACTTGAACCTGGGAGGCGGAGGTTGCAGTGAGCCGAGATTGCACCACTGCACTCCAGCCTGTTGGGCAACAGCGAGACTCCATCTCCAAAAAAACAAACAAACAAACAAACAAAAAACCCTGAACCAACATCTGCAGAATACACATTCAAGTCTACATGGAAATTCACTAAGAAAGTATGTTCTCCAACTATACTATAAATGAATTAGAAATCAGCAACAATAACATACCTATAATATCTCTATGTAGTAGAAATTAAAAACAATATACTTTTAAATAACTCACGTGTCCATGAAAAGAAAAATCACAAGGAAAACTAGATAATATTTTGAATGGAATGAAAATGAAAACAAAATGTGTTGACTATAACTGAAACTAAAGTGGAATGAAGAGATCTAACTCCCTTCCTAAGAAGCAATAAAACAAGAGCAAAGTAAACTGAAAATAAGTTAAAGGGAGGAAAAAAATAAAAGACTGAAAATAAATGAAATAGAAAATGAAAAAAAGAGAAAATAAGTAATATTGAAACAGGCTTGTCCAACCTGAGGGCCACATGTGGCCCAGGCCAGCTGTGAATGCAGCCCAACACAAATTCATAAACTTTCTTGAAATATTATGAGATTTTTTTGCTTTTTTTTTTTTTTTGGCTTATCAGCTTATCGTTAGTGTATTTTATGTGTGGCCCAAGACAATTCCTCTCCTTTCATTGTGGCCCAGGGAAGCTAAAAGATTGAATACACCTGTACTAAACGATCATTAACGATCTAAAATAAATGATCTTGTAAAGAATTGAGAAACCTCCAGCTAGACTGACTGATCCAGGAAAACATAGCAAAAACACAAATTACCAATATGAAGAGACTGCAATACAGATGAGATTCTACGGACATTAAAAGCATATTAAAGGAATATTCTGAACAATTCTATGCCAATAAATCCAACAACTTAGATGAAATTTTCTTAAAAGACACAAATTGCCAAAACTGACACAACAGAAAAATCTGAAAATATCTCTTAAAAAATTTTAATTTTCCCACAAAAAACTAAAACCAAACCAAACAAAACCCTCCGGGTTCAGCTGACTTCACTGGTGAATTCTATCAAACATGTAAAGAACAACTCATACCCATCTCTACACAGCTATTTCCAAAAATAGGAAAGGAGACAGCACTTTCCATCTAATTTTGTGACACCCAGTATCACCTTGACACCAAAATCAAAAAAAGACATTACAAGAAAAGGATACAAAAGTCCAATATCTCCCATCAACACCAATATAGAAATCTTAAAAAAAAACAAAAAACACAAACACCTAGAAATCAAATCTAGCAATATCCCAAAGGACAACGCACCACAACCAAGTGGGGTTTATCTCAGGGATGTAAAGTTAGTTTAAAAGTTGAAAATGAAACCAATATAATCCACTGGCAGAATGAAGAAAGCTGTATAATCATCTCAACAGATACAGAAAGAGGCATCTGACAGCATTAAACATCGTTATGATAAAAACTCCCAAGAAACAAAGTTTTAAAAGGAATGTCCTCATTTTGATAAAAGTTTTCTCTGCAGATCCTACAGACGTCATACCATATGGTGGACTACTGAAAGCTTTCTGCCTAAGCTTGAGAGCAATGCAATTATGCCCATTCTCATGACTTCTGTTCAATGCTATAGAAGTCCTGGACAGTATAATAAACCAATAAAAAGAAAGACAAGACAAAAGGATTAGAAAGAAAGAAGTAAAACGATAGTCACAGGAAACATAATTGCAAATTTCTTAGTTTTCTATATAAGCAAACCACTAGAAGTAATAAGTGAAACAGACTTAGACTACAAAGTCACTATACAAAAATCAATTGTATATCTACATACTGACAGCAAACAACTGGAAAATCAAATTCAAAGGTTCTATTGACAGTAATGTAAAATTATAAAATACTTAAGAATAAATGTTTAAACAGGCATGCAAGATGGCTACATTGAAAATTATGAAATATTGAGGCCCAATATTAAGATGTTGATCTCCCCCAAATGATCTGGACTCAATACAGTTCTCGAGAAAATCCAACAAACTTCACTGCAGAAATTAATAAATTAACAGTTAATAAGTACAAAGTCGGAGGACTCACACTACCTGATCTCAAGACTTCATGAAATTATAGCAATCAAGAGAAATATACCAACAGAAAAACAGACAAACGTATCGATAGAACAGAGTCCAGAAACAGACCAATACATAGAAAGTTAATTGATTTTTTATGAAGATACCAAAGTGGATTAATGGAAAAAGGAAACACCAGTGGTGCTGGCACAACTGGCTATCAAGATGTTTAAAAAAAAAAAGTAAATCTTGAAACCGAACTCACAACATCATGCCAAAATTTAATTTGAGATGAATGACAGATTTAATGTAAAAACTAAAACTATGATGCCTCTAAAAGACAATGTAGAATATTTTCCTGACTTTGGGGTAAGCAAAGATCTCTTAGATCAAAGACATAAGACAGTAACCATAAAAGAAAAAAAAAATAAACTGAGCTTTATAAAAATTAAAAGCTTCTGACCATCCTGGCTAACATGGTGAAACCCTGTTGCTACTAAAAACACAAAAAATTAGCCGGGTGTGGTGGCAGGCACCTGCACTCCCAGCTACTCGGGAGGCTGAGGCAGCAGAATGGCATGAACCCGGGAGGTGGAGCTTGCAGTGAACCGAGATCGCATCACTGCATTCCAGCTTGGGAGACAGAGTGAGAATTTGTCTCAAAAAAAAGCTGCTCATCCAAAAACCACCATTAAGAAACTGAAAAGGTAAAACTCAGACTGGGAGAAAAGACTGATAACACCATCAACTCTTGGCAAGGATGTAACTGGAGCACTAATTCATTCTTGGTAGGAGGGTAAAATGGCACAACCACTTTAGAAAACTTTTGGCATTTTCTTATATAGTTAAACATTCACCTATCCTTTGACACAGCAATTCCACATCTACATATCTACCCTAGATATTTACCCTAATTTTAGAATTGTTGATTTGCCATTTTGAAAGCAATGATTCTTCCAGAACATTAGCTTTATACCATTCCATATTTTATATATTAAGTTACCATAATTTATGAAGATTCAAAATGCAACTTGCCAAGTTTTAAAAGAGAAAAAAATATGTATGGAAAAGAACTAAACGGAAAACAGGCTGGTTAAGTGTGTTTAGGTCAGTTTATTTCTAGTATCATTTACAGGCTACCCTGATGTTGTATTTAAAATTTTCATTCATTTCAGAGTTCACAAAATAATGATTTTTCCTGTGAAGATACTTCCTTTAAGAGACAACCGACTTCTACAATTAAAATGCATACATGTGCAAAGAAAATAACTTGTAAAAGATATTTGGTTGAATAACATTTACATTAGGCCTTTAAAATTATGTATTAGAATCTCTGGCTATTAAGCAGTCTAATGGTGCCTACTAAGTCAGAGAGTTATAATTTTTCTCTCCTGATAATGAAGTAAAGGCATCAGTAGCATCTACTGTGTTAAAGAATAAATGGAATTTATAACTGTAGGTAATATTTAAGCACTTTAAGACAAATATGAATACATCATAAATTTCTAACTAGGAAAACACTTTCAAGGAGATCTCAAGAAACATTAACTTTTTTCAGAATAGAGCACTGAAAACTGACTCACCAACAATATCAAGCTGGGTTTCTTCATCTTCTTCTCTTTTTCTTTTCTTATCTTTGCTCTTTTTCTTCTTACTACAGGACATAATTTATATAGACGAGTTTAGGTATATTGATTTGTACGATAAATATTGTAAGATTGAAACTTGAAAGTCTTTTAAGCTGTTTCATTTATAAATTATTGATTTAGGAAGACTTACATTGATATGCCCTCTTAAATACAGTACTGAGAAGTTGCTTCAGGCTTTGCACATATTACGTTAGAGTTCAAAGCAGATTGTAGAGCCACACTGCCAGATTTTAAATCCTGATTCTTTCACTTCTTAGCTCCGTGATTTTTGGAAAAGGTACTGAATCTCTCTGAGTCAGTTTCCCCACTTAAAAAATTAGGATAGTAACTTAACCTAACTCTTAAGGCTATTGTGAGGATTAAGAGGTAATATGTACCTTCACACATTCCTGGTGGAAATGTAAAATGGTGCAGCATCTACAGGAAACAGTTTGGGGTTCCTCAAAAAGTTAAAGTTACCACATGACCCAGCAATTTTACTCCTAAGTATGTATACCCAAGGGAAATGAAAACATACACCCACAAAAATACTTACATAAGAATATTCACACTAGCATTAGTCACAATAGCCAAAAAGGGGAAACAACCCAAATGTTCATCAGTTGATGAATGGATGAACAAAATGATACATCCATACAATGGAATACTATGCAGCCATAAAAAGGAACAGGCGCTACAACAATGATGAACCTCAATAATGTTATAAGTGAAAGGAGCCAGATACAAAAGGCCACATGTTGCATGATTTCTTAGGAAATATTCAGAATAGGCGATTTCACATAGAGAGCGGATTAGTGGTTGCCAAGGACTAGGAGAGGGGGAGGATGGGATGTGACTGCTTTAATGGGTAGGGGGAGATTTCCTTCTGAGATGATGAAAATGCTGAGCAACTAGACAGTGGTGAACCTCTTGAATATATACTAAAAACCCCTGACTGTACAAAAGGGTGAATTTTATAATTATGAATTATATCTCAATAAAAAAATAAAAAACCAAGAGTGATTTGAAAAAAAGTTAATGTGCAAAGTGCCTACAACAATTTCTTGGCACATTGACAGTGCTATATGAGCATTAATTATGATTATTACGATGATCTTAAGACACCCGTGTCTGCATTTTCATTATAAAGTTTTCAGAAGATAACTCTCCTCTCCTCCCAGGAAATTCACAGAGTAAAAATCTCACATTCATTCAGGATAAACCTGCCATTTATTCTGGCATCTTCATGAGGCCAGACTCCTCGAGAGGGTTCTCAAGGCCAGTGGCTTCAACTCACTCCTTGATACTTTCTATCTCGCCTAAAAATATCAAAACCTCTGTTTATCACGGAGACCAGGAGGAAATACTCGACATTTGTATGTACCTCGGGCAAATCTGCCAGTTAAAAAAGAAGCGGGGATATGAGTGCACAGGTATTTTTTCCTAAAAAGCTAATAAATTACCATTACGACCTCCTCCTCACATTTGGCTCAATTTATTTTCTGCATATATGTTCTCTCATTTAATCCTCACAGTCTTCTAAAAGTATAAAAAACGTCTGAAAGTATAAATGTGTAAACGGAGGTTCAGATATTTGATCTCTTAATGAGTAAATGGAAGTTCAGACATATTAACCAATTTGCCACAAATTACAAAACTAGTAAATGACAAGAGTGCAGGTTCGAGCCCATATCCCTAAAGCCCATATACACCTCAACCACTGTGTGATTCATCCTGGTTTCACTGTACATATTAGATTAGAAAAAATTAATAAGTTTTCTAGAAAGAAAAGAGACAATGGAGAAAATAATAATCCCTAATAAAGGAAATTATCATGAACTACGAGATCAGACTAATGCAGACCCCCCAGGCAGAGGCCTGGAGAGATGCCTCAGGGGACCCAAACTCGTGGGTACGGGGTCACGGGTCACCTGCCCGTCTATCCTGTTTCCAGGGTCGTCCGCGCGGGAGGCTGCCCCTCTCTGCACAGACGCCGGGAACCGCGGCCCGGCCTCCGTCCAGCCCGGACAGGGGCCAGGGCGAAGCCTGGGAGGCCACAAAGCCGGCTCTCCGCGCCACGGCTTCCACCGGAGTTGCGGGGGTGGAGTGCGTCCGAAAAGAACGGAGGAGGCTCCCGCCCAAGCTGCAGGACCCACCTCTTCGTCTTGGTTCCCTTGAGCACGAGCTTGGTAGACTTCACGTAGGAGTACTCGGCCATGGCTCCGGGAAACTTCTGCGCGGAGAGGCTGAGGCCGGTTCTGGACGAGTATGTGAGTCGGGGCAGCACAGGGGCGCGGAGAAACAGAAGCGGACGCGAAATAAACACTCCCTGACAGCCTACGTCTCTGTAGAACCCGCCTCCGTCTTCACCCAAACGCTGAATGGCTCAGAGTTCCACTTCCGGGTTTCTGCCGGGGAGCTACGGCGGCCGCAGAGGGCCAAAAGGCATCCGCGCGCAGCTGCTCCCTGGCGCCCTCTCAAGGAGCCCCTGAGGATTCGCGCCTCCCGGAAGGGAGAAAAGCCCGCCCGAGGCGCGGTGCTGACGGTGGCTGGGCTGCCGGGTGCGCTGTGGAACCGCCTCCTGCTAGAGCAGCGGGCTGGCGACGGTCCTCGCCGGGGCGGGAAGCGGCTCAGGCTGCCCTCGCTGGCCTGCGGCGGCGCGGCTGGAAGCGCGGGCCACTCGTGCGTGGGTCACTCAGGACTGCGCCTCGCGCGACTGTGTGTGCAGGAAACAAGCAGGAAATACCCTAAAAGAGAATGAAGCGCCATGTTGAGGGTCGCGGACGTCGCGAGTGCTGTGGGAATGTGGGCTGAGGTGGAGAGTTATGGTAGCCCGTGTTACAGGCTCAGGGGTCTGAAAGAAGCCTAATCGTGGAGGCGGCATCTGAGGAGGGTCTTGAAGGCTGGGCAGGCATTTGCCCGACAGAGATGGAGGAAGCTAGTCCTGTCTGATGGAGGAAACAGGGCGGAGGCGTGGAGGGAGCCGTGCAGCGCTGGTGTGAGGAGCAGCGAGCAGGCCAGGCCTGTAAAGCAGAGTGAGGGAACCAGGATAGAGAAGGCAAGTCGGGGTCCTGTGGTCGCTGAAGAATTTGAATGAAATCAGTAAACAGGTGAGAGGGATCCATCGCAAGAGCATGGGATGAAAGGAGGAGTAGTCCACGGTGATTCCTCTGCAGCGGTGGGTGTTATTAATCGCGTATGTGACACCAAAACCACCCCACTCAAGCTGTGGCTCTTTCCCTAAAGTAGAAAACCGAGACCAGTTGGGTTCCAAGCATCCACGAAGATCTTATTAAATTCGTGATCCCTGGTGGCACCATGGAGTCAGGATTGGCTCATCTCAAACCTGACTCAGAAACAAAACCGTCACAATGTGCAGAGATGAGCGTCCTTACCGCTATCAACGTATTTTCTGGTGTTTTCACAGTGCTGCGCTTCCTAATCCCCATTCCATGGCAATCCACATGCCATGATGCCCGGAGTCATTAACAAAGGAGACACACAGGGGCTCCTCACGTTGGCTTTCCAGGGTTTTGATGAAAATCTGTTTCCTCGTCTCATACAATGTGGTTAGTAATAGTATCATTTAGGGTTGAAGAATTAAATGGTACGAGTTATATAGGGTGCTTATTATAACCTACATGGAAAATGCCTAGGATATGTTAGCTATGCTCATCACCAACATCGTTATATGATGGTAATAATCAGATAGTCAGGAAGCCTGACACCAAGAAAATGGATACATGCTCTGAAGGAATGAATGTGGAGAGATCAGAAGGTCAAGAACAAAGTCGTACAATATGTCTACAGTAAAGGGATAGAGAAAAGAAAGGCTATAAAAGAAGGAATGAAACAGAGTTAAATTATAGAAATCAAAGCTAAGGAGAATTTCCAGAAAGGGTAGTATCATTTAATATCATAGAAGTTTAGGAGCCCAAGATGGAAAAAAGGCCTCTGGGTAACTGACATTGAGGCAGTCTTTGGGGAAGCTCCATTTCCGATAGAGAAGTAGACTGAAAGTCAGCTTGAAGCAGGGACTAGGTGAAGAAGCTGTTGGCTGGTCGCATGGGGAAATAAATAAGGGATGGCATATGCCGTATTTCTGGATTTCTTTCTTTCTTGCCCAGCCTCTATATATGCACAGAGTTTGGCGAAAACTTACAAAAAATAAAAATGAAACCAATTTCGTTTGTAGACCCAAATACAATGCTTTCTGTTAGAATCAAGATAAATTCATGCCTCTCCCTTCTATTCAAACCGTCAGTTTTGAAATTAAACATCAGCTTTTCTTCTTCATTAAAATCATTTTCAGCTCTTCCCATTGATGGTTTGGGGGAGTTGCATAAGCAGTCAGGTCTTGATGAGTAGAGGAGGAGGGAACAAACACTTTCAGCAAAGGCAGAATTCTGAAATTCTGCTCATATTTTTTTCCAGTAACTTTCCTATGTTTGTGAGGTTATTCAGTCATAAAGATCCTAGTGAAATGTTTTTCAAGCTTTACTAATCATAATCACTGTGGACATTTGTTTAAAATGTGTATTCCCAGGCCTCTCACCTGGTGATTCTGATTCAGGAGATCATGGATGGGACTCAGCATACATGTGTTTGACAAGTATCACAAGTGGTTCTTATGGTCAGGCAAATTTGGGAAACTAACCAGGAATTTATGTTTTTATGACTGGCAGCTAGAAAAGATTCCTAGAGTCTTTGCTTTTTGAAAATAAAATATTTCTTTTTTAAAAGGAAAATTGTATGACTAGATACAGCATTTATACATGTGATAAATGTACTATACTGTGTGCTTTTGTCATATTTACAGTTAAAGATGTGTAAGAACACTCTGAGAAAAATTGTATATTAAATGAAAAGAGGGGTAAGTCAGGGTGGGGGAGAAATGAGAAGGGTGTGCTTATTGTTGCTAAAAGTTAGAAAAGCCAGAATGATAGCATCTAAGGTTGCAAATAGCACACTGTAAGTTGAGGGAGCTTCACAATCATGTCTGAAGCCTTCTTTGATATGCTGAGTTGTAAACAGTGGCTTTGGACAAGATTTGAGGGAGAAACCAACTATGCTTTAAAGTGTTCATTTAAAAGTCTTTAATTAAAGGAAAGTCTTTGCATTTACTTGAGCTAATTTAACTTCAGGACTTTAAGAAATTACTAGCCCTTAACCTCTTAAAAATTGTCTTTCATTTCAAATGAAAGTTTAAGGTGGCCTTTATGTTCGATTGGTATACTTGTGCGAAGACTTAACAGCAAGGTACTGTACAATTCTAAATGTTTACTTCTTAATTTTGCTGGAAGAAATATACTACTCAATTGATTATTTTTAAAGCAAAGTAAAACAATTTATTTTGACAAGTGACACTGTATTTTCCTAGTTTTTTGGTGGCAAAGATTAGTCTTAACATCACTAATCATCAGAGAAATGCAAATCAAAACCAAAACGAGATACCATCCTACACCAGTCAGAATAGCTACTATTCAAAAATTGAAAAACAACAGATCTTGGGAGGCTGTGGAGAAAGGGGAACATTTACACATAATTGGTGCAAATGTAAATTAGTTCAGCCACTGTTCAAAGCGGTTTGGAAATTTCTCAAAGCATTTAAAATAGAATTACCATTCAAGCCAACAATTCCATTACTGGTATATAACCCAAAGAGAATCAGTTATTCTACCAAAAAGACATATGCACTTGCATGTTCATCGCAGCACTATTCACAATAGCAAAGACATGGAGTCAGCCTAGGTGCCCATCGACAGTGGATTGGATCAATAAAATGTGGTACATCTACACAGTATGATTAGGCCATTCTTGCATTGCTATGAAGAAATACCTGAGGCTGGGTAATTTATAAGGAAAAGAGATTTAATTGGCTCACATCTCTGCAGGCTGTACAGGAAGCATGGTGATGGCATCTGCATGGCGCCTGTGGAGGCCCCAGGGAGCTTTTACTCATGATGGAAGGCACAGAGGGAGTAGGCACATCACATGGTCCGAGGAGGAGCAAGAGAAAATGGGAGTGGGGGTAAGTACCACACACCCTTACACAACCAGATCTTGAAAGAATTCACTATCACAAGGACGGCATCAGGCCATGAGAGATCCATCCCCATGACCCTACCAGGCCCCACCTCCAACACTGAGGATTACATTTCATCATGAGATTTATAGGGGCCACCTTCCAAACCATTTCATACACCACGGAATACTATGCAGCCATAAAAATAACAAAATCATGTCCTTTGAAACAACATGGATGCAGCCGGAGGCCATTATCCTAAGTGAATTAATGCAGGAACATAAAACAAAATACCACATGATCCCACTTATAAGTGGGAGCTAAACACTGGGTACTCATGGACATAAAGATGGAAAGAATAAACACCGGGACTACTAGAGGGGAGAAGGAGGAAGGCAAGGTTTGAAAAACTACCTATTGGGTATTATGCTCATGTATTAATCTGTTCTCACACTGCTGTAGAGAACTACCTGAGACTGGGTAATTTATAAAGAAAAGAGGTTTAACTGACTCACAATTCCACAGGCTGTACAGGAAGCATGGCTGGGAGGCTTCAGGAAACTTATAATCATGGCAGATGGTGAAGGGGGAAGCAAGGCACGTTCTACCATGGCGGAAGGAGAGCAAGTGAGCCAGGGGGGATTTGCCATATGTTTAAACCATCAGATGTCATGAGAACTCACTTACCATCTAAGAACAACAAGGGGGAAATCTGCCCTCATGAGCTAATCACCTCCCACCATGTCATTCCCCCTACATTGGGAATTACAATTCAACATGAGATTTGGGTGGGGACACAGAGTCAAATCATACCAAATCAGCATCTGGATGATGGGATCATTCATACCCCAAAACTCAGCATTATGAGATATACCCATGTAACAAACTGGCACATGTACCCCTGAATGTAAAATACAAGTTAAAATTATTTTCAAAATAAATTAATTAATGAATAAATAAATATTATTAAATTAAATTAAAATTTTGAATTAAAAAAATTTGAGAGTGATTTCAGCTTGACAGTTATGTAAGTTATGTAAATGGAAACAGTGAGTTCTGTAAGGTTCGGATAAATTGGACTATGTGTACTAAGTTGATGTCCAGTTGTTTGGATGAAAAGAAAAGAGGAGAAACATATAGATCTAACAGGAAAAAAATGGACAAGTTTTTATGATAGCAAAAAGAAAAATGGAGGAAATAGGACTGAGATTATAGTGATTGATAGATATTAATAGACGACTAAGTCAAAAGCCACTGGTTGCAGAAAATATTGATTAATTTTGTTTTATTCCAGTCAGACAACAAAATTCTATGCCCTGCCTCCAGAGAAAAACCTTTTAGCCCTGTAATTATCTTTATTCCAAGCACCATTCCATTCATTAAGTAGTGTATACGGTGATTAATAAGTGAATTATTCACCGAATTGAGACAGAAGTTTTGAGTATTTCAGGATATTAATAGTATAGTCAATGAACTAAAATAAAATTTGACTAGAGGTGTGATCACCATGAATGCCATGTTGGTATCTTGTTAGATTTGGCAACCTAAAGTTGACAAATTTATTTATAAAATAAACATTCATTGATGATTAATTTATAATTAGTAGACATGCTCTGTCTTCTTCCTTCGTTTTCTTTTTCATTCATTCATTCATTCCTACAGAGCAGTGACTTTCATTCTAAGATTCCCAGAATCCTAAGGAATTCTTGAACGTCATCATAGGGAGCCAGGTGTGGGGATTCCCAAAAGTTGTATTTAATACTTGAAAAAATCTCGAAAAGTTATATATTTACACCAGAAACAGCTATACAGGTTTTAAGTTATGTATATATAGTTGAATATATTTTATTTCTATCCAGAACTAAGTCATTAGAGTTAGTAATGTTGATTATTTCATACTGACCTAATGGGTAGCCTTTATATATCATTGATTACTTATTAATAAAATAAGAACCACCCCCAAAATTACAAAATAAATATATTTTGTGGGTTTTTCTTAAGGCTTTTGAAACATAAAATCAGAGGAGAGGATTAAAAGTAATCCGTGATTGTTAAAAAGGCAGGAAACTACTAACTTAGAAAATTGTATGAAAACAGCAAGATATATACATGGACCTCAGACCAGCTGCCTGTTTTAATAAAGTTTTATTGGAGCACATCCATGGATCTATGGTGCTTTCCTGCTACAATGGTAGAGTTGAATGGTTGCTATAGAGACCGTATGGTTTGCAAAGCTTAAAATATTTATCATCTGGTCCTTTATAGCAAAAGTGAACCCAGTTTTAGAACATTCACTTCACAAATTAAGATACAGTGGATGCTGCCTTAACTGACCTCCACTTAACTGATTTACAATTAGCACTTTCTGGTACCCCTGTACAACTTATTGACTGATGTCCATTGCAAACTGAAAGCCTTTGAGCTACTTTTAATGCCTGTACATTTCTCCTTCCATCACAGAAATTATATAGTTTCTAAGAGGAAGCTGTGTTCATTCCTAAATATGTTTACACCATTTGTTCTTGCTCTTGTAGTTATGCAATTTAATTAAATATTATATTGGGAGGCTAAGGAGGGCGGATAACTAGGTCAAGAGATCGAGACCATCCTGGCTAACATGGTGAAACCCGGTCTCTACTGAAAATACAAAAAAATTAGCAGGGCGTGGTGGCGGGCGCCTGTACTCCCAGCTACTTGGGAGGCTGAGGCAGGAGAATGAGGTGAACCTGAGAGGCGGAGCTTGCAGTGAGTAGAGATGGCACCACTGCACTCCAGCCTGGGCAACAGAGCGAGACTCCATCTCAAAAAAAAAATAAATAAAATAAAAAATAAATATTATGTAAACTGAGAAAATGAGTACAACAAGAGTAGTATTGTTGTTTCTTTGAGAAATAAACCAAATGTGTTGGGAAAATGAGACACTCAAACAGTTGCTGCCAACTTAACAGTGGGCAAGACAACTAGAAACAAATGGGAAAAATTGTATACTCTAGGATTTCAGATTGCTTTACCCCAGTTGTCTTCACAGAAAGTGAACGAGAAATGAATGACAACATATCATTGGCATAGTTTCCACAAGAAACTCCACTCATTGAATCCGTGCAAGGCTTTGACCTTGTCATCAAAATAGTGGCAAATTTATTTACACATGTCTTTTAAATTAAAGTTGTTTTAAGGACTTACATCTAATACTTCTTATGATTCCTCCATCTAACTTAAATTTGTTATTAATCTATTTATTACTGGTCCCAATCTTATTGAATAAGGGGGTTTCTACCGTTTTTGCTAACAAAAAGTTTACTTTGATGAAGTTGGAATTATAAACACAATAATTCAAGTTTAAAGAATTAGAATGGTAATGGTTAATATAATATAGTATGCCTAAAAATCACTTGAAAAGCTTACTAACAATGCAAATTCTTGTGCCTTAGGCCTGAGATTTTGATTCAGTAGGTCTAGCATGGGGCATAGGAATCTGTATTTTTAGGAATGTTAAAGGAAAATTGCTTCAAGTAGGATAAATTATGACTTACAAATATAAAATGAACATTTGTCTAAGATTTTTGTTTAACTCATTTATTTAATGAGGGAGTCAGTAAGATGTTAT
The DNA here is from genome assembly GCF_000001405.40 of Homo sapiens. Taxonomy (NCBI): domain Eukaryota; kingdom Metazoa; phylum Chordata; class Mammalia; order Primates; family Hominidae; genus Homo; species Homo sapiens. The sequence goes on along the minus strand of NT_187650.1, from coordinate 271,125 downwards.
AATGAGTTTTATGGAAAATTAAAAGAGCCACACATCTCTATGCACTAAGGAACACTGAAATAAATTTTCTTGATAGGTTCAAAACTGACTTCTTGATGGAAGGTGAAAAAAGGAAAATTAATTATACTTCCACCCAAATCAGTCATTTGCATGTCTATGGACAAGAATATTTGCATTACTATCAGTAATCTATGACTAACAGGATTGCAAATAACAAAGAAAACAAAAGGCAAAAAGACCCCATAGAAACAGATAACCCAGGTTATTCTAGGCAAGGCTGAGATTTCTTGAAGACACTCAGTGGTAATTTCATTGGTCCATCTTAAAATCTTTCCATTTTCTTCTGAAACAAGTTGCTCAAGCAATTCAAATACAATGAATGTGGTCAGTGGGTCACACCTGGAGAATCATTTTCTAACCTATAATCAAGACTGTTGAATTACTCCCTTCACTAGAAAGAATAAAATATTACCACATACATTTGTATTATGATAATGGCCCACTATGAATGCTTTGGCGTTCTTAATTTTCTTAAGATTTATTAATATTTCTGAAGTAACTACTAAATGCCAAGCAATATATTTTCTAATTTAATCTTTCATTGACTTTTACTTTCACTTCAATTGAGCTACTCACTTTCATGGCTATAAACTTTTCAATAACTTAAAAATTGATTTCTAATGTTATAAACTTTAATGTTCCACTCTGTGACCTGCTCTTTCAGACTCTCTCTTCCTTACTGCCAATTCACCTTCTATCTCTTCAAGTGCCCCAGTATCTTGACTCTTCCATTTTCTTTTTTTTTATTAAGTGGACACATGATAATTTCACATGTTGATGGGGTACAATGTGGTATTTTGATACATGATACATTGTTAAAACCTCTTCTCCCTAACTTTCCCAGTCTGGTAACCACTCTTCTACTCTCTATTAGATCAGTGTTTTTAGATTTCACATATGAATGAGATCATGTGATATTTGTCTTTCTGTGGTTAGCTTATTTCACTTACCACAATGTCCTCTCTACTCATTCATGTTGTCACAAATGACACGATTTTATCCTTTTTTTATGGCCAAGTGTGCATATGATATAGTTTGGATATTTGTCCTGACCCATATCTCATGTTATATTGTAATCCCCACTGTTAGAAATGGGGCCTGGTAGGAGGTGTTTGGGTCATGGAGGTGGATCCCTCATGGCTTGGTGCTATCCTCATGATAGTGAACAAGTTCTCAAGCTTCCTGAGGCCCCAGAAGCAGATGTTGGCACTATGCTTCCTGTAGAGCCCACAGAACCAGGAGCCAATTAAGTCTCTTTTCTTATAAATTATCCAATCTCAGTTATTTCTTTATAGCAATGCAAGAATGGCCAAATACAGCATATATGCCACATTTTCTTTATCCATTCATTCATTGATGGACACTTAGGTTGATTCTAGGCTATTGTGAATAGTGCTGTAATAAACATGAGAGTGCAGAAATCTCTTTGACATACTGATTTAATTTTCTTTGAATATACACCCAGTAGGGGGATTGCTGGATTATGTGGTAAGTCTATTTTTAATGTTTTTGGAAGTTATATTGTTTTCCATAACAATTGCTCTAATTTACATTTCCACCAACAGTGTATGAACATTCCCCTTTCTTCACATCCTTGCCAGCATTTGTTATTTTTTGGCTTTTTCATAAAAGGCATTCTAAGCAGGGTGAGATGATATCTCACTGTGGGTTTTTTCACTTGCATCTGTGTGAAGAGACCACTAAACTAAACAGGCTTTGTGTGAGCAATAAAGCTGTTTATTTCACCTGGGTGCAGGTGGGCTGAGTCCGAAAAGAGTCAGTGAAGGGAGATGGGGTGGGGCCATTTTATAGGATTTGGGTAGGTAAAGGCAAAAGGGGGGTTGTTCTCTGGCGGGCAGGAGTGGGGGTCACAAGGTGCTCAGTAGGGGAGCTTTTGAGCCAGGATGAGCGAGGAAAAGGAATTTCACAAGATAATGTCATCAGTTAAGGTACGAACAGGGCATTTTCACTTCTTTTATGGTGGAATGTCATCAGTTAAGTCAGGAACCGGCCATCTGGATGTGTACGTGCAGGTCACAGGGGATATGATGCCTTAGCTTGGGCTCAGAGGCCTGACATTCCTGTCTTCTTATATTAATAAGAAAAATAAAATGAATTAGTGGTAAAGTGTTGGGACAGTGAAAATTTTTTAGGGGTGGTATGGAGAGATAATGGGTGATGTTTCTCAGGGCTGCTTCGAGCGGGATTAGGGGCGGCGTGGGAACTTAGAGTGGGAGAGATTAAGCTGAAGGAAGATTTTGTGGTAAGGGGTGATATTGTGGGGTTGTTAGAGGAAACATTTGTCATTTAGAATTATTGGCGATGGCCTGGATACAGTTTTGTATGAATTGAAAAACTAAACGGAATAAGACAAGGAGAAAAACAGGTATTAAAGGACTAACAATTGGGAGGACCTAGGACATCTAATTAGAGAGTGCCTAAGGAGGTTCAGCATAGCTTTGCCAGCAAAGATTTTTTATTTACTTTAAGAGTTAAGAGTGACGGTTTGAGGGTAGCACCAGGAGATATCAGCTGTGATGGCTTGGAGAAACAGTGTAAACTGGCAGTGTAAACAAGAGCAGGGCATGTATGAGTAGTTGAGAATGGTGAATAGGAGTATGAGTAGACAGAAGATAGTAGGGATGACAAGTTTTTTGGGGCATAGTCCAAGTTGATCTGGTGTCTGGAATGAGACTGGGGCCTAATAAAAAGGAGCGTCTATACAGGAGCTCAAATGGGCTATACCTTGTAGTATTCTGAGGACAGGCCTGAATTCTGAGAAGGGAAAGTGGTAAAAGTATTGTCCAGTCCTTTTTAAGTTAGTGGCTGAGCTTGGTGAGGTGTGTTTTTAAAAGACTATTAGTCTGTTCTACTTTTCCTGAAGACTGAGGACTGTAAGGGATATAAAGGTTTCACTGAATACTAAGAGCCTGAAAAAATGCTTGGCTGATTTGACTAATAAAGGCCGGTCTGCTATCAGACTGTATAGAGGTGGGAAGCCAAACCAAGGAATTATGTCTGACAGAAGGGAGGAAATGACCGTGGTGGCCTTCTTCGACCCTGTGGAAAAGGCCTTTACCTATCTAGTGAAAGTGTCTTACCTAGACCAAGAGGTATTTTAGTTTCCTGACTCGGGGCATGTTGAGTAAAGCTAATTTGCCAGTCCTGGGTGGGGTCAAATCCTTAAGCTTGATGTGTAGGGAAGGGAGGGGGCCTGAATAATCCCTGAGAAGTAGTAGAATAGCAAATTTGCCTGTCCTGGGCAGGAGCAAATCCTTGAACTTGATGTGTAGGGAAGGGAGAGGGCCTGAATAATCCCTGAGGAGTAGTAGAATAGCAGATGGAACACTGAGAAGTTATTTCCTTGAGGATAGATTTCCACGATGGAAAGGAAATGAGAGGTTCTAAGAGGCGGGTTAGTGGCTTGTACTATAGCATAGCCTGCCTTTGCTGGTGTGTGGTGATTAGGCCTGGTGGAACTGCCATCAATAAACCAAGTGTGATCAGGGTGAGAAACAGGGAAGAAGGAAATGTGGGGAAATGGAGTGAATGTCAGGTGGATCAGAGAGATGCAGTCATGGGGGTCAGGTGTGGTATCAGAAATAATGTGGGAGGCCAGATTGAAGTTGGGCCAGGAAAAATGGTAATTGTGGGAGACTCAACAAAGAGTGAGTACAGCTGAAGGAGCTGGGAAGCAGAAAGTATATGCGTCAGGTGTGAGGAAGAAAATAGATCTTGGAAATTATGAGAGCTGTAGAGAGTGAGTTGAGCATAGTTTGTGATTTTAAGGGCCTCTAAAAGTATTAGGGTGGCAGCAGCCGCTGCATGGAGACATGATGGCCAGTCTAAAACAGTAAGGTCAAGTTGTTTGGACAAAAAGGCTACAGGACGCGATCCCAGTCCTTGTGTAAGAATTCTGACTGCACAGCCCTGCACTTCAGCTGTGTGTAATGAAAAGGGTTGGGATGAGTCAGGGAGAGCTAGAGTGGGGGCAGTCTCTAAAGCTGTCTTCAAGGAACAGAAAGAGGAGTGGGGAAAGGATTTAGGATCTATGGGGTCATGTAGGTTTCCTTTTGTGAGTTTATGTAATGGTTTTGTTAGGATGGCAAAACCAGGTATCTAAAGGCGAAAGTATCTAACCATGCCCAGGAAGGAAAGGAGTTGTTGTTTTGTAGAAGGGTTTGGGGTTTGAGAGATTGGTCAGACATGATTGGCAGGGATAGCACATGTGTTTTTATGAGAATTATGCTGAGATGGGTAACGGATAAGGAAGAAATGTGGGCTTGACTGAAGTAATGGAGGCTGTCTGTGAAGCTTTACAGCAGTACAGCCTAGGTAATTTGCTGAGCCTGATGGGTGTCAGGGTCAGTCCAAGTGAAAGTGAAGAAGGCTGGGATGAAGGGTGAAAAGGAATAGTAAAGAAAGCATGTTTGAGATCCAGAACAGACTAATGGATTGTGGAGGGAGGTATTGAGGATAGGAGAGTATATGGGTTTGGCACCATGGGGTTCATAGGCAAAACAATTTGGTTGATAAGGCATAGATCCTGAACTAACTTGTAAGGCTTGTCTGGCTTTAGGACAGGTAAAATGGGGGAATTGTAAGGAGAGTTTATAGGCTTTAAAAGGCCATGCTGTAGCAGGCGAGTGATAACAGGCTTTAATCCTTTCAAAGCATGCTGTGGGATGGGATATTGGCATTGAGAGGGGTAAGGGTGATTAGGTTTTAATGAGATGGTAAGGGGTGCATGATGAGTTGCCAAGGAGCGAGTAGAGGTATCTTATACTTGTGGGTTAAGGTCGGGGGATACAAGAGGAGGATGCAAAGGAGGCTTTGGATTGGGAAGAAGGGCAGAAATGAGATGTAGCTGTAGTCCAGGAATAGTCAGGGAAGCAGATAATTTAGTTAAAGTGTCTCGGCCTAATAAGAGAACTGGGCAGGTGGGGATAACTAAAAAGGAGTGCTTAAAAGAGTATTGTCTAAATTGGCACCAGAGTTGGGGAGTTTTAAGAGGTTTAGAAGCCTGGCTGTCAATACTTACAACAGTTATGGAGGCAAGGGAAACAGGCCCTTGAAAAGAAGGTAATGTGGAGTGGGTAGCCTCCATATTGATTAAGAAGGGGATGGACTTACCTTCCACTGTGAGAGTTACCTAAAGCTCAGCATCTGTGATGGTCTGTGGGGCTTCCGAGGTGATCAGGCAGTGTCAGTCTTCAGCCGCTAAGCCAAGAAGATCTGGGAAGGAGTCAGTCAGACAGCCTTGAGCCAGAGTTCCAGGGGCTCTGGGAGTGGCTGCCAGGTGAGTTGGACAGTCCAATTTCCAATGGGGTCCTGCACAGATGGGACATGGCTTAGGAGGACATGGCTTAGGGCTGTGGGCATTTCTTGGCCTGGTGGCCAGATTTCTGGCACTTGTAGCAAGCTCCTAGTGGGGGCGGTTCTGTAGGAATGCATGGCCACTGCGGTTTAGGCATTTGGAAGTTCTTGTGTGCTGGAGATGTGGCTGGGGTTTGTCTCACAGTGGAGGGAAAGAATTGCAACTCAGAAATATGTTGCTACTTGGCTGCCTCTACTCTATTATTGTACACCTTGAAGGTGAGGTTAATTAAGTCCTGTTGTGGGGTTTCAGGGCCAGAATTTCATTTTAGGAGTTTTATTTAATGTCGGGAGCAGATTGGGTAATAAAATGTATGTTGAGAATAAGACGGCCTTTTGATCTTTTAGGCTCTTAGGGCTGTAAAACATCTCAGGGTTGCTGCCAAACGAGCCATGAACTGGGCTGGATTTTTATATTTGATGAAAAAGAGCCTAAACGCTATCTGATTTGGGATAAAGAAAAAGGAGCATTAACCTTGACTATGCCTTTAGCTCCAGCCACCTTTTTAAGAGTAAATTGCTGGGCAGGTGGGGGAGGGCTAGTCACAGAATGAAACTGAAAGCCAGACCGGGTGTGAGGAGGCGAGGTGATAAAAGGATTATAGGGTGGAGGAGCAGAGGCTGAGGAAGAATTGGGACCTAGCTCAGCCTGGTGAGGAGGGGAGAGGTCAGATGGGTCTGTAGAAAAGGAAGATTAGAAAGACTCAGCAATGCTTGGGGTTGGGACTGAGGGGACAGGTGGGAGGGAAAGAAGGAAGATTTGGGATGAGTTACATTGGGAACAGAGACTAGGGAGGGACTGATGTGTAAAAGAATGCCTGGACATCAGGCACCTCAGACCGTTTGTCTATTTTATGACAAGAATTATTTAGATCTTGTAGGATGGAAAAATTGAAAGTGCCATTTTCCAGCTATTTGGAACTACTGTTGAGTTTGTATTGGTGTCAAGTGGCATTGCAGAAGAAAATAAGATGCAAGATGCTTAGATTTTAGGTCAGGTGAGAGTTGAAGAGGTTTTAAGTTCTCAAGAACACAGGCTAAGGGAGAAGGAGGAATGGAAGGTGGAAGCTTTCCCATAGTGAAGGAGGCAAGCCTAGAGAAAAGAGAGTAGAGACACGGAGAAGGGGTGGGGGGTTCTTGCCCTCCAGAAAAGCAGAGAAGGGGTTGGGGCGTGGAAATAAGGAGCTGGGGCACAGAGATAAGAGGTCGGGGCACGGAAATAAGGGATCGGGGCACAGAGATAAGAGGTTGGGGTTCCTGCCCCTCCTCCAGAAAAGCAGAACTTGCCATTAAGGGTGAAGGAGAAGGGGTTGAGGGGTTCTTTCCCCTCCCCCAGAAAAGTGGAGAAGGGGTAGAGACATGGAGAGAAGGGATTGGGGTTCTTGCCCCTCCCCCAGAAAAGTGGGACTTGCCACTAAGGGTGAAAGACCAAGGCAGGCATCCCTGTGTGGTCTGACACCTCTGAAACCTGGGTGAATAATCAGAGAGGCGTCCCTGCAATGATTAAACACCAATGGAAGGCTGCCTTCCCTAGTCTGTGACCAGCACCAGGGTTTTGGGTCCATGGATAAAACGTGTCTCCTTTGTCTCTACCAGAAAATGAAATGAATTGAAATTAAGAGAAGAGAGAGATTGAAGTGTGGCACCAAGATTGAAAGGAGAAAGAGGTTGAGGGATAGTGAGGGAGGTTGGAGAAGAGAGTAAAAAGAGGCTACTTACCGGATTTGAAATTGGTGAGATGTTTCTTGGGCTGGTTGGTCTGAGGACCTGAGGTTATAGGTGGATCTTTCTCACGGAGCAAAGAACAGGAGGACAGGGGATTGATCTCCTAAGGGAGGTCCCCCGATCTGAGTCACGGTACCAAATTTCACTCGCGTCCATGTGAAGAGACCATCAAACAGGCTTTGTGTGAGCAATAAAGCTGTTTATTTCACCTGGGTACAGGTGGGCTGAGTCCGAAAAGAGAGCCAGTGAAAGAAGATAGGGGTGGGGCCATTTTATAGGATTTGGGTAGGTAAAGGAAAAAGGGGGGTTGTTCTCTGGTGGGCAGGAGTGGGGATCACAAGGTGCTCAGTAGGGGAGCTTTTGAGCCAGGAGAAGGAATTTCACAAGATATTGTCATCAGTTAAGGTAGGAACAGGCCATTTTCACTTCTTTTGTGGTGGAATGTCATCAGTTAAGGCAGGAACCAACCATCTGGATGTGTACGTGCAGGTCACAGGGGATATGATGGCTTAGCTTGGGCCCAGAGGCCTGACAGGTTTGACTTGCATTTCTCTGATTATTAGTGATGGTGAGCATTTTTTTCATATACCTGTTGGTGATTTTTATGTCTTATTTGGAGAAATGTCTATTCAGCTCTCTTGACTATTTTCTAATCCAATTATTTGTATTTTTGCTATTGAGTTGTTTGAGTTTTCTATAAATTTGGGATATTAACCCCTTATCAAGTGAATAGTTTGCAGATATTTTCTCCCATTTTGTAGGTTGTCTGCTTACTCTTGTGATTGTTTCCTATGCAGTGCAGAAGTTTTTATTTGGTGTAATCCCATTTGTTTATTTTTGCTTTTGTTGTGCATGTCTTTCGATGTCTTTTCTAAAAAGTCCTTGCCCAGACCAATGACATATAACATTTCACCTATGTTTTCTTCTACTAGTTTCATAGTTTGGGGTCTTACATTTAAATATTTAATTTATTTTGAGTTGGTTTTTGGATATGATGAGAGATAGGGGTCTACTTTCATTCTTTTGTATGGGGATATCCACTTTTCCCAGCACCATTTGTTGAAAATACTGTCTTTTCCCCATTGAATGTTTGCATCTTTGTCAAAAATAAGTTGCATGTAAACGTGTGGATTTATGCCTGGGCTCTCTATTTTTGTTCCACTGGTCTGTGTCCCTGTTTTTATGCCAATACCATGCGTTTTAGTTAGGATAGCTTTGCAATACATTTTGAAATTAGATAGTGTAATACCTCTAGCATTGCTCTTTTTGCTTAAGATTTATTTGGCTATTTGGGGTGTTTTGTAGTTTCACATGGATTTTAAGATCTTTTTTAATATCTGTGAAGAATGAAATTGGAAATTTGATAGAGATTATATTGGATCTATAGATTGATTTGAGTAGTGTGGTCATTTCAACAATATTAATTCTTCTAGTCCATGAATATGGGGTATCTTTCTATTTATTTTAATTTTTTTCAATTGCTTTTATCAATGTTTAATAATTTTCATCTTTCCGTGGCTTAATTTGCTTGTAGGTATTTTGTTTTTTTTAATAGCTATTTTAAATGGGATTACTTTCTTGATTCCTTTTTCAGATAGTCTGCTATTGGTGAATAGAGATGTTACTGATTTTTTATGTTGCTTTTGTATCTTGAAACCTTATTGTATTCATTTACTATTTCTGATTCTCAGTGGGGTATTTAGGGTTTTTTACATATATGATCATGTCATCTGCAAAGAGGGACAATTAGACTTTTTTTTCCAATTTGGATGCCTTTTATTTCTTTCTCTTACCTAATTGTTCTGACTAGGACTTCCAGTACTATGTTGAAAAAAGTGATTAAAGTGAACATCCTTGTCTTGTTCCAGATCCTAGAGGCAAAGCTTTCAACTTTTCACCATTCAGTATAATGTTGCCTGTGGGTTATCACATATGGTCTTTATTTTATTATGTTCTTTTATAACTAATTTGTCAAAAGATTTGATCATAAAAGGATGTCTAATTTTGTCATATGCTTTTTCTGCATCTATTGAAATGATTATATGTTTTTTATCCTTCATTGTTTAATGTGATGTATCACAGTTATTGATTTACATGTGTTAGACCATCCTTACCTCCCCGGGTAAATACCACTTGATTATGGTGAATAATCTTTTTAATGTGCTTTTGAATTATCATTGCTAGCACTGCTGGTTTTGAATGTTTGCATGTATGTTTATCAATGATATTGGCCTGGAGTTTTCTTTTATTTGCTGTTCTTGTCTCATTTTGGATTCAGGTAATGCTGTCTTCATAGAATGAGTTTGCAAGAGTTCCCTCCTTTTCATTTTTTTGAAATAGTTTGTAAATAATCTGTATAAGTTTTTAAAATATTTTGTAGAATTTGTCAGTGAAAACCATCAAGTCATGAACTTTTCTTTCTTCTTCTATTTTTTTAGAGACAGAGTCTCACTCTATCACTGAGGCTGGCATACAGTGGTGCAGTCGTAGCTGACTGCAGCCTCAAACTCCTGGTCTTAAGTGATCCTCCTGCCTCAGCCTCCTGAGTATAAGTACACACCACTATACCTGGGGAATTTTTATTTTTATTTTTAGAGATGGAGTCCCGTTGTGTTGCCCAGGCTAATCTTGAACTCCTGGCCTCTAGTGATTCTCCTGCCTTGGGATCCTAAAATGTGAGATTACAGGTGGGAGCTACTGTGTGAAGTCTTTTGGATTTTCCTTGACTGACAGACTAAATCACTCCTTCAATCTCATTATTTGTCATTGGTGTGTTCACATTTTCCATTTCTTCTATCTTCAATTTTGATAGGTTATATGTGTCCAGAGCATATGTATTTCTTCTAAGTTTTTCAATTTATTGGTGTATAATTGTTTGTAGTACTTACTCATGATTCCTTGTATTTCTGTAGTGTCCATCATAGCATATCCTTTTTCATTTCTGACTTTATGTGAATTTTCTCTTTTTTTCTTAGTCTGACAAAACGTTTGTCAATTTTACCTTTTCAAAAAAGATTCTTTAATTAATCATTTGTATTTTTTGTCTTCATTTTGTATATTTGTGCTCTGATCTTTATATTCTTTTGCTAATTTGGGTCTTAGTTTGTTCTTGATTTTATAGTTCCTTGAAATACATAATTAGAGGGTTTATTCATTATCTTTCTTCTTTATTGATGTAGAAATGTATTGCTATAAACTTCCCTCTAAGGACTGTTTTGCTGTATCTCATAAGTTTTCATATGTTCTGATTTCATTTTTATTTGTCTTAAGACATTTAAAAAAATTTTTTTTTTCATTGACCCGTTGGTTGTTTAGGGATATATTGTTTAATTTATATGTATTTGCACAATTTCTGAAGTTTCTCTTATTGTTTATTTCTAGCTTTATTCCATATGGTCAGAAAAAATATGTGATATGATTTGATTTTTTGATTAGCTAAGACTTGTTTTGTGGTCTAACATATCTATCATGGACAATATTCCATGTGCAGATGAAAAGACTGAATTATTCAATTGTTGGATGAAATGTTATGTAAATAACTGTTAAATTCTTTTGACCTAGAGTGCAGTTTAAATGTTTCCTTGTTGACATTCTCTCTCAATGATCTGTTCATTACTGAAAATGGGATGTCAAGGTTTTTTACTATTATTGCACAGTTTTTTGTCTCTCCTTTTAGAACTATTAATGTTTGCTTTATATATTTAGGTTCTCCAATGTTGAGTGCATTATGTATTTACAATTATTGTATTCTCTTGTTGTACTGACCCCTTTATTATTACATAATGGCCTTGTTTGTCTGTGTTTATAGTTTTTTTACTTGAAGTATATTTTATTTGATATAAATATACCTACTCCTGCATTCTTTTGATTTCCATTGTCGTAAAATATATTTTTCCATCTGATCACTTTCAATTTATGCGTGTATTTAAAGGTGATGGGAGTCTCTTGTAGAAAGAATATAGTTAGGTCTTGTTTTTAATCCATTTACCCATTCTCTGTCTTCTTACTGGATAATTTAATCTATTTACATTCAAGGTAATTATTGATAGATAAGGACTTGTACTGCCGTACGTGGTTTTCTTGTTGTCTTTTAGAATTTTTGTACCTTTTTGTTCCTTTATTGTCTTCCTTTGTAGTTAAGTGATTTTTTCTGTGTGTTTTTGTTTCTTGTTCTTTTATTTTTAGTGTATCTATTAAATATTTTTGCCTTTTGGTTTCTATGAGGCATGTGAAGAATATTTTATGGTTTCAACAGGTAATTTGAATGGATAACAACTTAATTTTGATAATAAGAAATGGGGAAAAACAATCACTCTGCTCTTTAACTCAATCACTCCCCCACATTTTGCATTTTTGATGTCTGAATTTACATCTTTTATATCACTTATCCCTTAACAAATTATTGTAGTTGTTATTATTTTTGTTTTGTATTTTAACCTTCTTACTAAAAATATGTAAGTGGTTTACATTCAATTATTACTATATTAGAGCATTCTGAATTTGTCTGAATATTTATTTTTACCTGTGGATTTATACCTTCCAATTTTTTGCATTACATATTAGTGCCCTTTTCTTTCACTTTGAAGACGGTTCTTTAACATTTTTTTTAAGGCAGGTATGGTTACAATGAATTCCTTCATCTTTTGTTTGTCTTAGAACGTTTTAATCTCTCCTTCATTTCAAATGAGAGCTGTTCTGGATACTACATTCATGGTTGACAGTTTTTTTCTTCAGCACTTGATTCTATTATCCTACTCTCTCCTGGCCCACATTGCTTCTGCTGAGAAGTCTGCTGCCAGGCACATTATGTATTATATGCTTCCTTTTTCTTAGTGCTTTCAGGACCTACTCTTTGTTTTTGACCTTTGAAAGTTCAATTATAATATATCTTGTGGTTGTCTTATTCAGATTAAATCAGATTAGTGCGCTTTGGCCATCCTAAACATCTTAATGTTTCTCTAAGTTTAAAAAGTTTTCTGTTATTTCTCTGAATAATTTTCTAACTCTTTTTCATTCTCAGTTCCACTTTAACACTGTAGATTTTTTTTTTTTGATGGTGTCCCATGGATCTCATAAGTTTTCTTTGTTTCTTCTCATTTTTTTCTCTTTTCTACTCTTGACAGTGTATTTTCAAAGAGCCTGTCTTTGAGCTCACTGTTTTTTTCTTCTACTTGATCAGTTCTGCTTTTGATGCCCTCTAGTGCATTTTTCAATTTGTTTACTGAACTTTCCAACTCCAGGATTTCCACTTGATTTTTTCCCATTATTTTAAATTCTTTGTTGAATTTCTTATAAATTTCCATATTGTTTCTCTGTACTTTGTTGAAGTTCACCGATTTTTTTTTTAAAATCAGCTATTTGAATTTTTTTTGTCTGCCACATCATTCATTTGCATGTCTTTAGGTTCAGTTGCTGACACCTTATTTTCTCCATTTGGTGAGGCAGTTTTTCCTAGGCTATTCTTATTTTTTGTAGATGTATATCTCTGTCTACACATTGATGAATTAAATATTTATTTCAGTCTTCTCAGTCTGGGTTTGTTTTTGACTGTTTCTCAGTGGGCTTGTTTAGAAATTCGGTGTGGATTTCCATTATATTCCATTTTAGCATTAGGAGGTGCCCAAAGCAAAGGTTAGACATAAGTCTCACAATGGGGCTTCACCACTGATGCAATGTAACTGAATGGGCCCATGGGTGATCCACAGAAAGGCTCCTGGCTGTGGGGGAGAACAAGTCAGGCTATCAAATCTGGACAGTCTGTGTATCATGTTTCCCACAGCATGGTGCCCATAAACAACCTCTCTGGTGTAGTGTTTCCTCTGGTAGGAATGGCTAGCCACTGCTAAGTTTCATATAATGAGTATTGCTAACCCAACCCCTTCTCTATGTCCCTAGCATGCCTCGGGCGGTTCAGCTCTGTTGACACTCATGGTGCTGCTTGTGGGCTGATGCAGGAGTCTACTGTGAAGGGACTCAGTATGGTGGAAAAAAATATTCAACTTCTGCTCACTTTATTCAGTGTAAGAACTGTAAGGAGGACTTTCTGCATATAATACCATTATGGCCTGGGGGAGGAGTATCACAGTCACAGAGTACTGGTTCCCTTACTGTCCAAGCATGGTTCTACTCTTTGCAGTCCAAAGGGGCTTCATAGACTGACTCATGTATTCAGGGTTCGTTAGCTCTTGTAAAGGTAATTTTATATGTGGATAGTTGTTCATATAGATGTGTCCGTAGGGGTAAGATTACTGGAGAGATCGACTCCACTACCTTGCTCTGCCCAAATCCTTCCCCTTTCCAACAAGAGTTTGCCACCTCCTAGTTTTCTTTTTTCTTAACCAAACTAAGTTTAGCCTTTTAATCCTTAACTCTCCTCCACTTCTAATGCCATTGCTTCTTTGTATGCTTATTGTATTTTCCATGCTATATGACTTTCAGCTGGTTATTTACAGTATGTAAGTTTTAATATCCTGTAAAAGGGGGATAATAATAGCATCCATTTGATAGGGATGTTAAAGATATTAAATGACACTGTCCATGTTAAATAACTTTTTAAGATATATTGAGATGTTTCTGTACTTCCTTGTTCTGGCCTTCTTGTTGAACCAGAGAAATCTATTGCCATGAAAAGCAATAAAATTGTGATAGTAGAAATTAAAAGTGAGTAGGAACTTATTTAAAAATCATCATTCTCCTTTTCAATGCAAAAATAAGAACTAGAAACTTTTAATAAGGCAATAGTCTGAAGAAATAACTTATGGAAGAGAACATGGGTTTTTTAATCCTAAAGGGTTCTTTTATATATTCAAGGGTCGAGATTGCCTGCCTTGTATCCTACTAAAATTTCAATGCAAGTTTCAGAGAGGGAGGAAAGAGTCAAAGAAAAAATTGCACTGGAAAAAGTTAAATAAGTAAGGAAGATATTATTCAACAGGGGAGAGAGGCCAGAACCTAGTCTGAACTCAGCTCCCCTGATACAAAGGGCAGTGGAGTTTTTGAAAGCGAGAGTAAGGGGGTGATCATAGGCCACCTGTCTTTGCTAACTGTCTTTTCTCAAAGGAAAAATAAACTTTCTTTTATCTTTATAATATAAGGTAATTTTTACAACTTGGAGCAAGATTAGGCTCTTACTCTCTCATAGAGACTGGGAAATAAGGTATTATCTTTCTGGAGGATTACATTTGAAAGGGATGGCTCCCAGATCCTTGAAAAAGGAAATTTTCTGCTAACAAGTTACACATGCCACTTCTACCTACATTTCACTGGCCAAACCGGTCACATGTCTAAATCTGACCCTTACTTCAATAGGACAGAAATGTATAATCTTCTAGGAGATAGGGCCACTGCAGTAGGAAGACCAGATAATGGGAGAATGGTAATATAATCTACCACATTGACCACAATGAAAACATTAGTAATCCCCAGGGTTAAACCGAGTCTTCTTGGACACTTAGGTTGATTCTAGGCTATTGTGAATAGTGGAATAATAAAAAATAAAGAGAATAGCCCCTTTATTTATTGCAGAGAAGCTAGACAATTCACAGTAACTTATGGCCTAGACAATTTTATTTCTTGATCAACACAACTCTTTATAGATGCCTGTGGTCCAAAAATGCGGATTCCTAATCATCCCCAAGAAGAAAGGATCCACTGCAAGGCAACCTGGGAGGGAGTTTGGGATGGTTCTGAGGCAGTGAAAGCCATTGAAATTCACACGTAAGAGGGTAGAGAAAGGGAATTCACATGTTTTGGTCCCTCCATGTGCTGGATATAACTTGGTCTTCATTACATTGCACCACCTTTGGTGTCAGAGAGAACTGGATTTGAATCCCAGTTCCATCACTCACTATGATTTGATGGTCAATGTGTTTTTAACTCGTCTGAGCCTCAGTTTGCTCATCTATAAAAGATGGGATTGTTACGAGGCTTGCATAAGGTAAGTGTATAAAAATCTGGGAATAATGCCTATAATTTAATAGACGGGGTTGTGATGAGGCTTCAATAAGGTAAGTGTGTAAAAATCTGGACACAATGTTATTAATTTTGTAGGTTTTCAATATATAGAGAAGGAGGATTATTTTTCTCTCATTTAATTTTTAGAACAAGTTTATAAAATTGGTATTATTCATATTTTTGAGATAAAGGATCAGTAAGTTTAAATAAATCACCATAGTCACAAAGCAGTTCACAATATATTGACTGGACAATTGCTAGTGAAAAGTAGCAATGATGATCACATTGAAAATCTTGTGTTAGGTGGTGGTTTTCTCTTGCATAAGCCTCTTCATTTGTTCAAACCATAGATTCTAAGTTGCTCTATTAAAGTGATCATTAGAAAAATATAATGTACTTAGTGTATAAGTTTTAGAAAATTTCCTTTGTTAGTCCTGTTAATTTGATTGAATATGTGCATTTTGAATTATGAATATAAATATGAATATGTATGATATATGAAATATGACTTGACGTCACAGAGTAACATTAGGTCGTGGCAATGTTTTTTTCTGAAAGCACCTGCAGAAATGTGTCTTCTTTCTAGTTTCCAAAAAACTCAGAGGCCATGGGGGAAGAGGGGACTTTGACTGTCAGATAGTGCATGAGGTACATTAGCATACAGTAATTTAATCATAATTCATATTCATAATTCACAGTGAGGAAACCTGAAAGTTGCTACCAGCTACCAATAAATGAAAGGTGGGGCGGCATCACTGGGGGGCGCGGTTTTGTGAGCCAGTGCCTGGACTTCCACATCACAAATGGAAGGGCAGCACGTGGAGGGAACTCAAGGCCTGATTGGTTCTTCCTAAGCAGTACGCGATCTGGCTGGCAGGGCAACCGGCCTTCCGTTGGTGGCCTTCAGTTAGTGCCTTCAGTGGGTGCCTTAAGTTGGTGGCATTTGGTTGCCTTTCCTGGGGAGAGGTGGCAGGTGCTCAGCTCTGCAGACGTGGGGGCAAGCGAAGGCCCAAGCTGCCTCGAGAAGAGCAGAGGTGCCCCATGGGGACCACGATGACGAGTTGCATGTGCACCAAAGCCAGCCCCCGGCAGGGTCAGCGCAGGGATTCTGCGGGGCCGTCCTGTGGCTCTGACATCTATGAGTGGGCGGCCAGCAGAGGCACAGGCACCAGCAGAGAGGAGCAGAGACGCCCAGAACACACTGTCCCCCAATGCCAGCCCCAAGCGGGGCCAGCTCAGGGTGCGGTGGGCAGAGCCATCCTGCAGCTCTGAGATCCGCAAGGTGGAGGTGGGAGTAGCGCCAGGCTCCACTGTGTTGGAGCTTGCCCCGTTTGAGCCCAATTTGATTCCGGAGCCATGACCTGCAGCACATTGGCGACCAGAAGACACCCAAAGGTAAGGAGGCGACAGATACCGCTTGGCCTCAGGACCTCCTCTGGCCATTGCTGAACCAAGGTTCCCCCAGAGACATCCACAGCCTGGGGCTCCTCCCTTCTTCACCTAGTTCCTTTCCTAGGTCCAGGCCCCAAGCATGAGGACTGGCTCTGCCTGGCGTCCCCACCCCTTCGTCTTCCCCTTTTGCATCCAGCCGATTTCTTTTTCCCTCCCTACCCAAATGCCCAATTCTGGGTCCTTTTGTTCCCAGAGGCTGGCCAAAAACTAAGTTTTCAAAATACAAAATGGATGCTACAGATTTCGTTGCTGTAGAGGAAATGTCTGGCAGCTCTTGAATTTAAGCTTAAGTAGCTACACTGGGATTCACAATTTCATATCTTGAGTTCTAGACCAGAGCTCTCTACCCTAAAGCAATGACAGGGGGTTAGAGGTACTCTTCTTGATTCTAATAATAAAAAATGATTTTTTTGTAGGGACAAGGTCTCACTGTGTTGCCCAAGCTGGTCTCAAACCCCTGGCCTTAAGTGATTCACCCACCTTGGCCTCCCACACTGTTGGGATGACAGGCAAGAACCACCACACCTGGCCATTGGAGGTGCTATTGCTTTGTGTGGTTGGGCTGGTCTTCAGGCACAGCTGTCAGTAAGATCCTCCTGCGGTATAGTTCTAAGTTTTTCTGCACAAATTCAGTGGATCCTGTGATTTTTTTACATGGAATAGCCCCTTTATTTTTTGCAGAGAAGCTAGACAATTCACAGTAACCTATGGCCTAGAAAATTTTATTTCTTGATCAACACAACTGTTTATGGATGCTCGTGGTCCAAAAATGCAGATTCCTAATCACCCCCACGAATAAGGGGGCCATTGCAAGGCACCTGGGAGGGAGTTTAGGATTGCTCTGAGGCAGTGAAAGCTATTGAAATTCCCACATGAGGGGGCAGAAAAGGGAATCCACATGTTATGATCCCTCCATGTTCTGGGTGTAACTTGGTCCTTGTTAAATTGCACCATTTTTGGCATCAGAGAGAACTGGATTTGAATCCCAGTTCCGTCCCTCATTATGATTTGATGGTGAATGTGTTTTTAACTCGTCTGAGCCTCAGTTTGCTCACCTATAAAAGATGTGATTGTTGCGAGGCCTCCATAACATACATGTGTAAAAATCGTGGCAAAATGCTTGTAATTTAAAAGAGAGGGTTGTTAGGAGACTTCTATCAGGTAAGTATGTAAAAACCTGGACACAATGCCTATAATTTTGTAAGTGTTCAGTATATGGAGAAGGAGAATTATTTTTCTCTCATTTAATTTTTAGAGCAACTTTATAAAATTGGTGATACTTATATATTTGAGATAATCAAACCAAGGATCAGAAAGACTAAATAAATCACCATAGTCACAAAGCAGTTCACAATACATTTACTGGATATTTTCTAGTTAAAAGTAGCAATGATGATCACATTGAAAATCTTATATTATGTGGTGGTTTTCTCTTACATGAGCTTCTTGGAATTTAGTAAGATAACTTGCAGCTCAAAAAGCAGATCCGTAGAATATTTTATTCAAGAGATTGTAGTGGGGGCCAAAGTATTGCATGAGTTTTGTTGGGAACAAGGTGTAGGCTGAGAATCTTAGCAAACTTCAGTTGGTGGTTTTCAGCTGGTGGGCAGTGGTGGAAGGAGGAGGAGCTCCGTCTGTGCTCTCTCTTACCCCAGTCACAGCCCTCAGGCTTGTTGCATCCAGGCCCTTCTGAGTTAAACCCGACAGGTTGACAGGTTTATTTAGCATTTAGCAGACAAGTCAGCTCAGGGTAGGCAGGTAAGGTGGGGTGTGGGCTGCTAGTACAGTGCTGCCCTGTGGCCCAGGGCTGCCCATGCCCGTGGGGCTATTCCATATATTATATATTATATATATAAAATTATATATATATAAAATTATATATATATAAAATTATATATATATGTATATAAGCCTGTTGGTTTGTTGAAAGCATGGATTCTAAGTTGCTCTATCAATGTGATCATTAGAAAAATGTGATGTACTTAGTGTGTAAATTTTAGAACAATTTCTTCTGTTAGTCTTGTTAATACTCAGTTCTTTTCTAAAACACCTAGCCCAAATCTCCATAGGTTTTAATCGAATTATATTATAATTTGGATTTTCTGGTCTGCCTATCTTCCAAACAATAAACTCCTTAAAATCAATTTTCTATTGCTGCCATAACAAATTACCACAACTTTGTGGCTTAAATCAAAGACTTACGACCCTATAGTTCTGTAGGGCAAACCTCTGACCGTGGTCTTACTGGGCTTAACTCAAGGTATTGTCAGGGCTGTATTGCTTTCTGGAGGCTCTAGAGAGAATCCATTTCCTTTTCCAACTTGTAGATGCTGTCCCCATTCCTTGGATCATAGGACCATCCCTCTATCTTCAAAGCCAGTAATGTGGGATATCTGTGACCATTGTTCTGTGGTCATGTCACCTTCTGACTGCAGCTAGGAAAGATTCTCTGATTTTATATTCTGTGGTCATGTCACCTTCTGACTGCAGCTAGGAAAGATTCTCTGATTTTATAGACACATGCAATTAGATTGGCCCCCAAGATAATCAAGGATAATCCCCCTAACTCAAGGATTAATCACATCTACAGAATCCATTTTGCCCCATGTAAAGTAATATGGTCACAGATTCCAGGGACTAGAACATCTTTATGGGGTCATTATTTTGACTGTCACAAAGGCAAAGTCTTGGACTTACTCATATCTAGATTTTCTTTGCTTAATTTCAGAGCCTAGAACACATTAGACTCTAAATAAATGGGAATGAGTGATAAATATTTTAATTTACAGATTGCTGCCACATTGCAATTCTGTCCTCCCACTGGTGGTGGAATCCTATGTACTTTTTTTACCATCTCCATTTTGCATTCAGACTGAACATGGCTATGTTATTCCCTTCACCTGGGTGATGTGAAACCATCTCTCTATTTCTATTTGTAGAGATCTTATCTATCAAGCCCTTCTCAAATGCCGCTTCATATTACTTTTTCTAATCCCCAGTTGTCTTAGTCAATTTATGCTCTTATAGTGAAATAACAGAGACTAGGCAATTTATGAAAACCAGACATTTATCTCTCACAGTTCTGGAGACTAGGAAGTCCAAGATCAAGGTGCTGGCAGGTCTGATGTTTGGTAAGGGCTGTTCTCTCCTTTCAAGATGGTGTCTTTATGCTGCATCCTCCAGAGTCAAGGAACACTGTGTCCTCACATGGTGGAAGGTGGGAGGGCAAGAGGAATGAACTCCCTCCATGAAGCCCTTTCATGAGGGCTCCTAAACCCATTCCTGAGGTAGGAGTCCTGATGGCCTAATCACTTCCTGTAGGCTCCACCTCAACACTATCACATTGTCAACGCTGAATCTCGGAGGAGGCACAGTGAAACCACAGCACCAATCAAGTATGATCTTCCTCTCCTCAGAAACCCCCTCATATGTTTAGACCTCCCATGCACTTTTATACATTTTGTCTAATGGTTTTTTCCTGTACTAATAAGGTGCTATAAATGGATAGCTATAGTTTTGGGTTTCATTTCAACAAAACACCCTTCCTAGTTTTTTGAACCCCAAGCAAAGTATGAGGACAGGCCCCACCTTCCATTACAAAAGCTGAAAGGGAGTGCATGATCCTTTTTCCAGTTTCTTGGCCACTCAAGTGTGGGCACATATCTAGGCCCAGCCAATGGATGTCTCTTTATTAGAACTTGGAACCCGACGAAATGATGCAAAAGACCTGAAAGAATCAGAGATGATTCTGAGCAACTGAGCAGAGATGCAGGTCCAGGAATGTGGCAGGAAGTGCCTAAGTTCAGCAGAGCCCAGCTACATGGTGATGAGTGTCAAATGGCAACATCCTAGTTGTGGCATCCCAAGATCTGCTTCCGTAGGATGAACTTGGCTGTGCCAAGTTTCCCTCAGCTCTTACCTTGCTTCTCCAGCATCTTCAGTGATTTTGTGAACTATTCAGTATCCTTTCATTGAATTCCTATTTTGCTTAAGTTGTCTAGAATTTATTTGTTATTGTCAGTGAAAAATATAAACCAATTATCCCCTCACATTAAAACACACTCCACTTAGGCATCTCCTGTGATCTCACTGGAGAAAAGTGTGGATGTTATTTTTAATTTGACTCAGAATGATAGGATTAGTTGGCACTAGTAACAATGGAGATAAGTAACTAACTTTTTGTGAAACTTCCTGGGGTGAAACAAAATCTATTGTGGAAACTGTTTACAATCATCTCTGGAAATTTATTAAGTGACCTAGTATATAATGATAATTTACCATGATATTTGATAAAATAGTTTTGTGCATTCAGAATAATTTCTTTTTTCTTTACCTTTGAAAATAACGCATTGATAGTTAATTCTCTCCTAAATTGTCTGTTTTTATTTCCATAAAAGGTATTTATTGAATGTCTCTTTACTTTTAATATAACTAGGCATTGTGTGATCAAAGTAAAATTAATATGTTCTTGTTTCCGGAATTACTACCGCTTTGAAAATGGACTTATCTACCTCAAACCAATGGGACATATTCCCATGTGGCCTGCTCACCTATTAGGGTTCCCAGGGTAAGTGGTGATTCCTGTTCTATCTTTTTAAAGATTTTAGAAATGCAGCTTCTGCTGTGGGCCACTAGGCGGAGTACTTCAGAGCAGGGTTTGTGAGAGTACAAAGCTAACTTCCGCTGCTTTTGCTTGATGCTTCTGTAGCTTCCTTGACTACTGTGGATGATAAGTAACCATTTTCTTCCCTTCTTTTCTTTTTCCCCTCACTCTTCGGAGTGAACTTGAAACATCTAGGAAGTTTGTTGATCAACATATACCGTGTTTATGAAAATCCAGCTATGATAATATGGTAGGACTCCTTTGGTTATAAATAATAGAATTCAAACTCAAACTGGTCTAAGCCAAAAAAAAAATATTAATTTGTGGACTCGTATAATGGAAAAATCCAGGGTGTAGCTTCAGAATGGCTGAACGTAGGGACTCAGGACTTAGCTCTTCTCAGCTTTCTTGCTTTTTTCTTCCCCATTGACTTTATTCTCAGACAAGTTTTCCCTTTGTTCTGCAATGTGGCCATCATCACTCCTCCAGTTTACACTTCCTTAGTTCCACAGCCCCAGAATAAAGCAAACACAGAAACACTTCTAATAGTCTCAATAAGAGACTAGAGATTGACTTTGGGTGTGACGCTTGGATTTCATGTCCGTCTCTAGTCTGATCTGTGCCAGGATTAGAAGTATATTTATTGGCCAGGCCTGTGTCATGAGCTCATACAGAGTTTGCACTGTCCACACAGTGCCTTTGCAAGTATTAGAAAATGGCTACCCTTTCTGCAGTTAGATGCAGCCCTGTATCGGGGCATGTGGCTTGGAGAAGAGCATGTAGGCCGGATTTCAGCCCCCCTTTCTCCCTTAGCTGGGTTTCTTCCTTGAGTGAACAACATACTTGTTAGTAGCTGTCCTGTGCTTATTCCTGAAACTGGGGGTGAAATCAGCCCCCACGCCAAAACTGAAGGACAGAAGGTGGCTTCATCTAGGGTATCAGATAAAGGCTAATAACAAAGGGAGGGGACAGTGGGTGCTGTGTGGGCAAAAGGAACAAAAAATAATCGTAACCTGTCTAGACTTCATCTCAGAAACCATATGCAACCTTCTTCAATGGAAATATTTAACACTTCAAGAGTGCCAAGAAGGTTATAAGGAGCATATCTCTTAAGGACCTAAGTTAGGAGATTCTAGAATGTATGCTTTATGGATTTACCTTATAAATATATAACATTGACAAATACACACAGAAAATATATTGCAGAGTAACACAGATGAAATACTTGAAATACATGACATTCTGCCACAGTCTATCATTATTTTCTAACTTATCAAAAGACTCAGAGGATCTTTTTTTTTCCATATTGATAAATTTCTAACCAGAGCCCTATTTACTCGTGTCTTGAAAAACAGACTATTTGCAAATATGTCTGAAGAGGGAAGAGAAAGAAAATGATTCCAAAAAAGCTGATAACATTAAGACAGCTTTTAATAGAAGATGTTAATTTGCAACCACAAATTAAAAACTTATAGGAGATACACAAAATGTGAAGAAGAAGAAAAGAAACCAAACCACTACAAGAAATAACCAAACATAAGAAGACAGCAAGAGAGGAAAAAAAAAAGAACTGCAAAACATATGAAAAACAATTAACAAAATGCAAGTTACTCCTTACCTATCAACAATGACTTTAAATGTGAAAGGATTAAACTATCTAATTAAAAGACATAGAGTGGCACAATGCATAAAAGATACTCATCAGTACATATTTATAAGGGAGTCACTTTAGATATAAAGATACATAGAGGCTCAAAGTGAAGGGATGGGAACAGACACTCTACACAAATGGTAACCAAAAAGGAGCAAGGGTATCTATACTTAGATCAGAAAAAATAGACTTGAAATCAAAAACTGTCACTAGAGACTAAGAAGGTCATTATGTAATGATAAAAGTTCGCTTCAACAGGAAGATTATGTATCCACCCAACATTAGAACACCTAAATATATAAAGTTAATATCAACAAAGCTAAGGGGAGAAATCAGTAACAATAAAAGAATAGTAGCTAACTTCAGTACCCCAAATGCAATAATGGATAGAACATCTAGGCAGGAAAAAAAAGAAAAAAAAGAGGAAACAGCTGACTTGAACAACATGGTACATTAAACACTGACATATACAGAACTTTCCATCCAACAGCATCAGAATATACATTCTTCTCAAGTGCACACAGAACATTCTCTGAGATAGATCAAATCTTAGGTCACAAGGCATCCTACAAATTTAAGAAGTTTGATATAATGCCAAGTATCTTCTCAGACCACAATGGAATAAAATTAGAAATCAATAACAAAGAAAACAGAAACATTTACAAAAATGCAGAAACTAAACAACACACTCTTGAACAACCATTGGGTAAAAGGAGAAATCAAAAGGGAATTTTAAAAGTATCTTGAGACAAACAAAAATGAACATACAACTCAACAAAACTTACAGGATGCAGCAAAAGAAGTGCTAAGAGGGAAATGTTATAGTGATAAACACCTACATTAAAAAATAAGAAAGATCTCAATTGAACAACCTAACTTTACAAATAAACAGTTAGAAAAAGAAGAACTAACTAAGCCCAAAGTTAGCATAATGAAGTAAATAATAAAGATTAGAATATAAATAAAATAACTTTAAAATAAAAAACAATATAAAAATCAACAAAGCTAGAGTTGTATTTTTGGAAATAAAAACAAAAATAACAAACCCCTAGCTACATTAAGAAAAAAAGAGAGACTCAAGTAAATATAATCAGAAATGAAAATGGAGACATTATAACAAATGTACAGGAATACAAATGATTATAAAGGACAATTAAGCAATTATATGCCAATAAATTGGATAACCTAGAAGAAATGGATAAATTCTTAGAAAGATGCAATCTACCAAGTTGGAACAAAAAAGAAATAGAACAGACCAAAAGCAAGCAAAGAGATTCAATCAGTAATAAAAAATTTCCCAACAAAGAAAAGCCCAGGTGCAGATGCTTTCATGGGCAACTTCTACCAAACAGTCAAAGAAGAACTAACACCAAAACTTCTTAAGCTCTTTAGAAAAAATAGAAGAGAGAATACTCCCAAACTCATTTCATGAGGCCAATGTTACCATGACTTAAAAGCTAGATGAAAACAACACAAGAAAAAATAATTACAGACCAGTATCCTTAATGAATATAGATGCAAAAATTCTCAATAAACTACTAATTGGAATTTATCTATGGGATGCAAGGATGGTTCAATGTGTAAAAATTAATAATGTGATATACCACATTAACAGAATGAAAGACAAAAATAACATTCCAATAGATGCAGAAAACACATTTGACAAAATTCAACATACTTTCATGATAAAACTCTCAACAAAATAGGTATAGAAGAAACTTACCTCAACACTATAAAGGCTGTATATGAAAAACCTGTATCTAATATAATAATCAATGGGGAAAAATGAAAGCTTTTTCTTTAATATCTGGAACAAGACAAGGATGCCTACTCTCACCACTCCTATTCAACATAGTACTGGAAGTCCTAGCCAGAGAAATCAGGCAAGAGAAATAAAAGGCATCAAAATTGAAAGGAAAGATGTAGTTATCTCTGTTAACAGAAGACATGATTATTATACATTGAAAACTCTAAAGACTCCACAGAAAATGGTTAGAAATAATTGGTTAGAAATAATACAGTCAGTCTTTCATATCTGCCAGGGATTTGTTTCAGGACCCCCTCAGATAACAAAATCTGTGATGATCAACTCCCTCATGTAAAATCATGTACAGTTGGCCCTGTGTATCCATGGGTCCACATCTGTGGATTCAAACCACCACAGATGGAAAATATGTACAAGTTTGGTTCATGGTTGGTTGAGTTCATGGTTGCAGAACCCATGAATATGAAGGACTGACTATATAATAAATTTATTAAAGTTGTAGGATATACAATAGACATACAAAAATCATTGCTATTTCTAAACACTAACAATGAATTGTCTGAAAGGGAAATTTAAAAAACAATATCAAATAAACTACTTTGGAATTAACTAACCAAAGAAGTGAAAGACTTAAACACTACAAATTACAAAAGATTGATGATGGAAATTTGAAGTAAATTGAAAGACAACCCATGGATTGAAAGAGTGAGTACTGTATTATTAAAGTGTCCATATTACTCAAAGCAATCTACACATTTAATGTAATCCATATCAAAATCCCAATGGTGTCTCTCGCAGAAATAGAAAAAATAATCCTAAAATTCATATAGAATCACAAAAAACCCTGAGTAGCCAAAGCAATTTTGAGCAAGAACAAAGCTACAGGTATCACACTTCCTGACTTCAAATTAAATTACAAAGCTGTAGAAAGGAAAACACTGTGGTACTGGCATAAAAACAGACACATAAACCAGTGGAACAAAATAGAGAACCTAGGTATAACCCACACATTTGCAGCAATTGATCACCCTGGAGGGTGACAAGGAGACACAATAGGGGGAGGATATGCTCTTGAACAAATGGTGTTAGGAAAGCTGGATGTCCACATGCAAAACAATGAAATCGGATCCCTAGCTCACATCATACATAAAAATTAACTCAAAATGGATTAAACATTTAAATGCAATACCTGAAACCATAAAACTCCTAGAAGAAGACAGGAGAAAACATTCTTGACATTGGTCTTGGCAATAATTTGTTTAGATATGATGCCAAAAGCACAGGCAACAAAGGCAAAATAGGTAAATGAATTACATCAAACTAAAAAGCTTCTGCACAGCAAAGAAAACAACTAATGAAATGATAAGGCAACCTATGAAATGGGGAAAAAGTTTGTAAACCATATCTCTTATAAGGAGTTCAAAAAATAAGGACACATACACATCAATTCCAAAATTACAAATAACCTAATTTTATTTTAAGGCAAAGAATCTAAATAAATATATCTCAAAAGAAGGAATTCAAATGGCTAACAGGTATATGAAAATGTGCTCAACATCTCTAAACTTCAGAGAAATGCAAATCAAAACCACAATGAGATATCAGGTCACACCTGTCAAAATGGCTATTATCAAAAAGGCCAAAGATAAGTGTTGGTGAGAATGTGGAGAAAAGGAAACCCTTATACACTATTGATGGGAATGCAAATTAGTAAAACACAGAAAACAGTATTGAGGTTCCTCCAAAGAAAATTGAAACTAGCACTGGCCTGGTGTGGTGGCTCACACCTGTAACCCCAGGATTTGGGGAAGCTAAGGCAGGAGTCCAGGAGCTCCAGACCAGCCTGGGTAACATAGCAAGACCCCATCTCTGAAAAAATTTAAAATTAGCCAGACATGGTGTTGTACACCTGTAGTCCCAGCTACTTGGGAGGCTGAGGTAGGAGGATCCCTTGAGCCCAGGAGTTCAAGGCTGCAGTGAGCTATGATCTTGCCACTGGACTTTACCCTGGATGACAGAGTGAGACCCCATTTCAAAAATAAAAAAAAGAACTGCCACAATCCAATAATTTCACTTCTGGATATATGTCCAATGAAATTGACATAAGAGTCTTAGAGAGGTGTCTGTCATCCCCTGTTCATTGCAGCATGACACACAATGACCAAAATATGAAAATAACCTAAATGTCCTTTGGCAGAGGAACAGATGAATGGGTAAAGAAAATGTGGCATGTATATATAAAATGAAATATTATCCAACCTTAAAAAAGAAGGAAATCCTTCTATTTGTGAAAACATGGATGGAGCTGGAAGATATTGCACCAAGCAAAAATGCAAGACACAGAGAAAAATACTTCATGATCTCACTTACATGAGGAATCTACAACAGTCAAATTCATAAAAACAGAGAATAGGACAGTGGTTACCAGGGGCTCAGGGAGGGGAAACGGGGTGATGTTGGTTAAATTGTACAAAGTTCAAGTTATAATAATTTCTGGAGATATAATGTACAACATGGAACAACACTGTGTCATATTCTTGTGTTCTGCTAAAGGACTAGATCATAAATTAATTACTGTCAACACACACAATGGTAAATATGTAGAGATAATAAATATGCTAATTTGCTTGATTGTGGTGATCATTTCAAGAAGTATAAAATATCAAAACATTAAGTTACCTTAAATTTACACAATTTTTATATGTCATGTTATCATCATAAAGCTGTTAAGAAATATTTAGTAAATAATGTCTACAACCTGGGAACTTTCTCATGACAGGGAGGGCTAGAGTAGGAAAATGGAATTTTGCAACAAGGATAGGGTGAGGGACATGGGAAATGATTGATCAAGTATTTAAGAA
This sequence comes from Homo sapiens, assembly GCF_000001405.40. Classification (NCBI taxonomy): domain Eukaryota; kingdom Metazoa; phylum Chordata; class Mammalia; order Primates; family Hominidae; genus Homo; species Homo sapiens. The sequence continues at coordinate 243,679 of NT_187650.1, read as the reverse complement.
ATGACCTGGGTGGAAGCTACATCAGAGAGTATGAGCTTTAGAGCATCTGTCCTCAAATTTTTGGTTTCAGGACCACTTTACATTTAAAAGTTATTGAGGACCCCAAAGAGCTTTTATTTACTTGGATTATATCTATCTATATTTATCATATTAAACATTAAAGCTGAGAAATTAAAAAAATACTTATATGTTTACATAAATCACATTTTTATTTAAAGTTATGATTTTTAAACAGTAAAGTTGGTGAGAACATTGACATTGTTTTATATTTTTAAGTATGTCTTTAATGTCTGGTTTAATAGAAGAAAACTTCGTTCTCCTTTCTGCTTCTACATTTAATTTCTTGTGACATCCCACGTCAGGTAGCCTCTGGGAAACTCCAATTATACTTGTGAGAGAATGAAAGTGGAAAAGGTCAACAAAACCTGTGTATTTTTATGAAAAGAGTTTTGACCTTGCAGAGCCCCTGGAAGGGACCCAGGGACTTCTCAGGGTTCTCTGGCTCATGTGTTCACAGAGTAGAGGGTAAGTCCGCAAGAGAAAGCAGTGATTGGCTGTGGGAGGTCTTGCTGAGTGGTGGTAGAGAAGAGGTTGGATGTGTAGAAAGTATGGTCATTGTTGTCATTTCTTTTCCCTTTCCTTTGGCTTCTTGTCGCTGGGATTTCCTCTTTAGCTGCCTAATGAAAGTTTTTGTTTTGTCTTCCTGAGTCTTGATACATTTCAAGAAGTCTTCTATCTCATTTATTTTTTCCACCCAAATTTGGAATTTAGGAAGAGTCGATGTAGCTATATTTAGATAATTTATCTCCCTGAAGACATTTTGGGATCATTTATAAATCTCTGTAAGCAATGCTCTGATGTCCCTTTATTTTGTTTAGAGACTGGGTCTTGCCGTGTTGTCTGGACTGGAGTGGCTCGATCGTAGCTCACAATACGCAATACAATCAAACTCCTGGTCTCAAAGCGATCCTGCCACTCAGCCTCCACAGTAGCTAGGTCTGCAGGTGTGTGCCAGCACGCCTAGCTTTTTATTACTATTATTATTATTTCATTATGCTGCCCAGGCTGGTCTTCCAACTCCTGGCCTCAAGTGATCCTCCTGCCTTCTGCCTTCTGAAGAGCTGAGATTACAGCTGTAAGCCACCATGCTGGTCCCGATGTCATTTAAATACAAACAAGATACTATATTCCTTGTAGGAAGTGCTACATAAACATAATTTTTTTGAGCTAGGGTCTTGCCGTGTCACCCAGGCTGGAATGCAGTGGTATGATCACACTCACTGCAGCCTTGACCTCCAGGGCTTAAGCGATCCTCCCACCTCAGCCTTCCAAGTAGCTGGGACCTGAGGTATGAGCCACCAAGCCCAGCGAATTTTTCAAATTTTTGGTAAAGATGGGTGTGTCACTGTGTTGCCCAGGCTGGTCTTGAACTCTTGGGCTCAAGTTACCCTCCTCCCAGGTCTCCCAAAAGTGCTGGGATTAAGCACCCGGCCCTAAAATTTCATTCACTTTCTTTGTTTGTCCACAAGGCGGTGTTGTTTCCCCACAAGGTGGTGCTGTTTCCCTTCTAATAACATGAGACAGCTCACTCAAGAACATCAAGAACACGACATTCTCTAAAAAATATCACAGTAGTTCCTTTTCCATAACTATTAAGTTTTCAAGGTGTTATCAGGTTTATCTCATAGAAAGAATGTGTAAAATTTTTCATGTACAAACATAATCTTTTAGCAATGAGTTAAAAAATTTGGCATTGTCTGAATGAAGATTTCCTTTTTCCTATAATTTTATTTATTATAATTATATTTTTAGTGATATCAATTGCTTTATAAAAACTCATTACCGAATGACTGTGAAATCGTCTGCTTTGAAGCACAGTGAAATCATCAGTCAGCATACTGGGTCTAACACGGTTCCTTCCATTTTAAGAAAGCTATTTACACTCCAATTTGCAAGTTGGACTTTACAAAAATTAAAACATTTATAAAATATACTAACTATGATTGTTTTAAAAAGTAATGGTTTTTTTATGGTAAGGAAATAAATTGAAGCTCTGTGTTGGAAAGTGCAGAAAACAAATCAGCATTCTTTATACATAGATTTTACTGCTGGTTTAGAAATTACCTTATGTGCTTTATAGATGATGGAAAAATGAAATCAGCTGCAGTTAGCACTGTGCATGCGTCGTATTTGCTGTGTCACTTTTAGAAAGATTATGGAATATTGGCAGGTCAGGATTCTCAAAATGATCAGTTCTAAGAAGAGGCTAAATGAAAAAGAATTTAAAAGCAAGCCTAGTTGTTTAATATATACATGGATGAGTTAAGGGGAAATCCTGGACTGGGAGCTAGCAGATCTATGTTCTGACTTTTACTAAGTCATTGGCTGCTACAGCAGGCCGAGCAGACATAACTGCCAAGGCTGCCTGGGAGTTGGGTTGACTGGCAATTGGCACAGGGAGGGAGGGCAATTGCCAGAGTAATGGCCAAATATTCAGGGTTTCATGTTCAGTGAAGCAGGGCATGCATTTATATCCCAAAGGCAAAACTGACGCTAGAATCAGGCCTTCTGGCTGAATCTGAGTCCACAGTCTGATGGGTAGGATGAAGTAGTCTCAGAAATCCAAGCCAGCCAGAACCCATGAGGTGTGCTCTGCAGATATTGGCTGGCAAGCTGCATTAAGATGTTTCATTCCATTGAGCAAACATTCCTTGATTGGTTAGGTTAGCATCCCACAGGAGCAGAGACAAATTCTTCAGAATTTGTCCATGAAGCTGTAGTCCCAGAGCTTATATTTCAAGGGCAGAAGGAGGAAACAGCATTTCAGGATGGTAGGTGATTACAGCTAAACCGAATTCTGAAAATAAAAGGAACCCTATGTCTTTGTCTGCTCAGGCTGCTGTTACAAACAACTGTAGACTGAGTGGCTTAAACAGCACATACTTGTTTCTCACAGTTCTGAGAAATCAAAGATTAAAATCTGGGCCAGCAGAGCCAGTGTCTGGTGAAGGCCTTCTTACTGGTTTGCAGGTGTTCTTGTTGTATCTTCACATGGCTGAGAGAAGAGGGCTCTAGTCTCCTTCTCTTCTTATTAGGATGCTAACCCCATCGTGGGAACTCCATCCTCATCAAAACCAAATTACTTCCCAAAGGTCCTCCTTCTAATGCCATTCTATTGTTAGAGTTTCAACATGTGCATTTGTTGATGCAAACATGCAGTCCACAGCATCTTATCTAATCAAATCAGTTGCCCCTTGAATAAAATTCTAGCTCCTATAACAAGACTTAAAATTATGACTTGGTTGTTGCCAAAACGGTCTATCTGGATTTGCTAGAAACCAAGCATATTTGAATATTTCCTCTAAAGATTTTCTCATTCCTACCCTATTATGTATATTTACAGAATTCTTAAATAATTACATACACAAGGCTTCTATTAGCTCTGACTAGAGCTTCTATTAGCTTTGACTATTGCAAGCAGCTTTATAGCACTGTAGGTAAAGCATGTGCTTTGAAATCATACAATAAAATTTATTACATGCTAAGCACTTTATATTCATTATTTAATTTTATCATCTTAATCACCTTCATTATTACCTCCATTAAACCCTATTTGTTGGCTACCTATATTATTCTGATTTTGCAAAACTAAATTTGAGAGCCTTTCCCAATGTCACATAAGTTAATAACTGGCATAGCTGGGGCTTGAATTAAAGTCTACCTGATTCCAAGATCTATTTACCATTGTTCTACAATATGTACTTTTTAGGTCCCTGAGAAGGCTAACAGCCTTTCTTTTGAAATCTGCCTTCTTCCTGGATAGCAGCTTTATTAATATGTGATTAGGGCACCATATTTCAGGCAACAAATTCTTTGAAATCTTTCATTTCCATAGTGAGATAAGGATCAGTTCTGTGGCATTGTCTGCCAGAAAACATCATTTGGAGACTATCTTGTACAAGAAGTAGAAGACACAGCTGGGGGCCTGTGGAGGACAGAAAGCTCACAGCTTCTGTCCATACCCCTTTCACTTCCTCCTCAAGGAGATGGACCTCTGTGGTTGGTCAAGCTTAAGGATCTTTTATGGGCCACAGCTAATGGTGAAATCTTCCTAACTGTAGGTGAAGATTTATGGGCAAGTTGGAGAGTTAAGGTAGCTTGTGGCTGCTCCTTTTAGAAGAAAGTCTGATCATTGCTCTCTTATTTGTGGAACCCCTATGCTTGGTAAGACATGCCTGAAGACCAATCCTGTGTCAGTAGACTTCATATCTACTCTCTTCTACCAATCACACAACTACAGACAAATAAGAAAAATAAAACAAAGCTCAGACACACTCCCCTGGCATGGAGGCCACTCTCTGGCTGGCTGCTTTTCTCTACCCTGGTGCCTCCTGGGTGTTCGGCTCTTTCTTAGACCAAATTGAGACATGGGTTTGGGATTAAAGAGAAGTAAGTGAGAGGGGTCTCTGGCCTGTTTTGGCATTAGACCAAGTAAATAACAGAGTTCTTCTGCCTTAAGCTCAGCTCTGTAGAGCTTTCTCTGTGTTTGGGGAAAATCTCCAGATAGTAATGAAGTGGTATTTTACTGTGCTTCATTTTCTGTACATATATCTCTTTCTTAGGTATCTTGTGGGGAGATTGGTTCCCTGGACAAATACCATCTTAATCACTTTCATTATTACCAATTTTATTTTATTTGCAGAATTAAAATTTAAATGGACATTCAGGAAACAAGTCTGGTGAGAGAATTATGTTATGAGGTAAATCTTTCAGCATCTGCCTTAGGGACATGGATTATTTTCCCCCTTGTTTTTCACCAAGCTCCAGGCTTGCAAAAGAATCGTGATGTGGTCTGAGGCAAACTTACTGATTGGCTAGTGGTAAGTTAAACCGTGGCCTGTAGGACCGCGGGGAACCATTGCCTGTCATCGGCCAGAATCCACTGTTTGGAGGTGTGCGCTGGGAAGGCCATTCATACTTACTGATACATGCTTTGTTCTTGGCACTGTGTTAAGTACTGGACACATGCAACAATTTGGAATATTGTTACATTCAACCCTCACAATAGTCTGATGTATATGTTATTAGTCCCGTATTGGAGACGAGTAAACAAGATTAGAGGAAGAGCAGCACACAGCTGGAACCACACAGGTGGCACTGGGATTGGAAGCAGTTCTGTCTCACCCTGGACCACCATTTCTATGCTGTGTCTCCACTAGAGGATCCTTTCTTTGGTTCTTCTAAGTCATTAGTCATCAATAATTTATCTCCAAACTGTAGGTTTCACAGGAGGAGATGCCACTTGAAGCTGCATGGCTAAAAATGGAGATGGAATGTGGAACATGGTGGGAAACACTGGGAGGGGTTTATTGATAAACTTCAAGTACTTTGTGGGGCTCTGAAAGGCTGTCTTCAAATTCTTTGTCCTACTACCTCTTTCATATTAGTTCAAATGTCATATGGGTATATCTTTTGGGTTAAATTAAGGAAAATCTCCATGATAAGTAAAAAACAAACAAAAAAACCCCAAAAGAATAGAAAGAGGTACTACGAAAAATCAACTCAGATTTCTCAGTTTTGTTAACTCAAAGAAGCCTTGGTCCAGTTGGAAGAAGACAGAATTGATTTTGACAATCTCTAGCAAACCCTTTAGCGTTCAATGCACTCTAGACCATGAGTATAAAGAAGTTCACTTAATGGGTTCACCAAATTAGTTAGTTTGTGTAGTTCAAAGGGAAACAGACACACAGGACTGTGAGGCTTTGACAGGGGTGAAAGGCAAGTGTGGGTCCAGTGAGCCCAGGCAGGCCATGAAGGGGCAGGGCAGGAGGAGGACGGTGCTGGGAGGCTAGGGAACTGGCCACCTCCGTGCTGGCTGAAGATCACAAAAATGAACACAGCTTTCTCCAAACGCTGCCCATGCCTGATGGAATTAAACAGAGCTCTGAGAAAGACAGCACCGGGGCCGAGGATGGGTCCTGAGCTGCCTACACTCATCAATATCTTGGCCAGTGGCTATGCCCTCAGGGGCAATTTGCCTAGCTTTCTTGATCCACACCAGAAAACTCGCTTTTGAAGTGGTTTGGAAAGCTCCAAAAGGGATGTGCTTCATGCTATTGGTATTGCTGCCAAAAAGAAAAGATTCTGCTTATCATCAGCTGTTGATTTTTTCTCTGTGTATTTCTCTAGCATCTATTGCTGGTGACCCTGGTTATGCTAACAAGCAGATAGTGTAGCTGCAGCAGCAGAACAGAAAAGACTCTCCTGGATTCTCAATTCCAGGCTGGCCTGGGAACAGGCTTAGGGATGTTTCGATGCTTGAATGCAGGCAGGCTGGAGATCTGTGGCAATTCTTTTGACATGAGGCTGGACATTCTTTATAGCTTCCCCAGACACAGAAATTGGCAGGGCTTGACAAAGAATCACTGGCAGGAAGTTCATTTTCTTTATTGCTACCTCCCCAGCCATAAAACTAAAAGCTTTTTACCTAAATCACGTTAGCCATCTCGTGGGAGTAGGAGATCATTTTCTTCAGAGTCTTTCCCAATTGGAGTCTAGTCCTAGGATGGTTTGAACAGTCCATTTGAATTTGAAGAGCTTTCTAATTGATGCTTCTCATCCCCTCTCCAACCAGTCCTATTTGGTGTCATCTGCCTTTCCCCTTCCTCCCTACCAAACCTCAGAGTCTTGAAACAAAAATCTTTGTATTGTAAACTTCATCATGCTAATTTCATCACTTCAAACGAACCTTCTCTTGTTTGAGTTTCCTCCAACTGTGTGACTTAGGGCTGTTGAACTCTTTCAAATACACAGGAAAATGGAAACCTCTTTTGGTGTCTAGTGATCGTATAATAAAACATTTTCAGATGCTAATCACGTGCTTTGTTAATGAATGAAAATCTAAGGATATTCTTATTTGAAAGGTTTAAAAATATAATAACTGTCATTATATCTAATTCTGTCTACATTTGTGGTGTGAAATGAGAAGTCAGGAGCCCTGCCATCTACACAGTGCATGGTTCTACCAGCCGTTTCTGTGTCACTTCAAGCAAATCACTTCTTTTCTGCCTTTTCTTTCTTTTTATGTAAAATGTGGATAACTGTCTGTCTCACTGAATTCACAGAGTGACTGTATCATGTACAACAAAATTTATTGAAAAGTGTAAAGCTCTATAATTAGGTAGAATGTTACCTGTCATTTATAAGCTTTTTAAATCCTGGGGCGGTGGAGGAAGTATTCTTCTTACTGTAAAAGGACATCCCTCTAATAATCTCCCTTCTTTTCCTGACTTTTCAGGGATTCTGTTCATTGCTTTTCCATTTGTCAACTGCATCTTCAATCTCTCTCCTCCTTGATGCCTTCTGTCAGCATTTAAATATAAATTTTTCATTTAAAAAAATCTTCTATCTTGGAGAAACCTTACCTTTGACTCTCTATGTCTTTCTAGCTATCAAGCCATCTCCTCCTTTCTTGGCAAATTTTCCTCAAGGATTTTCCACACTTACTGTCTCCTTTTGCTCCTTTTCCTTTCACTCTTTATTCAGGTCAGTTTGGCTTTCACTTTCACCAAGCCTGTTAAACTGCTTGTGCTAAGGTCACCATATAAGAGTGCTAGGGGCTTCCATCACAAGCTGCCACAGATTGAGTGGTTTATCTTCTCACAGCTCTGAAGACTGGAAATCCAGGATGGAATGTCAGCAGGTTTGCCTTCTTCTGAGAACTGCTGCCTTGCAGACGGCTCCCTTCCTGCTGTGTCCTCAGGCTGTGTTGCCTGTGTCTCAATCTCTTTTTAGATGGACACCTGCCATATTGGTTTAGGGTCCACCCATACGGCTTCATTTGACCTCACTTACCTCTTTGAAGGCCTTCTCTAAATCAGTCCCCTCTGAGGCAGTGGGGATCAGCTCTTCAACATAGGAATCTTGGGGGACACAATTCAGTGCCCCCAGAATTGGTGATTCATAAACATCATGAACACTAGTCCTCTTTCTCCCTTTCTTTCTCTTTCTTTCTTTCTTTCTTTTTCTTTCTCTTTCTTTCTTTCTTTCTTTCTTTCTTTCTTTCTTTCTTTCTTTCTTTCTTTTCTTTTCTTTCTTTCTTTCCTTTCTTTTCTTTTTCTCTTTCTTTCCTTCCTTCCTTCTTTCCTTTCTCTTTCTTTCTTTCTTTCTCTCTCTTTCTTTCTCTCTCTTCCCCCTTCCTTCCTTCCTTTCTTCCTTCCTTCCTTCCCTCCCTTTCATTTATTTTCCTTTCCTTTCCTTTCTTTCCTTTCCTTTCCTCGCTCTCCCTTCCTTCTTTCCTTCCCTTTCCTCACTCTCCCTTCCTTCTTTCCTTCCCTTCCCTTTCCTTTCCTTTCCTTGCTCTCCCTTCCTTCTTTCTTTCCTTCCTTCCTTTCTTCCTTCCTTCTTTCCTTCCTTCCATCCTTCCTTCCTTCCTTCTCCTTCTCCCTTCCTGCCTTCTATTTATTTACTTTTGTTTATGTAAAATTTACGGGATACAGGTGCAGTTTTGTTCCGTGCATAGTGGTCAGTTCAAAGCTATTAGGGTATCCATCACCCAAGTAACATATATTGTACATATTATGTAATATATAAGTCCAATGGGGTCTCAGAAACATTCAGTAGAGTAGACCCCTGATCTCTTCCTCTAGCTTGAACTATTTTCTTATCAGCTCCTGCCTCTTTGCCCAAACTTTAAATGTTGAAGTTCCTAAATCCTGGGTCCTCTTCTGTTCTTATTCCATACTAAGCTTGTCCAACCTGTGGCCTGTGGGCCACGCGTGGCCCAGGACAGCTTTGAATGCAGCCCAACACAAATTTGTAAACATTCGTCAAGCATTATAGATTTTTTTATGTTTTTTTTTTTAGCTCATCAGCTATTGTTAATGTTAGTATATTTTATGTGTGGCCCAAGACAATTCTTCTTCCAGTGCAGCCCAGGGAAGCCAAAAGATTGGACGCCCGTGCCTACACAGACTCTAGACAAGGTTTTATTAATTCCTATGGCTTTAGATACTGTTTATATGCATATGGCTCCTACAGAGCTCTCCTCCCAAGCTCCAAAACATTATGTGCACCTGCCATCTTGAAATCTCCACTGGGATTTTCATAGGCATTCCTAAAATCAGAATTCAAAACTCTTGAGTTCTGCCCCCAAATCTATGCCACTTCCTCAATCATTTCCCTTTTGTTAGTTTATTTCTTCTTCAGCCTTACCATTCTTCGTAAAAATTATCTCCATTTACCCATTTGCTTCTTCCAGAAAGCATCATCATCCTTGATGCTTTCTTCTTCCTGCCACCCCCCTACCATCACAACTTGCAACCAAGTCCTGTTATTTCACCTTCAAAATATGTGCTAAAATTATCCACTTCTGTCATCCGCATGTTTCACCTGGTCTGCAAACATATACTCCTCTTTCCAACTTTTTGCCTCTCCAATACCTTCTCTATGGCACACCCAGAGAGGTTCATCAAAAATTTCAATTAGATCATGTCTCTCCTTCATTTAAAAATCTTTAATGATTTTCTACCCATGAAGTAATTCTGCTAGACCACAAGCTCTAAAGATGCAAGGAGTAGGTTTGCCTTATTTGTTTCTGTTTATGCAGAGCCTAGCCTTGCATTTAGTAGGAACTTAACACATTGACCTAGATCTTGTCCACCTTCTCAGCCTCACCTCTCATGGCAGCACTCATAGACCTCAGTCCAGTTACTCTTTTCTCAGATCCCTGAGCTGGCCTGGTCCAGGGCTGCCTGGGCCGTGATGCGTTCACTCCTGCTTTGTTGGCTGGTATCTGCTTATATTCTTGCTACTGTAACTGATGTCCAAGGCAGTCACATAGGCATCCCTGGGAGCTTGCTAGAGCTCAGGCACCACCCTAGATCCAATGAATCAGAATCTGCATGTTGACAAGGTCCCCAGGTGGTTCCTATGCACATTCAAGTTTACGGTGCTTTGCTCTAGATCCCAGCCTGAGGGTTAGTTCTTTAAAGAGACCTTTCCCAACTGGCCAAATCGTATTAGGTCATGTGTTGGATTCACCCACACAGTCTGTGATACAGAAGGGAAAAGGAGTTGAGGCCTATTGATCAGAAGCTGCTCACTTTAGAGTTTTACCTAAGGGTAATTATATCAAAATTCTGTATTTTGTAGAGAAGCATACAAACTATGTGAATAGTTTGAGCAAATTGAAAATTGCCAGTTTTGTTTGCTTTAACCAATATGTTTGCTTTCCCTCTGAAAATCCCTTGTTATGGGTCCTTAGTTTTAGTTTGCCACATTATGACACGATGGGAATAATGCACAGCAGTGATCCTCAGTTGGTTTGGGTTTTCAATACACAATTGATCCATGGTTGTGGCATGCATTGTAGAATGTCCAGCTAGAACACCTATTCTTTCAATTACTTTCATTACTTTCAATGGCAAAACCACAATTACTTTTGCACTAACCTGATAGTTTTGCTACGAGTCAATTGTTCAGGTGTTTTTTTGTTGTTGTTTGTTTTTATTTTTGCAAATACTTTAGATACTGCATAGTGGATGGATTAGTCTGTGGTTCCTGGGATCTTCTGTGTATTCTGTTGAAGCTCAATAATCACATTACTGCGGACCTCCAAAATTTTACAAAGGACTGCATAGTGAGTATTCAGCCGATAAACTAAACCATAGCTTATTACTGTGAGATGAAAGAAAGCACACCAATTAAAAGTAAACACTGTTTAAACTTATCTCAATGCATTTCTAAAGTGTCATACATTTATTATATTCTCTACTTGTAAATATTTTGTTGTGTGTATTGCCAAATATGTCAGGATTTTATGGGTATAATGTATTCTATTAATTTAACTGGAAAACTTGTAGTTATTCAACAAGCAAACAAAGTGTTGGCAGAGATGTAATTTTAAAGCACAATCCCACACACTCCTTGAGTATTACAGCTGCTCCCTGTTTATTTAATAATAGAACTGATGAGTAGTTAATTTGAGAGGAAAGCTGGTGCAGGTGTAGTGCTATTTAGATGTCATGGAGGACACATGTGACCTCTGCAGCTAGCTATATGGTAAAAGCAAAACAGAAGTTAAAATCAGCCCTATGTCAAATCTGCATAGTTTTAGGCTTCAGGGAGTTTCTCTGTATGTTGAGGCAGGAAGTTTAGTAGAATTCCAAGGGAATAAGAGAGGAACCAACATTTGTAAATTTTGCCTTCTATGGGGGAACTCATTCAATCATCAGGAGGACTCTTCGATAGGTTTTATTTGCTCTGGTTTACCTAGATGAAAAATTGAGACCCAGAATCCATGCTTTTCTTTGCTGGTTACACATTAGAATCACCAATGTGACATTAAAACACACACACACACACACACACACACACACACACACACACACACACACCTGCACACCCATTAAGATGGCTGCTATCAAAAAAGAAAAAACAAAAAAATCAGGGGCTGGGCATGCTGGTTCACACCTGTAATCCCAGCCCTTTGGGAGGCCTAGGCAGGTGGATCACCTGAGGTCGGGAGTTTGACAGCAACCTGGCCAACATGGTGAAACCTCATCTGTACCAAAAAACAAAACAAAACAAAACACACACACACACAATTAGTCGGGCATGGTGGCACACATGTGTAATCCCAGCTAATTGAGAGGCTGAGGCACGAGAATCGCTTGAACCTGGGAGGCACAGGTTGCAGTGAGCCGAGATCACGCCACTGCACTCCAGCCTGCAGACAGAAGGAGATTTGGCCTCAAAACAAAGCAAAAACACCCAGAAAATAACAAGTGCTGACAAGGATGTGGAAAAATTGTAACTCTTGTGCATTGAGGGTGGGTATGAAAAATAGTACATCAGCTGTGGAAAACATATGGTTCCTCAAAAATTTAGACATAGAATTACCATATGATTCAGTAATCCCACTCATATCTGTAAATCTCTATATCTGTATCTATATCTACCTATACCTATCTTCAAAAGAATGGAAAGCAGTTACTCAAATAGATACTTGTACACCTGTGTTCTCTCCGTACCCTTTTTTTTTTTAATAGATGGGGTCTCACTATGTTTCCTAGGCCGGAGTGCAGGGGCTGTTTATAGGCATGATCCCCTGCTGCGGGGCTGTCCACGGGCGCGAGCCCCGCCCCCCCGCCCCGCGCTGCAGGCCTGTCCACGGGCACGAGCCCCCTGCTGCGGGGCTGTCCACGGGTGCGACAACCCCCCCTCCCCCCCACCCCCTCTGCAGGGCTGTCCACGGGCGCGACCCCCCTGTTGGCCGGTTCGCCACTCCTTAGGCAACCTGGTAGTCCCCTATCCCGGGAGGTCACTGTACTAATGTCTAATTTCATGCAGACATCTGATCAACACAGCACACTGCAGCCCAGAACTCCTGGGCTCAAGGGATCTTCCTGCCTCAGAAGCCTGAGTAGCAGGAACTACAGGCGCATGCCACCACACCTGGCTGCTACACCTGTGTTCATTGCAGCATCACAGCAGCCTTATTTACAGCAACCACAAGGTGGAAACAACCTAAAAAGTCTATTGAGGGATAGATGGATAAACAAAATGTGGTATAGACATAAAATGGAATATTAGTGATCTTTGAAAAGGGAGGAAATTCTGATACTTGCTACCACATAGATAAAACTTAAAAACATTATGCTAAGTGAGACATCAGACACAGACTACGTGATTCCATCTATATGAAGAACCTGGAACAGGCAAATTAACAGAGACAGAAAGTAGAATAGAGGTTTTCAGGGCTGGCAGGAGGTTAGTGTCTAATGGGCACAGAGTTCCTGTCTGGGATGATAGAATGTTCTGGAAATGGATAGTGGTGATGATTGCACAGCATTGTGAATGTAGCTAACGACATTGAATTCTTTACCAGAAAACAAAACAAAAACAGAAACACATTGCTTAGGCTTCCCAGTTGGACAGGTGACGTGCTTGGTGCAAGCTGGGGCCTGAGTCCAGGCTGCCCTTGCCAGAGCTGCTTCAAGATCCCTCTTGATTGTCCTTAGGCCTGATTGCTCTGGAGAGCCCCATACATGAAAGCCAGCTCTTGTTCTATCTCTTCTCACTCCAGTCCTCTCTGCCCCCACCGTCCCCCAGCTGGGCATTATGAGAAAAGCAAGATGACTATGAGTATTGTGATTATTTATATGAACAAATAATCTCAAGGACTATTGCTAACTAACCCATGGGACTCCCACTACCTTCATGAGGTTTGGACGAGGTGAAGGATCCCTAAAATCCTGCCACCTAGTCAGGAACTCAGTTGTCAATAATTTCTTTATTTGTGATACAAGCAGGGGTGGGGAAAGAGAAATGAACAGACTTGGAAGCTTCTCCGAGGCCTTAGAGAAGACCTCTGGGCTCCAAACACCAGATGCCGGGAGCAAGGAGGGTAGTTGATGACTCCCCACTCTTTCTCCAGCCCCTGCTCCTCTGTTTCTCCCCTTCACCCACTGCAGCTTCCTTAGGTCATGGGTCCTGTGCCGCCATCTCTTTGAATCACGTCCCTTCTATCCCCGTTAATAAAGGAGCATCAGCTAAGTGAACATGGTGATTCACATTCACTTACATTGATTCAGAAATTGTGTTTAGTTCCACACAAGAAAAAGAATGTGGATCTTTTTCACTGGGGAAAAAAAAAGTCGCTACGTATCATCTTAATCATGTTTTCCAGGGATATAATCAATACATGACGCCTATTTAAGCCTTCATTGCATCTGTGCACGTGGTTTGCTTTCCTCTCATGTGAAATAGCGTTGGACCACATGGGTTTGGGTCACAGCCCAGGAAGACACAATCCTGAACGTCATAATCCCAAATGTTGAAGTCCCAAAAGATCTAAATCTGTACAGTCTAAAATCCTGAAAATTACAATCCTCAAAAAACAAAATTCTGAAAATACAATTCTGGAAAAAAATTAACACATTCTTTAAAAAGCATTTATTGGGCAGGACGTGGTGGCTCACACCTTTAATCCCAGCACTTTTGGAGGCCAAAGCGGGTGGATCAAAAAGTCAGGAGATCGAGACCATCCTGGCCAACACGGTGAAACCCCATCTTTACTAAAAATACAAAAAATTAGCCAGGCATCGTGATGGGTGCCTGTAGTCCCAGCTACTTGGGAGGCTGAGGCAGGAGATTCACTTGAACCCAGGAGGTGGAGGTTACAGTGAGCTGAGATCGCACCACTGCACTCCAGCCTGGGCGACACAGTGAGACTCTGTCTAAAAACAACAAAAAAGCATTTATTTATATTTTTAAGATGGAATTTATTTGATAAACGTATAAAAACACAACAGAACACTTCCTAGGCTACTTTACACAATCAATAGGCAATAATAACATACATATATTTGCAAGCATAAAACTCAGGTATGCTAAAGAGCGTCTTATGGGTATAACAGTAATGAGCAGATGAGTTGTACTCGTAAAGAAATGGGTCAAAAAGCAAAATGTATAAAAGCATGGTTGGTAACTGGGTGCACTCAGCTTTATAACTTAGGTCATCTGGAATACTGTGACAGACAACCTAAGTCTTTTGACCAGATTCATCAAAAGCTGGGATGGGTCACCATCTAATATGCAGTCAAAGAGCTGAGATCTTGAGAAATTTTCTCTTTCCCAAATACAAATGTGCAAAAAGGATATCTTCTCATTTATTGAGGAAGCTTTAATGTTTTTATGTACAGGTACAATGCTTACACACAAAGTCAGTGTTGTGATAATGCACTCTTGTGGAGTCAAATTTGCAAAAATAAAAGCATAAAACAAATTAGAACTCTCTAAAAGTCTTTGCAAAATTTATACCTCCAGTATTGGAAATGATACTAAGATGAAATACATAGCATACCAAGTTGTAAAAAATGCTGACAATTTAAAATAGTGGAAAAAATGGAAAAAGAAACAACTAAAACGAAAATTGACATATAAAAAGTATATTACATGGATAGATTATGGGCAATTGCAGAGTTCATAATAGCTGGCTGACTCTCATTATCATTAACTGTATTTTGAAGTCTTTCATCATGATGCCTTTTTTGTTTTTAGGATTTGACTCTCCTCATAAAATATGTTCACATTCATTTTCTATGTGGCACTGCTCTTTTTGAAATTCTATAATTTGATACACACTGACATGAGCATTTCCTATTATATTTTCCAATCTTCTATGCCATTCTTGTCTATTGTTTTGAGTATGTGGAAATCCATTTTGCAGGCCCTCATATACAGGCCACTCATTTGGCAGAAACAATACTCTTGATTGAACAGCAACACCGTTGCCTGAATGACTTCTTATCCCACCTTGCACATCATTATTTTCAAACTAGTATGTAATTTTTCTGGCTTCTTCAGGCAATTGTGGTTTTAATTTATCAAAAGCTCCTGGAGTTTTATCAGGTGGAAGGAATGCCAATACAGACAAATGGCACATTTTAAAACTAAAATTTTCATCATTGCCATATGGCCTGGCCAATCCACTCACCTGAATTTTCTGGCAAATGAACTGGGCTGAATGGAAGATACAAACTTTACTGGTAACAACTTGCAATTCACTTTTAGAAGCCTTGATCACACCTAATTAAAAACTTGTCATTATAATTTGGGGATCTGATTGAAATCTATTTTCTTCTGCAAAGCCCTCCAAATCTTCAAATAAGCTTTTATAAAGTACTTCACTTTTTCCAGTTATTAAACCATAAACATGAAGATTAAATTATAGAATTTTGTAATTCATTGGGGGCATAAACTGTATAAAGTTGATTATAAAAACCCACTGGGGACAGTTTTGAAAGTGCCATTCATCAGCCAAAGTGAAAAATGCACCAGTTTTGTTATGTTAGACTTAGTGGTAAATAAATATGTTTATCTTTTTTGACAGTCAAATCCCTAATCAAGAATAGTTCATGATTTAATATGTCTTGTAGCACTGGAGGAAGCTCTGTGCCAGCAGGTGTCTGGTTCAGAAGGCCACTGAATTTGTTGAACTCTTTTTATTATCTGACAAAAGGCATTTTGTGAAGACAAGCATGGTGCTACGTGTAGAGGTGCTTGGTACATGATTACATAATTTGGCAGACAAGATTTTGTGCATTTTTTACTTTCATTTTCACTTCTGTGATATTCAAGACATTCAAAACATTGACAGCAGATCTTCCCCACCTAGTCCGCTCAGACCCACACACTGATCTCTTCTGAGAAAACCATCACAGACATACCCAAAATAATACTTTCCCAGCTTTCCAGGGATTCCTTAATCCAGTCAAGTTGACACCTGAAATTAAGTCTGCAAGTCCACCCCTTGTAGATTTGGCACCCATATGGACCCCCTTAAACCATACATAATTTCCAAATAAGAAGAAAACAAAGCAAGAGTTGTACCTAACATGATGCAACTAACGTGGTACAACTCTCCTGTGATTGTGATTTTCTGGATTTTAGATGTTAAGAATTTAGACTTTAGGACTGGGCATGGTAGCTCATGTCTGTATTCCCAACACTTTGGCAGGCCAAGTCAGGAGGGTCACTTGAGCCCAGGAGTTTGAAATCAGCCAGGGCAATAAAGTGAGACCCCATGATATGGTTTGGCTGTGTCCCCAACCAAATCTCATCTTGAATTGTAGTTCCCATAATCCTCACATATCATGATGGGGACCCAGTGGGAGGTAATTGAATCATGGAGGCAGTTACCCCCATGCTGTTCTCATGATAGTGAGTGAGTTCTCACAAGATCTGATGGTTTTATGAGGAGCTTTTCCCCCTTTGCTTGCACTTCTCCTTCCTGCCGCCTTGTGAAGAAGGTGACTTGCTTCTCCTTTGCATTCTGCCATGCTTGTAAGTTTCCTGAGGCCTCCCCAGCCATGATGAACTGTGAGTCAGTTAAACCTCTTTCCTTTATAAATTACCCAGCTTGGGTATGTCTTTATTAGCAGCATGAGAATGGACTGATACAGTAAATTGGCACTGAGGTAGTGGGGTGTTGCTATAAGGATACCTAAAAATGTGGAAGTGAATTTGGAACTGGGTAACAGGCAGAGTTTGAACAGTTTGGAGGGTTTGAAAGAAGACAGAAAAATGTGAGGAAGTTTGGAACTTCCTAGAGCCTTGCAGATTGGTTTTGAGGAAAATGCTGATAGTGACATGGACAATGAAGTCCAGGCTGAGGTGGTCTCATATGGAGATGAAGAACTTTTTGGGAACTGGAGTAAAGGTGACTCTTACTATGCGAAGAGACTGACGGCATTTTGCCCCTGCCCTAGAAGTCTGTGGAACTATGAACTTGAGATAGATGATTTAGGGTATCTGGCAGAAGAAATTCCTAAGTAGCAAAGTGTTCAAGAGGAAGCAGAGCATAAAGGTTTAAAAAATTTTGCAGCTTGATGATGAGACAGAAAAGGAAAACCCATTTTCTGGAGAGAAATTCAAGCCAGCTGTAGAAATTTGCATAAGTAACGAGGAGCTGAATGTTAATCACCAAGACAATGGGAAAATGTCTTCAGGGTATGTCAGAGACCTTCACAGTAGCTCAAGGCATCACAGGACAGGAGGCCTAGGAGGAAAAAATGGTTTCATGGGCCCGGTGCAGGGCCTTGCTGCTCTGTGCAGTCTCAGGACTTGGTGCCGTGTGTCCCAATCATGGCTAAAGGGCCAATGTACAACTCAGGCCATGGCTTCAGAGGGTACAAGCCCCAAGCCTTGGCAGCTTACACGAGGTGTTGGGCCTGTGGGTGCACAGAAGTCAAGAATTGAGGTTTGAGAATCTACGCCTAAATTTCAGAGGATGCATGGAAATGCCTGGGTGTTCAGGCACAAATTTGTGACGGGGACAGAGCCCTCATGGGGAACCTCTGCTAGGGCAATGTGTGCAGAAGGGAAATGTGGGCCCCCACACCATCCCCACTGGGGCACTGCCTAGTGGAGCTGAGAGAAGACGGCCACCATCCTCCAGACTCCAGAATGGTTGATCCACTGACAGCTTGCACCGTATGCCTGGAAAAGCCACAGACACTCAGCACCAGCCTGTGAAAGCAGCCAGGAGAAGGGCTGTACCCTGCAAATCAACAGGGGTGGAGTTGCCCAAGGCCATGAGAGCCCAACTCTTGCTTCGGCGTGACCTGGATGTGAGACATGAAGTCAAAGGAAATCATTTCAGAGCTTCAAGATTTGACTGACCCATTGAATTTTGGACTTGCGTGGGGCCTGCAGTCCCTTCATTTTGGGCCAATTTCTCCCATCTGGAACAGGTGTATTTACCCAATGCCTATACCCTCATTGTATCTATGAAGTAACTAACTTGATTTTGATTTTACAGGCTCATAGGCAGAAGGGCCTTGCCTTGTCTAAGATAAGAATTTGGACTTGGACATTTGGGTTAATGCTGGAATGAGCTAAGACTTTGGGGGACTGTTAGAAAGGCATGATCATGTTTTAAAATGTAAGGACATGAGATTTGGAAGGGGCTGGGGGCAGAATGATATGGTTTGGCTGTGTTGCCAACCAAATCTCACCTTGAATTTTAGTTTCCATAATCCCTACATGTTGTGGGAGGAACCCAGTCGGAGGTAATTGAATCAGGGGGGTGGTTACCCCCATGCTATTCTCATGACAGTGAGCAATACCTGAAGGTTTTATAAGGGGCTTTTCCCCTTTTGCTCAGCACCTCCTGCTGCCTTGTGAAAAAGTGCCTTGCTTCTTGTTTGCATTCACCATGATTGTAAGTTTTCTGAAGCCTTCCCAGCCATGCCAAACTGTGAGTCAATTAAACCTCTTTCTTTTATAAATTACCCAGGCTCATGTATGTCTTTATTGGGAGCACAAGAATGAACTAATTCACTCCATCTCTACTAAAAAGAAATGAATTTAGACCTTAGGAATTTTGATCTTTCAGGATTTCAACATTCAGGGTTATGGTGTTTGTGACTGGGTCTTCTGGGATTATGATCCTCACCTGGACTAAACAGCCTTGCAGCTCTCTTCAAACTATGATCCTATTCTCCCACTGCCTCCTGAGTTCAGCCTCTTTCTTCAACTTGGCTAAGCCTGCCTTTCCTTTCCTATCTGTCTGCTTTCTTCCCTCTGATTAATCCAAAGTAAAATTTGACTTTTTTTTTCACTCCAACAACTCCAGCTTCTATCACATATCTCCTTTCATGAAGCTGGCCCCTGATAATGTTTCCGTTGACAACAGTATAATATAGACAAGATTGCATATAGTTAAAGTACGTATTTTATTTATTTGGTGGCAGCATTCTGATAAGGAATTAAAACTATTTCTTTTAAAATCATAATTTAATCACCAGGCAGAGCAAGTAAAGAGAAATACATTCCAGAATCTCACATCTGTCAAAAGTAAATGCTGATTTTTATTGAGGACTTCCTTATTTCTGTTGCTAGTTGACTCTCATACAGCTTGTCCCCAACAGAATCTAGTGTGGAATTGGCAAATGGGATGTCATACATGCAGTGCTCTACTGGAGCTGATAATTAAGTACCCAGGAATTTTATGAAGTGTTTGTCAAACCATCAGTAGAAATATTTACACAATGGAAATCAGCAAATGCTACAAATCTGGGCTTCTCCCCACCCAACCAATAAGTTTACTAGCATACCACTTTTATTCGTCTTGTAAACATTCAGAATTTCTATAAATATTCATAGACTCTCCTATACTGAGTGTCTCAGAATAACTTGAAGTTCTTACAGTAGCCAGTGAGGCTGAGTGTGAGTTGACCCACCCCAGTCCCTCTCTCTGACTTGTCTCCTGTTAGCCTTCTGACTCCCAGTGTTCTCTACTTCATGCACCTGGGCTAGGTGTGCACCCTGCTGTTTGCCTGCCTTTTCTTCCTCGAGTGCTCTTCCCCAGATATCTGCATAGCTGGTGCCCTCGCCTCCTTGGAATCTTTGTTCAAATGTTGTCTTCTCAGTGAGACCTTCTATATGTTTTCTATGACTGCAGGAATAAATTAACACACCTCTAGTAGGCTAAGAGAACACACACTCTCTCTAGGGGAGAGAGACCACTTTCTTACCTTCTGCAGCTTTGAGAGGATGCCTGCATCCCTTGGCTCCTGGCCCCCTTCCAGGCAGCCACCACGTCATTCTGACCCTAGCTGTCACGCCTCTTGCCTCGGACTCTCCTGCCTCCCTCTTTTGCTTTTAAGTACTCTTGTGATGACATTGAGCCAACCTGGGTAATCCAGAATAATCTCCTCATCTCATGATCCATAACTTCATCACATCCACAAGTCCTTTTTGCCATATAGGGATATGGACATGTAGAAAGGCCATTCTTCTGCCTATTACTCCCTCCTTGAGCATTCTAACTACCTTCACATCTACCCACTCCCAGCATTCCTGAGCTCCCTTCCATGCTTAATTTTTCTCTGTACCACTTATTACCTTCTGGCATATTCTATATTTTACATATTTATTTTATTAATGATCTGTCTTTTCTCACTGGAATGTAATTTGCATGAGGGTAAATATTTTTGTTTTATATCATTGCCATATTTTCATTATGTAGAACAGTGCCTTGCTCTTAGCAAGGATTCAAGAAATATATATGTTTTGGCTGAATAAATTAGGTTGAGAAGTTTGGGGGAAAATCCTGGCACGATACAGAAGACAGTTCCCAGTGATGGGAAAGGGCCATGTGGTGGGGCCTCTACAGGAAGCCGGGATGCTCCAGAGGCCCCCCAAGGCAGAGATGCTTTGCTCACATTTAACTCTTTGCCCAAGCTCTGATTTCTAATGTTTTCTTTCATATTTGTTTTTGCTCTGCCTTTTTTTTAATTAATCTTTTTTTATAGAGATGAGGTTTTACTATATTTCTCAGGCTGGTATCAAACTCATGAGCTCAAGCAATTTTCCCACCTTGGCCTCCCAAAGCGTTATTACTACAGGTGCAAGCCACCATGCCCGGCCTGCTTTTCTCTTTCTTTGAAATATACTCACAATGTTTATATTGGTTTCTAACTACAGATCATGAACTCCTGAAGCAAAGTAACCACTTTGTTCTTCGTTATTTCTTTCACTCTTCTACTCTGCACGGTGCCAGATATTGGATATGTAGGTGCCAAACATTTGCTTTTCTAATTTCTTACATTTTATTTCTTAAAGATCAGCCTAACCATGTTGTAAGAGGGATGATTTCCTTCCTTTGTTTTGAAAATTTGTGCATGCCCAATGCTTACATTGAGCAGTTCAATGTCACTACAGCTTTTTTTTTTTTCTATTTTTGCCAGACTTTCAAAACTCTTAAAACTCGTTTGTGGTCAGCACAACAAGGAACACACTTTAGCTTTGAAAAAAACTTTAACATGAAAAAATGCACTGACATTGTTTTTAATGTAACATAGGCTAGAATTTACCTATGTTTGCACATGCTGAGAATTGTCCCACCAGGCTGACGTGTTCACCTCTTCAGCTTGGATCCTGTTGTGGATTTTTTTACAAACATCAATTGCCTTCAAGCCATCCTTTCTGCTGTATGTTTTGCAGCCTTCTATAGTAGATACGCAACAGATAATGTGGAGAAAAAAGACACAAGAGGAGGAAGGTAATGAGAGACTTTGTCAAGGTTGTAACCTTCTTGGTTTCTTTGAAGAATTTGTTGCCTTTCTACTATGACAGCAAAGCAGCATTTTGTTACTGACCACCTAAAACCACTTAATCTCAGGTGAATGCATCACTTGCTATTGGAACGCTATTTGTGTTTTGTTGCACAATTTTTTGGTTGTTTATTTGGTTGGCTTTTTGGAAGGTAAATTTGGAAAGGGGACCTACACAGAAGTGCTGACCCACCCACATTCCCTTATTATCATTACAGACAAGAAGAAACTAGCAGAGCTAAGAATGGAGTGAAGAAAGGCAGTGTGATAAGCACCAGCAAAGAGTTGAGGGCTGTTGCTCTCTAAAATTATTATTTGATTATTTTAAAAATATGGACGTTTTCTAGTCACTGAAGAAAGGAGGGGAAAGTGCACTTATTTTTATATAGAGTTACTTAACTACCTCCTAAACACATACATGAAAATTGTTTTTGCTGGTGCAAAGTATTTTAATTAGCAAGAATTCATATATTGAGATTATAATTAGAGAGCTCAATTTATATATTTGCTATCCTGCTCAAGCCTGACATGGCAAAAAAAAAAAAAAAACCATATAGCTTCAAAATAACAAATACTGGAAAGTTTGCTGTGATAACTATTTTGTACTTTTGTACAAAAAACCTAAAGAACAAATTACCTAAAGAACAATTTGCTAAACATGAGAAATCGCTCCCTTTGAGTATATACAGGTAAGATAGGAAGAGCTATCAGACCAGTAAATTATAGTTTATATTGAAGATAATATTCAATTGACTCATAACAAATAACGAGCATTCATGATAACATTTCAGCATTTCCAAGGTGCCAAGTGTACTGATTTTTTAAAATATATTTTAGAAGGAATTTAGATCTGGTGTTTTTAATGAAAACCAGTATCTCTGATGTTGCAATATGTATGTGAAATGGGTGTTACATCTATCCTGCCCTTTAACCCCACCGTTAACAAAGTGGCTGAAAATAACAGTAAGAAAAAATCAGTCTAAGGGAGAAAAGGACTAATGCTCTCAATTCTCTCTCTCTGTGTGTGTGTGTGTGTGTGTGTGTGTGCATGTGTGTGCGTGTGTGTTAAGGAGGATGGCAGGAGGCAGTCTTAACTCTTGAAAGAAACCTTCTTTGTATAGGAAGCATATTTCGGTTTAGGTACAATGATAAGAAAGTTTAATTATACAGTCCATAAGACCAGATACCTTCAGATTTTTCCCTGCGGGGATTTCTATGACTGGTATTCTGACTAGTGTGAAATGATAGGTTTGTATGTCTATATCTACACCCATCAAAGCCTCAGAGCTTCCTGCACTGCTATAACTTTTCTGTTAACTCTGGGTAAATTAGGAGGCTGGTACAAGGAATAATTTTAACTTCAGATTTTACAGTTTGTTTATGTTAAGGGCAGAAAGATCTACTTTTCAATGGTCTGTATTTTAAGATAGATATTGACTTTTCCTGGTGCTATTTTATGATTATGGAGAAAATAGAATTCTTATTAGAAATCTCAACTCCGAATTGAGAATAGATGTTTTGATACTTGTCCTGCTGTGGCCTGAGACTTGGAATCATGAAATAAAAGAGATCTTGCTGTTTATCTACAGATTAGAACACACAAATAAACAACAGTGTAACATCCTCATTAGCATTCTGGTAGTTACATTTACTTATTCCAGAGCAAAATTAATATATGATAAGAAGTAGAATATTTTCTGTGGATATCTAGGGTATTATGACAACAACCTTCCTTAGAAAAGAAACAGTGTGTTATGAGGACAGTGGATGCTACAACATTACTTGCCTTCAAGGCATTGCAAACAACTGGAATCAATTGAATAACCTTCTCAAGCACAAGCCAACAGTGAAATGAAAGTCATTTATCTGAAACAGCAGGCAAGAGCTTCATTGGTACACTTGGAAGGTGGCTCACTAACCCTGCCGAAGCTTTGCTCCATCTGATCAGGGCATAAATGTTTCATTGGCCCAATAACCAAGGTGTTTGGGTTTCACAGTGTTTTCTCTCCGACAGCTAATACGGGGAGCATTGCTGACATTCTGCCATGGTTGCCCAGGCTGAAATCAAACGTGCTTCGAATAATACTATAAACACTTTGAAATGAATCTTTGCCGTAGGAACCAATGTTCAACTGTGGGCTCTATTCAAAGACACTTAAGGTGGGAGGGAGCAAACTTTTCAAGTTGGTTTTAGGTAACAGAAACAGACGTCTTTATTGGATTTGCCTGGAAAAAAAGTAAGGAAAATCCCACCATTGTCTGTTCTGGGTCAAGAAGTATAAGGCTCAGTCCCGTTTTATTTCTCTCCTTCTCCTTTGGATCCTTTTTCTTATTCTTGACTCTATACATGGAGAATAAGTTCAAGTGCCTCTAAAGCAGTAATGCTGGGAACTTGCCAACTTATTCCCATGATGCTACTGTTGCTTATAAAGCATTTTGAGGACTCTTGTATTCAGAGCTAGTGATAAGCTGTAAGAGGAAGTCAGTCTTGGTGTACAGCTGCGTTTTGGGCTCATGTATAGAAGAGCTAACATGGATTTCAGAGTCTCCCAGGTGTTTAAAATCCAAGCTCTGCTCTCAGGACCTGCGAAGGCTTAGATAAGTTGCTCAATCTCTTTGAGCCTCAGTTTTCTGAGTACAATGGCACATACCTTACAGGACTGTGGTGTGGATGAATTGCGATGATGTGTATGAATCCAGCTCAGAGTCTTCTTTCCTTCCTTCTTTCTTCCCTGCCACTGAATTTCCACCAAGCTATACTTCTCAGGTCTGACTCCTGAGAGGCTAGACACACAGTGAAGCTTGATGCTTGCTAGAAACTGAGGGGCTAGGCTTGAGTGTTAGGGAACCTGGGAATGACATCTGTCATCCATCCGGGAAGGCCGAGGAGGAAAGCGAGGCAGGGCAGCAGAGTGGGAAGTGGTAACCATGGAGGCCACCTTTGGGCTGGAGCCTGCTCAAGGCACTTTAGTGCTGAGCCATTTGGGGCCCAAGGTAGGGGCAGACAGCAGAGAAGGACGGCAGTTATCGCCTAGTCACAGGGGCAGATAGAAGAGAAGGACGGCAGTTATCGCCTGGTCACAGGGGCAGATATTAGAGAAGGACGGCAGTTATCGCCTAGTCACAGGGGCAGATGGAAGAGAAGGACGGCAGTTATCGCCTAGTCACAGGGGCAGATAGAAGAGAAGGATGGCAGTTATCGCCTAGTCACAGGGGCAGATAGAAGAGAAGGACGGCAGTTACCGCCTAGTCACAGGGGCAGATGGAAGAGAAGGACGGCAGTTATCGCCTAGTCACAGGGGCAGATGGAAGAGAAGGACGGCAGTTATCGCCTAGTCAGGAGTTTAACAATCTCTATTTCCTTTCAAACCTCGTTTCATCCCTTCCTTCCCAGTGAAATTCACAGGCAATTAAACTTCCTCCTGCATCTCGGAGCAGGCCCCTGCATCATCATTTCTCCTCTGCAAGTGTATCTTCTTCGGGCACGTGGGAAGGTCTTAGTTCACCTGGGTATTTAGGGACTTGATCCTCTTTCCTCTTTATTGTCAATGTTGTGGCTTGCCGAGGTCATGACAGAGTCTGGTTATGACATGTTAGCAATCGTCACCTCCCATTTTTGAGTAAATATACTTTTATGCAGTTTGAGCTCCCATTCGTGTCATTTATTAATTTGTTCATTTGTTAACACATTCATTTGTGGAGCATTTGGCCTAGAAAAGAGAAGAAACCCTTCCTTAGCAGTAAGGGAGAAGAGAAAACAAAACGCACAGAGATACATGCTTGGTTTTGTATAACTTTTGACAGTTTCTAAAATAAAATAAGGTCTAACTTGGAAAACCAAAACCTATCACTGAGATATTTTCATAATCTAAAAAGTCAGTTTCAAAAGAACTTCCAAAATGTTTTAAAAAATGACTATCCTTTAGAACAATGATGTAGCATTCCAAGGTTTTAGTGTTCAACCAGCATTTATTACCGCCTGCTGGGTGCCTGAGGCAGGACAATTGTAATGAGAGCCACAAACATGATTTGAAAAACCGCTGCCCATAGGTCCACAGTTCCTGTCAAAGCATAGAGCCCCCTGTAGACAGAGCCCCCTGTATAAGGTGCCCTGTGTTCTGGGTGAGAGACTACGCTTGGTCCGCAGGTATATCTGGTGGGCAGAACAGGAAAGGTGTCACTGAGGAGGTGCTATGTGAGTTAGTTGTGAAAAATGAGTACGGGTTTATGAGGCAGATATGAGAGGCACTTTGTTGAAGTTACAACTCCTACCAGGCGCTCGTTTGAATTTTCTGTTTCATTTGCTCTTTGGAGGTTGCTTGTTGGTACACTTACATTTTCTATGCCCAGCTAAAAAGAGAGGAGTGAGTGTGTGTGTGTGTGTTTGTGTGTGTGTGTTTGGTATTTTTCTCAGAGTTTCTTTGTGTTTCCAAGCTTACTTTAGAGCTGAAGCTTGTCAGAGTTTTCATAACAAACGCGTGATTGAACTAAATTCCAACCGGCCGCCTCTGGCGTTGGAGCCTTACGGCACCTCAGTGCATTGAAGGGGTGTGCTCTACCCTCTACCTTCGTGATTTATTTAAAGACCAAATCGTAATGAATAACAATTCTTAGGTTTAAACCTATAGCAGGGGTAGGAAATAGTTCAAACCTTCTGACTTACATGAACAAATGCAATCTTCAAAAACTGTTTTCTAATCTGCGTGAATGTACTGAACTCGTTGCCGCCTTCATTTAAATGTGATGTATCAAAAGTGCTTTGTAAACTGTTAAATTCCAACGTTGATATTGTCATAGATATACTTTATTAAATACTGGATAATGATTTCATAAAGTACAGGGTTTTTAACTGTGAAATTATTCTGAAATATGTAGAAAAAATTTGAAATACTCTTCCCATTTTGAACACAATGATTGTTTTTAAAATTCCCTTGATTTATATGTTTGTATACTGTGGATTCTCAACTGAGTGAATTACTGTCTTTGCAATGTAGTAAGATTTTGATATCGTTTTTAATCTATCAAGGAAAGGGCTAGATAAGTAGCATCTCATTTGTCTCACATCCCATTATTTGAAAGATGATTTCAGACCATAGGAAATACTGACTCTCCTTTTCCTTTTTTTTTCAGGATACATTATAGCCACTTATTTGCCCATCTTTGCCTCAGTGGATTTTAAGGAGAGGCCCCAAGGCTTATACATGTTTAGACCCCAATCCCTGGAGTAATCACTTAGTATTTTTTTAATGAGCAAATAAACAAATTAATAAATAAAAGAATAAATGGGTGAATGTATGTGGATATACCTCCAAACATCCACATGTATGTCATGTATGTAAATTATATACTAAGAAAATCTCAAAATTGAATTATATAAATTTTAATGGACAGTTTGACTTTAGTCTTATTATTTTCTTTTTTTTATTATTATTATACTTTAAGTTTTAGGGTACATGTGCACAACGTGCAGGTTTGTTACATATGTATACATGTGCCATGTTGGTGTGCTGCACCCATTAACTGGTCATTTAGCATTAGGTATATCTCCTAATGCTATCCCTCCCCCCTCCCCCCACCCCACAACAGTCCCCGGAGTGTGATGTTCCCTTTCCTGTGTCCATGTGTTCTCATTGTTCAATTCCCACCTATGAGTGAGAACATGCAGTGTTTGGTTTTTTGTCCTTGTGATAGTTTGCTGAGAATGATAGTTTCCAGCTTCATCCATGTCCCTACAAAGGACATCAACTCATCCTTTTTTATGGCTGCATAGTATTTCATGGTGTATATGTGCCACATTTTCTTAATCCAGTCTATCATTGTTGGACATTTGGGTTGGTTCCAGGTCTTTGCTATTGTGAATAGTGCCGCAATAAACATACGTGTGCATGTGTCTTTATAGCAGCATGATTTATAATCCTTTGGGTATATACCCAGTAATGGGATGGCTGAGTAAAATGGTATTTCTAGTTCTAGATCCCTTAGGAATTGCCACACTGACTTCCACAATGGTTGAACTAGTTTACAGTCCCACCAACAGTGTAAAAGTGTTCCTCTTTCTCCACATCCTCTCCAGCACCTGTTGTTTCCTGACTTTTTAATGATCACCATTCTAACTGGTGTGAGATGGTATCTCACTGTGGTTTTGATTTGCATTTCTCTGATGGCCAGTGATGATGAGGATTTTTTCATGTGTTTTTTGGCTGCATAAATGTCTTCTTTTCAGAAGTATCTGTTCATATCCTTTGCCCACTTTTTGATGGGGTTGTTTGTTTTTTTCTTGTAAATTTGTTTGAGTTCATTGTAGATTCTGGATATTAGCCCTTTGTCAGATGAGTAGGTTGCAAAAATTTTCTCCCATTCTGTAGGTTGCCTGTTCACTCTGATGGTGGTTTCTTTTGCTGTGCAGAAGCTCTTTAGTTTAATTAGATCCCATTTGTCAATTTTGTCTTTTCTTGCCATTGCTTTTGGTGTTTTAGACATGAAGTCCTTGTCCATGCCTATGTCCTGAATGGTATTGCCTAGGTTTTCTTCTAGGGTTTTTATGGTTTTAGGTCTAACATGTAAGTCTTTAATCCATCTTGAATTAATTTTTGTGTAAGGTGTAAGGAAGGGATCCAGTTTCAGCTTTCTACATATGGCTAGCCAGTTTTCCCAGCACCATTTATTAAATAGGGAATCCTTTCCCCATTTCTTGTTTTTGTCAGTTTGTGAAAGATCAGATAGTTGTAGATATGCGGCATTATTTCTGAGGGCTCTGTTCTGTTCCATTGGTCTATATCTCTGTTTTGGTACCAGTACCATGCTGTTTTGCTTACTGTAGCCTTGTAGTATAGTTTGACGTCAGGTAGCATGATGCCTCCAGCTTTGTTCTTTTGGCTTAGGATTGACTTGGCAATGCGGGCTCTTTTTTGGTTCCATATGAACTTTAAAGTAGTTTTTTCCAATTCTGTGAAGAAAATCATTGGTAGCTTGATGGGGATGGCATTGAATCTATAATTTACCTTGGGTAGTGTGGCCATTTTCACGATATTGATTATTCCTACCCATGCTGACTCACCTTTTCTAAAAAGACAACTGATTTTCTTATGCTTTTAAGTTCAAATGTATCTTGTCTCCTTTTGATTAATTAAAACAACACGTTATCAAAAACTTTAACAGAAAATATTCTTATTATTTATTGAATCAGAAGAGAAACAGGAAATACTGTGCTTTCTTGGGCCTGTTTCCTATACCCCAACATCATAAGAATTGTTGTTGCTTCTATAATGTTCAGCTTCAAATTATTTTGCTTGATCAATCAAAATGAATTACCTGAATTTTCTCCTCCGTTCAAAAAGGAACTGCATTCACCTACCTACCCCCAGCCCTAGGACTGTTTCTTTTATTCCAATAGTTTGTGATATCCTTGACTTCACAGCAGAAAGCTGTGAGTCTCCCAAACCCCTTCAGTCAGGTCCCGTGGAGGCTGCCTTCTAAAGTCTCTTCGGTCTTCTTTCTTTGAATGTTCATGGCCACCTTGTTGGTTAGACTCTTATCCCTGACTGTAAGAGATCCCTCAGGTCTTCCTGCCTGTGGCCATGCCTAATTTGTAACCTTCCTAAAATGTGATGTGATCATGTCACTGCCTTGCTTAGAAGCCCTGCACTGGCTTCCAACACATGCAGAATCAAGTGCTTGCTGTTTAACATGGTCTACCCAGTCCTCCAGATTCTGGCTTCCAGTTATTTTCTCAGCCTCAAAAAAGCACCTCACTCTCAAACATATCAAATAGCTTGAGCCCTCCTGCCTCCTGTTCATACCACCATTCCTTCCCCTCTACCTGGATGCTCCTCCCTTCAGCCGCCCCTCCAGCTGTAAGCTCCCATGGATTGACTGGTTCTTGAGTGTTTTATTGCACTTTGGACCTCCCGTCTCTCACTCCTGGCTTCTGTCTGTCTACTTGTCTTGACCCGCCACTTGCACTGCCTCTGGCTTATCTGCCTAATTCTGGTTGACAGTGTTATTTGTTAGCTTCATATCTACTGGCTCTCTCAATTATTTCTCAGCCTCCCCACACCAGGCTCCTTGCCCTGTATTTATAAGCTGCTATTGGCTTGAGGGTGACTGTGACTTTCTAATAAAACTATTTTATAGACTGATAGTTACAAGGGTATAGTAGAAAAGAAATGAATCTACCTTTGAGTGTATTTCAACATATCTAGTGATCCATAAATATTTTCTTCTTATTATTATCATTATTGTTATTTTTAAATAGACAATCAGGGAAGGCAGAGTCTAGGCCACCAATCTGAACTTAGGCATTCATCTTTATTAAGATATTTGGGATCTCTGCAAGTATTCTGAATTTTAAATGGCATTCAGTGATTCGATAAAATAGGAATTTTGTTTTACTCTGAACTGAGTAGAGTTTCAGCAACTGGCTGGCTACTGTGTCATTATTTCTATAAGTTCAAAATGTAAAAGGAACATTTACCTTTTAACAAGGGAGTATCCCGGGTCTCAGTTCTCAACCGTTTTTCTAGGTGCACTCATGCCTCTGTGATCTCATGAAGCCCAATGGCATTAAATTCCATGTGTGTGTGCACGGTCCATGAATACATATTTCCAGCTCCTACCTCTCCTCTAAAATTTAGACTCATATCTAATTATCTGCCAGTTATCACCACTTGGAAGACTAATAGACAACTATCACACATCCATAAGGGAATTCTTGATCCTCCACCTTCAACCCCTGGGCCCAACACTCCTCAGTCTTCTCCGTCTCAGTAAATAGCACCTCCAGCATACCAGCCGTTAGGCCAGAAAACTTGCCCTGACCCTTCTTTGTTTCTTGCACTTCATATCAGCATACACTGTTGAACTGTATTCAGAATCTGAGCTTCCCTTGCCACACCCATTGTGTACACCCTGCTTCACTTTACGTCATTGCTTTCATGGATTATCAAAATAGCCTCCTAACTCCTCTCCCACTTTCTCTTTCTCCCTGCACTTTGTTCTTCACTGAGCAACCAGAGTAAGTATTTATTTTTGTTTTTTGAGACAGAGTCTCCTCTGTCACCCAGGCTGGAGTGCAGTGGTGCAATCTGGGCTCACTACAACCTCTACCTCCTGGGTTCAAGCGATTCTCCTGCCTCAGCCTCCCAAGTAGCTGGGACTACAGGCATGCATCACCAAGCCTGGCTAATTTTTGTATTTTTAATAGAGACGGGGTTTTGCCATGTTGGCCAGGCTGGTCTCGAACCCCTGACCTCAGGTGATCCAGAGTAAGTCTTTTTAAAGCATAAGGCAAATAATATTTTCATCTGCTTAAAACCTTCCATGGCTAGGAATGTCTTAAACCATCTTGTCCCCTGACACTTCTCTGATCTCTAGTCCCATCAGTCTCCCCTCTATTATTGCAATCTTCAAAGACACCAGGCAGATGTGCTTCTGCCTCAGGGCCTTTGCATGTGTGGTCCCCTTTGCCTGGAATGCTTTCTCATCAGGAATCAGCATGGCTTACTTCCTCTCTTATCCAGGCCTTTGCTTAATTATTAATTATTACTCTGTCATAAGAAGAATCTTTTCTGACCATTTCACTTAAAATGGCACCTTCTTACTCTCTATTCTCTTATTTTACTTTATTCTTCTTTAAAGCACTTCTTATCATCTGACCTATCTTGTATACACATTTTCAAATTTCTTCACTGGTTGCTCCCACTTTGCCCTATGCAAGCTCCATGAGAGCAGAGACTGTTTTGTTAATTGCTGAATCTCTATCTCTTAAAATAGTTCTTGGCATAAGTAGGCATGCAGGTTAGTATTGCATGCATGAATGAGGACAATAACAGGCCCAAATTCTTCTGGAAAGTTTTTCCTCAGTCTTGAGGCTAGTTTACTCTCATCAGGTTTCTGGGTTTCTTGACCATTAACGACTCACTGTATCTCTGTCCTATTTACAGACACACGTTGGAAATATTGTGAGTTCGGTTCCAGACTACACTGCAATAAAGTGAGCCACACACATTTTTTGGTTTTGCAATGCATGAAAGTCATGTGAACACTATATTGTAGTCTATTAAGAGTACAATTTCAATATGTCTGAAAATACCAATGTACATGCCTTAATTTAAAATAATTTATTGATAAAAATGCTATTGATCATCTGAGCCTTCAGCAAGTTGTAATCTTTTTGATGATGGGGGTCCTGCCTCTATGTTGATTGCTGCCAACAGATCAGGGTGGTGGGCACTGAAGGTTGGAGTGCCTGTGACAATTTCTTTTTTTTTTTTTTTTTGAGATGGAGTCTCAGTCTGTTTCCCAGGCTGGAGTGCAGTGGCAGGATCTCGGCTCACTGAAACCTCTGCCTCCAGGGTTCAAGTGATTTCTCTTGCCTCAGCCTTCCAAGTAGCTGGGATTATAGGCACCCAACACCATGCCTGGCTAATTTTTGTATTTCTAGTAGAGACGGGGTTTCACCATGTCAGCCAGGTTGGTCTCAAACTCCTGACCTCAGGTGATCCACCAGCCTCAGCCTCCTAAAGTTGTGGAATTACAGGCATCAGAAATGGCGCCTGGCCAGCAATTTCTTAAAATAAGACGACAGTGAAGTGTGCTACATCAATTGACCCTTCCTTTGATGAAAAATTTCTCTGTGGCATGTGATGCTGTTTAATAGCATTTTACCCACAGTGAAACTTCTTTCAGAATTAGAGTCCATCCTCTCAAAGCCTGCTGCTTCTTGATCAACTAAGTTTATTGAATATTCCAAGTCCTTTATTGCTGTTTCAACAATGTTCATAGTATCTTCACCAGGAGGAGATTTCATCCCTCCCAAAAAAAAAACACCACTTTTCTTTTTGCTCATCCATAAAAAGCAAGTCCTCATTTCATCAAGTTTGATCATGAGATGCAGGAATTCAGTCACATCTTCAGGCTCCACTTCTAATTCTAGTTCTTTTGCTCTTGCTCTTTCTACCACATCTGCAGTTATTTCTTCCACTGAAGTCTTGAATTCCTTAAAGTTATCCATGACAATTTTAATCAACTTCTTACAAACTCCTGTCAATGTTGATATTTTGCCCCCCTCCCATGAATCATGAATGTTCTCAATGGCATCTAGAATGGTGAATACCTTCCATAAGGTTTTTAGTTTACTTTGCCCAAATCCATCAGAGGAATTATATGACAGCGATAACCCTATGAAATGTATTTCTTAAAGAATAAGACTTGGAAGTTGAAATTACTCCTTCATCCCTGAGCTTCAGAATGATCTTGTATTAGCAGGCATGGAAACAAAGTTGATTTCCTTGTATATCCCCATCAGAGCTCTTAGGTGTCATGGAGTACTAATATTTTGAAAGAAAACTTTTTCTCTGAGCAGTAGGTATCAACAGTGAGCTTAAAATATTGAGTAAACCATAGTATAAATAGACGTGCTGTCATTCAGGCTTTGTTGTTCCATTTGTAGAGCACAGGCAGAGTAGGTTTAGCGTAAGTTTTAAGGGCCCTGGAATTTTCAGAATGGTAAGGGCACATTGGCTTTAACTGAAAGTTGCCAGATGCATTAACCCGTCATGAGACTCAGCCTGTCCTTTGAAATTTTGAAGCCAGGCATTGACTTCTTCTCTCTAACTGTGAAAGTCCTAGATGACATGTACCTCCAGTAGAGAAGGCTGTTTTATCTACACTGAAAGTCTATTGTGTAGTGTGGCTACCTTCATCAGTGATCTCAGCTAGATCTTCTGGGTAACTTGCTGCAGCTTCTCCATCACACTTCTTGCTTCACCTTGCACTGTTATGCTATGAAGAGCACTTCTTTCCTTAAACCTCATGAACCAATCTCTGCTAGCTTCAAACTTTTCTTCTGCAGCGTCCACACTTCTCTCAGCCTTTAAGGAACCGAAGAGAGTCAGGGCCTTCCTCTGAATTAGGATTTGGCATAAAGGAATGTTCTGGCTGGTTGGGCCTTCTATCCAGACCATTAAACTCCACATACCAACAGTAATGCTGTTTCACTTTCTTAGCATGGTGTGCTCACTGGATTAACATCCTTCAAGAACTTTGCCTTTGCATTCACAGTTTGGCTGTTTCATCCAAGAGGCCTAGCTTTCAGCCCGTCTCATGTTTTGACATGCCTTCCTCACTAAGCTTAATCATTTCTAGCGTTAGATTTTAAGTGAGAAATGCATGAGACTCTTCCTTTTACACGAACAGTTATAGGCCACTGTAGGATTATTATTTGGCTTGTAGGATTATTAATTGGCCTAATTTTCATATTGTTGAGTCTCAGAAAATAGGGAGGCCCAAGGAGAGGAAGAGAGATGGGAAAACAGCGGGTTGGTGAGGCAGTCAGAGTCCATACAGTATGTATCAATTAAGTATGCCATCGTACATGGTTGCAGCTCATGGTGCCCCAGAACATAGCAGTAACGTCAAAGGTCACTGATCACGGAGCACCATAACAAGTATACTAATACATTTTGAAATATTGCTAGAATTACCAAAATGTGACACAGACACAAAGTGAGGCTATGGCATTTGAAAATGGCACCAAAGCTTCTGGTTAGCTGAACACGTGGAGGTTCGTAGAGGAGGGTAGTGTCCAGGGAGGTGAGGAAGTGCCATGCCACATCCCCCATACCGTGCCTTATGTGTCTTTTCACCTGTATCTGTTGTAGCATCTTTTGTGATAAGCTGGTAAACGTGTTTCTCTGAGTTCTATGAGCTGTTCCAGCAAATTAATCAAACTCAATGCGGGGATCATGGGAACTTCAACTTGAAGCCAGTCAGTCAGATGTTCTGGAAGCCCAGACTTGCAACTCGTGTCTGGGAGTCTGGGGAGAATCTTGGGTACTGAGCCCCCAATCTATGGGACCTGATGCTATCTCAGGGTAGACAGTGTCAGAACTGAATTCGAGGACACCAAACTTGTGTCTGCGCTTGATGCATGGGGAAAAGACCCCCATACATTTGGTCATAGAAGTCTTCTTCTGTGCTGATGATTTTTGTGGTGTGAGAGTAGAGGGAAAAAAAACAAGGTTTGAGAGAGTTTTTCCCTACATAATTGTCAGTGAAGTGGGATTTGCTTAAATGGCCCTGACTGATGGAAGCATGTGCTTTGAAAAGAGAAAGGATTAAAGGGTGGGAGGATGAAGAATCTTCGATTCCCAGGTGGCCACGTGGTCACTCATGGTATGAAGCTGCAGCTATGTTGAGATCAGTTACTAAAGGTAAAAGTTATCAGCCGAATTTAGAGATGGATCCAACCTCCCAGGAATTAGTTCACTGGATGCATAAGGAAATGCAAACTAACAAGAAAAAAGCAAAAGATTCAGTCCCTTGGTTATTGTTATCTATAATGGCTAAAATGAAAGTTAAAGACGGTGCTGGGTAAGGCCTTGAGGCTGGAATAAACTCAGATGTGGGTCTGTCTCAACTCAGGCCACCAGCCTCAAAGCCACCCAGAAAGGGGAACATTAAGCCTGGACACCAGAAAGTACCTTCAGAACTGTGGTCACCAAGAAGGCAGTGAATGTGGGAGAAGGGAAAATCCAACTACTGTTGAAACCAGAGGGTGTCCTGTGAAGGAACTGCTCCATTTTGAACATTGATATCATTAACTTCTCGAGGAACTTTTACTAAAACAGATCGAGAGTGACTAATTTAGGAGCAGCGTCTCTGGTTTTAAATGCTGCAGAGTGGAAGAGTTGTTTGGGCTGGTGCAGGACCCACACTCACTATTGAACAACCACAGATGGGTATATGTGATCCAGACACACAGGAGGTTATTCATGCAGGAACAGCCAGACGAGTGGACTAGAGAAAAGCCACAGGAAGGTCTGTTTTCCATGATAAGCAGATGGTCCAACTCCACCTATAAATGCCAAGCAGAGCACCCTAGATGACCCAGCTGATATGCTTTGTATGTTGGGGCACCCCAGATGACCCAGCTGATATGCTTTGTGTGTCGGAGCACCCCAGATGACCCAGCCGATATGCTTTGTATGTGAGCCGTGTGGGGCTGACTTTATGATGACTGGGATATTCCCCAGCTGAATAGGCCTGTTACCCAGGTCATGATAAATGCTGTGAGTAAAGGGGCTCCTTCTACATGGGCACCCTTTGTGATATTACTCCTACAGAATCCAACAACAACTCCAAAAGCCTTAACAAATTTGCTATCTCAGCTTCCCCTGTAATCTCAACGATTTGGGAGGCTGAGACAGGTGGATCACTTGAGGCCAGGAGTTGGAGACCAGCCTGGCCAAGATGGTGACACACTGTCTCTACTGAAAATACAAAAATTAGCCAGGTGTGGTGGTGCATGCCTATAGTCCCAGCTACTCAGGAGGCTGAGGCAGGAAAATCTCTTGAACCCAGGAGACGGAGGCTACAGTGAGCTGAGATCGTGCCATTGCACTCCAGCCTGGGCAACAGAATGAGACTGTCTCAAAAAAAGAAAAAAAATATGCAATTTACTCCTCTACAAAGTCAGTAATAAAGACGGGGAAAATAAGTTCAAAAGTAATCCCTCTGTTACAGCATTAGAGACTCTCCTTCATCCCCAAATGTAATATGCTATTACTTAACCTTACCTTTTGTTTTCTTTTATTTAGTTAGTTGAATCCCTTTCACCATGTTCATGGTAAAAGAAACGTGGCTCAATTTTGTGAGTTGAATTAGACAAGTCCCTGATTTTTCCTGTTTGTTAAATTTAGGATACTTTCTTTTATGAATTAGCATTATCTTAATCAAAAGAGCTTAATGAGATTCACTTGGCATGACTGGTAAGGTAATTATGTTTCAGAATTTACTGAAAAAGAAAAGTTCTTTTATTTGTTATGCTTTCAAGGAGTAGAAAACAGCAGTTGAAAATTGATACTGAAAAGGGTCAAAGTATGTTGGGGCATGGTTGAGCTCCTTTGAAACAGACTGGTGGGAAAGAAGTTTGTGTAAAGTTCAGCCTGTGTCTGCAGCTGAGCCTCTGAATGAGACACACACTACAGAAAGAACACACGGGCTGTGGCCATTCAGCAACTGAGCACCTATCCCAGGCACTGCGACTGCAAGGATGAGTAAGATACACACTCCCTACTCTGCAGACGTGTTATGCTGGGGTCCCAGGCACTGCGACTGCAGATGAGTAAGATACACACAGTCCCTACTCTGCAGATGTGTTATGCTGGGGTCCCAGGCACTGTGACTGCAAATGAGTAAGATACACACAGTCCCTACTCTGCAGATGTGTTATGCTGGGGTCCCAGGCACTGCGACTACAAGGGTGAGTAAGATACACACGGTCTCTACTCTGCAGACGTGGTATGCTGGGGTCCCAGGCACTGCAACTTCAAGGATGAGTAAGATACACACAGTCTCTACTCTGCAGACGTGGTATGCTGGGGTTAGCACAAAGTGGAAATGCAGGATTTTCTCATTTCAATACAGGATGATCAAAGCTCATACGCAGGAGGTTCAGGATGCTGTAGGAGCACATTGGGGGAGCACCTAAACTCTTTAGAACTAACTGATGATGAATACAGCTTATATTTGGAACTGTTGGTAGGAACGGTATAAAAAAGTTGGGTAAATGAGAATAGTGTACTAGTTTATTTATGTTAGTTAGCACAGAGTAATAATGTAGATGATTTAGTTAGCATAAAAAATAATTTTTAAGGCCAAAGAAGAAAGACACATGAGAAGTTTTTAGTTTCACTGTTGAAAATACACATTGCACACTATATAAGTCTCATAAAAAACATAAGAACATGTGTAAATGCAACGCATATGAAGCTGTAGAAAGAATAATGTTGCATATTATTCACTTATTACTCTTTTTTTTTTTTTAAATGACACAGAGTCTCGCTCTGTCGCCCAGGCTGGGGTGCAATGGCGCAATCTTGGCTCACTGCAACCTCCACCTCCTGGGTGCAAGTGATTCTCCTGCCTCAGCCTCCCTAACAGCTGGGACTACAGGCACCCTCCACCACGCCCAGCTAATTTTTGTAATTTTAGTAGAGACAGCGTTTCACCATGTTGGCCAGGCTGGTCTCAAACTCCTGACCTCAAGTGATCCACTCGCCTTGGCCTCCCAGAGTGCCAGGATTACAGGCGAGAGCCACCGTGCCTGGCCTCACTTATTACTCTTGACAGCACAATTATAGGTACTTAGTAGACATTTAGTTACTTAGTTGTTAGAATTCAAGGAGATTCTGAGGGGTATAATTAGTTGAAACTGCAATTCAGCAATGACTGTATCAGAAGACCATTTTCAATGAACTTACTTCTAATGACTGAGATGGAGGAGCTGTACCAGGGTTGCATCCCAAGTGAGGTCCACATCAGAGAATCTGGGGCGGGACCATCCAGCCACTTCCCTTACAGGGAAATAGGTTTCTCTTTCTGGTGAACTTCCTGACAGGCCCTTTAGGCTGGTGCTTTTGGTAAATCCAAGGAATGGAGTCTATTTTGGAATCCTGAAATACTCAAAGATGGCTTTGTCTCCCAGGAAGGGCATCACAAGTGGCATTTGAGAAGAAGCAGATGCAGGCAGGTCACTCTCTGACCCCCCAGGAGCAGATCATAAGACCTCATTTGAGAGGAAGAGTCCTTATACCCAGAAGAAAGAAACATCCTTATCTCTGAAGACACAGGGACACAGAGAAGAATTTGAACACACAGGCCTTGCTAAGTTCCCCCAGTTTATCTCCATGAGAGCATACTCACTCTGTCCAATTGTACCAATACCTGAGTCCACTGTTCATCCAACCTAACTAAGCACTATGATACACAAGATTTCCTGTTTCTTTGGGTCATTTTCTTATGAAGACTCCTGTGCCACATAAAGCTTTTTAAATACATGTGTACACTTTTCTCTCAATCTGTACTTTGTTACAGGGGCATCGGCCATAGTCCTAGTGATGGGTGAGGAAAAGAAACCTTTCTTCCCCTACAAAGGAATAAAAAAAGAATTATTGGGTATATATATTCTCAACCCAAAGAGAGAATTCCATTCTATGTGTCTTATTTCCTCCCTATGTTTTATTATTCATGGACAGACCCTCTACTCTTGATCCATTTGATCAAAAAATCTGTGAAGACTGCATCCTGGACTGTGGCCCTAGAATGGAGTGTCTTGCAGCTGTGTGTGAAACTGGATACTTGTGGACTAGAGCTCCTGAGTGAGGAGAAGAATTAATGACCCCCGTGAAGCCATCCAGTGAGCTCTTAGGATGAGCTGATAAAGAATTTGGGAGGACTCTTGCTCTGGACTTTCTGGGACAATTTCCTTCTTCACAGCAGAGTCCAGGTCTTCTTGAGCCCTTTGCCATGGGAAAGCTGTGCCCTCCTATGTCTCCTCTGAGGCTGTCTTCCTCATGGGAAAGCTGTGCCCTCCTACGCCTCCTCTGAGGCTGTCTTCCTTATGAGAGAGCTGTGCCCTCCTATGTCTTCTCTGAGGCTCTCTTCCTCATGGGAGAGCTGTGCCCTCCTATGTCTTCTCTGAGGCTCTCTTCCTCATGGGAGAGCTGTGCCCTCTTATGTCTCCTCTGAGGCTGTCTTCCTCATGGGAGAGCTGTGCCCTCTTATGTCTTCTCTGAGGCTGTCTTCCTCATGGGAGAGCTGTGCCCTCCTATGTCTCCTCTGAGGCTGTCTTCCTCATGGGAGAGCTGTGCCCTCCTATGTCTCCTCGGAGGCTGTCTTCCTCATGAGAGAGCTGTGCCCTCCTATGTCTCCTCTGAGGCTGTCTTCCTCATGGGAGAGCTGTGCCCTCCTATGTCTCCTCTGAGGCTGTCTACCTCATGAGAGAGCTGTGCCCTCCTATGTCTTCTCTGAGGCTGTCTTCCTCGTGAGAGAGCTGTGCTCTCCTATGTCTCCTCTGAGGCTGTCTACCTCATGAGAGAGCTGTGCCCCCCTATGTCTTCTCTGAGGCTGTCTTCCTCATGGGAGAGCTGTGCCCTCCTATGTCTTCTCTGAGGCTGTCTTCCTCATGGGAGAGCTGTGCCCTCCTATGTCTCCTCTGAGGCTGTCTTCCTCATGGGAGAGCTGTGCCCTCCTATGTCTTCTCGGAGACTGTCTTCCTCATGGCTCAATTGCAGTTCTGCAGCCAAAAATCGGGGTATTTCCCAGCATTTTATATGTTGTGCCTGAGAATGAATCTGCACAATCTGGCTAAGCAGGAATTAACTGTTAGGCACACAGGGCCTTGTGAATTGCTAAAAGGCTCTCCTCTGGACAACACTCATTATGGGTTGTGATCAAGTTACAGAATGTTCACGTTGCTTTCTTAATCAGCCTTGTTTGTGACTATTGATATCTTTGATCAAGATTGCAAATTGATTTTAATTTTTGTGCTTATATATTAAGGAATTATCTCTTTGTTATTTCAAGTGAGCCGTTCATAACATTAATTTAGTCACCCATTCAGATCTACAGACTACAAAAATGAATATTATATAGATATAGACACTGCATTCATATAAAAAATTTCCCAATAGATATATCTGGGCTACAATTGTCATAAAACGAAGGCTCACTTTTAGTGAGCTCACTTTTAGAACAAGCAAAATCATATATATTATAGGTTAAGAAAGATAAAATAACGAAAGAAAAAGAGAATGGAAATAAACTGCAATTCTTATTTTCTTGTTCTTTATCACTAGGTTTTGCAGGATTCAGCTCCATGAGAAAGTTTTCCCCATTATTAGTCTCCTAGTAGGCTTTGTAATTAGGAAAAAAACTCAAAACTTCCCCTGCCCCTTGCTATGTTTTGGTTGTATAATCTTATTCTTGGATTTGGTCAACATAAATTTAAGGCTTATATTCAAATCAAGCTTGTAAAATAAAATATTTCTTCTTTCAAATTTGCCTCTGTAGTCTCCATCCCTCATCAGATGCCAAGAATAATTCAGATGGTGGATACAGGATTTGTTCTTTAAATAAGAAAGCAAGCCTTGTTTTCTTACCAATGAGTAGAAACTGGTGAAAGATGGGGCCCCTGCCTCACATTCTATCTTATGTTCCTGGGAGAGTCATGGTGCTGAGATATTATCTATCCTTCTCCCTGATTTCTCTAAAGATCCCTAGGCCTCCTATGTGCTGGAGAGTGAGAGAGGATTTAAAGTCTTTCTGAGAGTGACTCCTCACGTTACTGTGGTTTTCTGTTACTAATACAAGTGCTTACTTTCCCAGCATCTGTGACAGTTTTCTTTTTCTGTCTGTCTTTCTCTTCTCTAAGGTAATGAACACAAGGTAACTCCTCTTAAGAAACAGACAGTGAAACATAAGCCAAATATCGGATGGCTTACACTTCACTCCAAGGGTTCCGATTATTCATCCTCTGATTTCCCCTTGGCTTTTCTAAGAAAAGTGCAGCTTTATGTTTACTAAGACTAGAGAAATTCAGCTTTGCAGAAGGAACATAACATCTCAGTTGCTGTAGTCTTTGTTGTTAGTTATCATTTATAACCAGGAGCTTGAATTTTCTTTCCTGGACTTGACCATTGTAGAGTGCAGCAGGGTCTTCTCTGGTGCTGCAGGAGAAGGGATGGAGTCCTTCTCTCTGGGTTCTTTTGGCCCAAGAAGCCTTCCAAAATGGGAAATGTAGGCTCCGAGCAAAGGTGTTTTTGACTCTTTCGTTGGCTATTCTGTCCTGATGTGGGGAATAGTGCTTGGCACACAGTAGAACCTCAGGAAATATTTATAGAATTAATGAATGAATGAATCCTCCATGAAATAGGTTTATTGGATGGGTTTACTGGAGCTTGACCTCCAATGACCTTCACATGGGGAGACAGTGTTGCCAGTGAGTGCCATGGTTGCCTTTCTATTCCAGCTCTTTGTCCTGGGAAGAGTTTGCTGCATCTTCCAGTTTCAGTAATCAAAGAAGCAAAGTTCCCTGCAGTTCTTCAAGGAACCTTGAGAATTCAGAAGGTCTTGGGGTGGCTGCATCCATCCTGCAGACAAATGCCAATCAGCAGAGGGGCCATTCCCAGGGACACATGTCTGGCTGACTTGGGCCTTGGCCAGGTAAGACACACAGCATGCATGCCTGCATTTCTGAATGCCATAGACCTGACAAGTCATAAAATAGCAACCAATAATTTTATGTTAGAGTGCTCCCTTCCTCACAGAAATCTCAGCATATGTGAAGATAGGTTGGAATGTGTAAAGAAAAGCTAAGAAAGCAGATTTCTGATAAGAACAGCGTGTGACTTGTACAGCAGCTCTGAATTACAGCCCGTAGGATGGAATGCTGACAGTTCCTTCTTCCTTACCTGTGATGGCTAGAATTTTATTTAGCACATCGTTTTTGAGCCAATCTCAAAATGAGAAAACTTTTGAGGAATTATGCATAGTGTGAAGTATATTCTTTCCCTTGTTGCCCGTGGAGATTCCACTGTGACAGGGCAGATTTCCCACTGCAGGGTCGATGGAGATGCTGCTGCTGTCTTTGGACATAATAGTTTATGACAAAGAGACCAAAATAATTCCTGTTTAGCCATGCGGTTGTCTGTAAATCTGCTTAGTTGGTCATCCAAAGTGATGACATTTAAGATATAGTTGATACACTGTTTATCTTAAAGAAACATTTTAAAATTAATTCTTCAGACCTATGTAATATTTTATCTTTTCTGTTTAATAATATCCAAATGTGCTTTTGTGAAGCACAAAACACATGTGTATTTCTTCATAAATCAGTCAGATAGCTTTGAAAATATATTTCAAGTATGTAGCAAAGACCCTCAAAACACAATTATTGAAGCATTATAAAAAG
The DNA here is from genome assembly GCF_000001405.40 of Homo sapiens. Lineage (NCBI taxonomy): Eukaryota > Metazoa > Chordata > Mammalia > Primates > Hominidae > Homo > Homo sapiens. Next base: position 201,304 of record NT_187650.1, on the reverse strand, counting down.
GTGAATTTGCTTCAGTTTTGGACTTTTAATAGACTTCACTGTTATGTAGTAAAGATAGAAATATGCCATAAAAGTCTCTGGTTAAGAGCCAAGACTTTTTCTCCTGTATCATTTCAGATCCCGTCATTTCTACCTGATCTTTAGGATAGACTATGCACATTCAGAGTGTTGAGTAAAATTATTAGAAAATATAATACCCATAACATGGTTCTTTATACCCTTTAAGTAAATATGTTGGCACATGAATTCACAATTTAAAACGCTGACTTTGTAAGAAATTTGCATGTGTCTCCAGTGAAGATATTGTTGCCCTTGTGTTCTTTGTGCGTGATTTATGACAAAATTATGAGACCTTTACATTTGTGGAAATAAAACACGTAAAGTTATTTCAAATACACATCAAGTCCATCACTGTGTTCTGTCAATCTTATCTCTAAATATTTCTCAAGTTTCTTCATTGACTTTCATTTCTACTCCCACAACCAGAGTCCCAGATCACCATCATTCCTCACTCTCCGGACTCCTGGAATATAGTCCCATTCTCCATGCCTCCAAATAATTAAAGACACAGAAAAACACATTATGTAAAAAAAGTAGGAGTCCAAATTGAACATTCAAGTTGATTGTAATGAAAACTCACTAAAATGTTAACAGTCATAGAATTAGCCGTGATACCTATTTTGCTCTTTTATACTTTTTAACATTTTCTAAATGTTCTACAATAAGCATGAATTATTTTTTAAAATTTTATTAAGGTGCATTTTCATTTGGGTGCGGTGGCTCACACCTGTAATTCCAGCACTTTGGGAGGCCGAGGCAGGTGGATCACGAGGTCAGGAGATTGAGACCATCCTGGCAAACACGATGAAACCCCATGTCTACTAAATATACAAAAAATTAGCCCGGGGCAGTGGCGTGCACCTGTGGTCCCAGCAGGAGAATTCTCCAGGCAGGAGAATGGCGTGAACCCGGGAGGCGGAGCTTGCAGTGAGCCGAGATGGCACCACTGCACTCCAGCCTGGGCGACAGAGCGAGACTCCGGCTCAAAAAAAAAAAACAAAGTGAAAGTGAAAACAGATACCAACTAAAATCTACTACTTAGAAATTCTGATTATTAAATTAGGTGAACGTCATGTCAGACATCTTATTGTTTCTCTCCGTGTATCTACTCACAGACAGGTGCGTGGACACACACATATGGAGAGGGTGAAGAACCGCTAGTCAGCGAGTTAGAGACAGGCAAAAAGTAAAATTTTATATGTACAAGATCAAACTATGCATCATCTTAAAAAGATTAAAATGTATTAGGTTAACAATTTGTACCTAAAAAGTTAAGCCTTATTTAAAATGCAGGGTGTCAGCTATTGAAATAAAAACATCACACGACCTCAACTTTTTACGTTGTGGACTTAGCCACCCTGCGCCCAGCTCTGTTCCAGTTCTTTCCTCTTGCCTTTGGCTTCTACCGCTCCATCGTAGGCCTGACTTCTAGAAGAAACACGGCTAACCTGCTAGGGCTTTAGGCCTGATCTGCCTTTCTTAGGAAGAGAGAGAGATGGAAAGAAAGAGATGGCTTCTTCTTAGCAGAAACATGTCAGCTGCCTTCTTCTCAATTTCCCTGGACAATATTTATGTTCACTCTCCCACCAGTGAGCAGGTAGATGCCTGCATGGGTAGCTCATTCTTACGAAAACGTTGAACTCCTTACGTAAAACATTTTGAATAAAAACAATTGATCAAAAAGAATAAGAAACATTTTGAATAAAAACAATTGATCAAAAAGAATAAAATATGCAGCTTTTCAAATTATACAGACCAGGTGAATTTAGTAGAGAATGAACAAAGTGGTTTACAATATAAAGATTTCTGAATTCAGTGGTCTGGGTGTTCACTGCCCCAAAGAAATGAAAACAGAAAACACTGAGAACCCGTTAATGGGACCATCAGCAGAGATTAGCTCTGTTTCCTTTTTACCTGTGACTTGGGCATCATAAGAATATCTCAGTACCACTGTCCTGGTCTGAAAGCCACTTTGTTTCACATGGCACTGTTGTGATGTCCACAAGAGCCAGTCTTTGCAGATCTTTGCTCTGCAAATTACTACCAAGTGTGACTCTGGGTACAGCCGTTAAGCACTGCACCCCAATCCCCTGTCTGTAATATGGAAATAATAAAATCTAACTCTGAGACATAATTTAAATTACGAGGGGGTACATTACAGTAGGTTATAAGCAAAGGTTCATTCTCTTTCCTGCCTCTTATCATCTAATCTAGTTTGTTTGGAAGAGAGAGGGAGCTTGTGTGTTTCAAATATGTCACTTATATATAATTTACTACTGAATTAAAGACTATGTCTAAAATTTTGTTTTTAAATTGATGATTTTGATCCACATATTTTGTATGATTTCTTTTAGAGTTGGATTTATTGTCATCATCTAGTTTTGTGCTTTACATTTTCCTCCTGTTACTATGTTGTCCTTTTCTTTCCTTTTTTCTTTCTTTTTCCCTTTCTTTCTTTCTCTCCTCCCTCTCTCCCTCCTTCCCTCTTTCTCCCTCTTTCTCTCCCTTCCTGCCTGCCTTCCTTCCTTCTTTCTTTCTCTGTTTCTCTCTTTCTTTCTCTCCTTTTTGACTGAATTTTGATTTTAAAATTATTTTTACCCTCTCTACTGGTTTGGAAGCCATAAACCCTTTTTTAAATCATTCTGTGGCTGCTCTTAATCTTAATAAAATCCAAAATGAATCTGTTCTCCTTCCTAGCAATGCTGTATCTTAATTCTCATCAATTGCCACCTGCTTTACATTGTATTTTTGTGTGTTATTTAGATTCTGCCTCCACATATTTACAGTGTTTTTATTATTTCATTTATACCAGTTTCTTGGTTTATTGTTCCTTTTTTCATCCCAGACCCTTTTTATGGAATCATTTTACTCTATCTGAAGTATTTCCATTAGCAATTCTTTTTTTTTTTTTTTTTTTTTTTTTTTTTTGAGACGGAGTCTCGCTCTGTCGCCCAGGCTGGAGTGCAGGGGCGCGATCTCGGCTCACTGCAAGCTCCGCCTCCCGGGTTCCCGCCATTCTCCTGCCTCAGCCTCCCGAGTAGCTGGGACCACAGGCGCCCGCCACCGCGCCCGGCTAAATTTTTGTATTTTTGGTAGAGACGGGGTTTCACCGTGTTAGCCAAGATGGTCTCGATCTCCTGACCTCGTGATCCACCCACCTCGGCCTCCCAAAGTGCTGGGATTACAGGCGTGAGCCACCGCGCCCGACCTTCCTTTAGCAATTCTTTTAGCAAGAGTCTGATTATATTAAACATAGATTCTGTTTGCCTAAAATGTGTTTATTTTGTCCTAATTATGACACAATAGTTTGCTGAGCAAACATCTTGAGATGGATGCTATCTTCTGTCAGAATTTTAGGCTAGTGCTTTGTTCTGGATCCACTGATACTGTTGGAAAAAATTGTTTTTCATATAACGGTTATTTCACTGAAGGTAAACTTTTTACTCTGGCTATTTTTAAGGTCTTTTTTTTTTTTAATTTTGGTGGCCCGAAGTTGAAGTTTGTGCCCAGATGTGGGTTTCTTTTCATCTAATCTGCTTAGAAATGTTTGGTTTCTCTTATTTCCCTATCTTCACCTCCTATTTTTTTCATTTTTAATTTTTAATTTTATAGAGATGGGGTTTTGCTATGTTGCCTGGGCTGGTCTTGAACTGCTGGGCTCAAGCAATCCACTTGCCTTGGCCTCCCAAACTGCTGGAATTACAGGTGCGAGCCACCACGCTTGGCCAATCCTCGCCTTCTGGCCACTCTTCAGAACCTGTTGTGTCTTTGAGGGCTGATCTTTTTGTATCTTCACCTTCTTTCATATTTTGCATTTCATTATCTCCATTATGTCTCTGAGCTTCATTCTAGTAGTTTCTGTATAAGTCATTTTCTTAGCTACATTAATCTTTTGTTTATCTTACCTACTGAATTTTTAATTTGAGTGATTACATTTTCTGTTTGAGAGGTTCTTTTTGGTTCTTTTTTCAAATAGCCTGTTTTCTTTGGTATAGCATTTTGTTTCTAGTTCATAATTTCAATTTCTTTTTTGGATAATTTAAAAATACTTATTTTATAATTTGTGTCCAATATTTTTATACTTGAAAGTCTTTGGTGGTTTTTTCTGCTGTTGGTTGTTTCCGTTAACTCTTGTATTTTGCTTTTTCAAAAACATATTTTGGATTAAGCTCACATTTAAGTGTTTGGACTTTACGTGCAAGAATCTGTCAAGGTTTATGTTGAGGGTGCACCTTCCGCAGAGAATTTGTGTTTTTGTTTCTTGGGCATTCCTGACTCAAGGTTGTGTAAAATAGTTTCTCGGTTTGAACTTTCCTGGAGTTACTGCGTGGTATGATTTTAAACCCAACTCCAGAGCGTGTCAACTGTACAGATGTTGTCATGAAAAACATCTATTTTTGTCACTTTGAGTCCAAACTAAGGATGACATTTTTTGGTCACCTTTTGTCATCTTTTTAAACCAGTGGATGGATATATATAGAGAGTTATATTTTTATGTCTTTCTATATAATCTATAGAAAGTATATAAACATTTACATCAATGTTGTGGGCGCTGGCTTTATTTGGAGACCTTATTTGTAACTTCCTCTTTGGGCTGAGATCATGCCTCTCCTCCTGTCCTGTGTATCATGCAAAATGCAAGCCTTCAGGCCCAGAGGCTGCTGCCTGATCACTCCACAGCCGCAGTGATAGCTCACCGTTCGGGGTTTAAGTCTTCTTTTTATTTTTTGGCCTGTGAATATTTTTATGCCCTTTAAAGTTAATTATATTATTATTATTTCTTGCCTTGCTAAATGTTTTAAATATTTAGAAATATTTATTTATATAATATTTATAAATATGACGAAAATTTTTCAGAACACGTCTACCAAAATGGAATCCAAAATAGCCTCTCAATCCATCTCACCCTTCTTCTTTGACTCTTTCCGATCCGTTTTCTGTCAAGTAGCTAAAGTGATGTTAAGTGAAAATAGGATCATATTGTTACTGGAAGGAGGGCCTTGAGTGTCAGTTGTCCAGGTTCTTTGGTGTTTTGAACAAAGAATTGGACAAAACCCACAAAGCAACAAAGGAACGAGACACAAGAACAAAGCAGCGAAAGCTGAATTCACTGAAGCAAGACAGCCCTCCACAAGGTGTGAAAGCTGGAGTCACTGAAGCAAGACAGCACTCCACAGGGCGGGGGAAGGAGCCAGTTTTCCGGGTTTTAAGTACCCCTTTTGAGGCTCCTATAAGTTACCTCTTGTCTGGATGAAGGATTTGGTTCCTGGCTAATTAAAGGCTGAGGTGAATTGGTGCCCTATGCAGAGGAAGGGGTGGCCCATGCTTGGCCAATCAGGGCACTCTCTCTTTCCATCTGAGATGTGCTGGAAGCGGGAGGGCTGTAGGGAGATTTGATCCTTTGCTGCTCGGCGTGGGGAGATGGGATTTCCCCTTCTGGTTTAGTTTTAGGAAGTTCGTGTTAATTGGCCTTAGGTTCCCTACCCCCAGACCCAGGTGTCCTCCTTTTGATCCAGCTTTGAGAAGTCAGCACCAATTGGCCCCCAGACCCTGGTGTTTTTCCTCGATTCAGCACAAATTGGCCTTAAGTTCCAGACCCTGTTTTCCTGCCTCGATATCACTCCCTTGGTAAAAATCCTTCAATAGCCTTCTGTTATTGGTTAAATTGTATCCCTCAAAAAGACTTGTTTAAATCCTAACCCCTGGTACCTTGACTATGGCGTTGTTTGGAAATAGGATTTTTGCAGATATCATCAAGGTAACATGAGCTCATACTGACTTAGGGTGAGCCCTAGCCCACAGTGGTATTCTATGAGGGAAACGTGTACACAGAGACAGAGGCACTCCAGGAGAAGCCATGCGACCGTGAAGGCAGAGGCTGGATTGACAACGCCACAAGCCAGGGGATGCCAGGGACTGGCGGCAACCACCAGAAGCTGGGAGGAAAGCGTGAGACGGCTCCTCTCTCTGAGTCCCCAAGTAGGAATCGACCATGCTGTCATCTTGCTTCCAGACTTCTGACCTCCAGAACTGAGACAGAATAAATTCCTGTTGTTTAAGTCACCCAGTTTGTGATAGTTTTGCTATGGTTGCCCACTGGTAAATGAATGAGCTAGTGAAGAAAACTGGTACAGCAGACCAGAGGGAACGGAAACGCAAGTGCTCTCACAGGGAGGCCTGGAAGCGAGCTGATTGATGTTGCAGAGCAAATACACTTCCCCTTATAATTAGTATAAAGTAAAAGATCATTAGCGTTGCTGGTGGTGTCTGTTTCATCTTTCCACTCTACTTTCGAGCTTCAGGTTGCTGTCATTGCTTTCACTGGCCTTTTTACAGTTTCTTGAACAAGCTCTTGTCTGACCCAGGAGTATTGTACATGCTGATCCCTCTGCCTAAGAGACTCACCTGAGTTTTGCTTGAATAACTACTGCTTATCAGATCTCACTTCCTCGAAGATCTCTTTCATAACAGTTTCCCCCATCCGTCTCTAAACTACGCCCCTTATTTTTGTTTCTGCACTTTCTTTGCCTTCATAGCATTTATCACAGATTATGACTTGTTTGTAAGATGATTTTGAAATGTCTGTCTTCTCTGCCAGACTATAACCCCATTAGGTAGTGAGGTGCCTGTTTCACTCTTCTCTGTTTCCCAACTACCAGCACAGAGGTGGGTATGCCATAAATATTTTTGAAGAAAGGAAAACACCTTTTTAGGCTTGTAATTAGAAGGATGGATACAAAAAGAGAAATGCCTATTTTCAAGTTGTTTTTATATTAAGGCCAGAGTGTTAGACATGCTGCTCCAATCATTCTTATTTAAGCAGCTTTCTGACAGGTTAGTAATAAATGCCACAGTGTTAAAAGAGCAATCACCCGTCATTCAAGCTCTGCTTGAAATACACTTGAAATGTCATATGTTAGTACAGTCAGTGTTATTTCACCGGTTACTTATAGCAGGTACTGCTGAAATGCTTAATGACTAGGTTGGTTCAGTGTTCAAACTCAGTACTCTGTTTATACCAAGAGAGCAGAAACATTCACTAAACGTATTCTAAAGCATGTGCTTTCTTTAAAAAATTAGCATAAACTTGTCATTTCGTGCTGAATTACAGGCAATATTTAGGGTCATTTGGGATCTTCGAGGTAACAATGTACAAAATTTCTTCTAGTATGTGGTTCTTCAGGCCTCATCACGGAATTCTCTACCTGCCTTGGTTTGGCAGAGGGCTAGCTTACTGACCCTCAGAGCAGATCACAAATTCATCTTTTAGACTATGTTTATTTCCTGACTGCGTTCTCTGTGCTTGTGCCCTGAGACAGTTAAATTATGAAGAGTACAATTCTATAAATCCAAACATGTCACAAATAATTGTGGCCCCAGGGCCCAAAGAGTTATGAGAGAATATAATGGAAGAAACAGCTACTATGTTTGCCACTCCATTAAAAAAAGAACTCATTCTAGCTAACCTCATTTAGTAGGTAAACTTTGCAACAGTGTTGAAGAAAGTAAGAAAACACATAGGCGACCCCACGTGGAAATGCCACTTTGCTAAAATGACATTTTGATCTATTGCTTATGGAATACTGTGGATGGTCCTTAAATCCGTTAGATGGTCTAATAATGTTATGTGCTCTCAAAATTCTGGAAATGTTTTTACAGTTGTAACTTGCATTCAGCAAAATTGATAATTGTGATTTGGAGTGATGTCAGCAAGATGGCAGAATAAGAGGACCCTGGCTTCACTACCATCTCCTGCCGCCTGCCACACACAGAAAGTTCAGCTAGCAAACACCTGCAGACAAGAATACCTTGGTGAAAACCCTAACATGTGGGAATAAGCCAGAGTCAGCTGTGTGGTCCAGAAAGGAATAAACACTACATTAAAGGGTAAGAAAAACAATCCCATGTTGACCATGTCTCTCCTCCTCCTCCCCTAAGTCAGCACAGCACCTCGCAGATGGAATTCCCCAGAAACTACAGTTCCTACAGAGCAAAAGGAGAATCAGAGGCAGACATGAAGCTTCCCTAGCATTCTGAGATGCTTCCCAGGAAGCCCACTCTGGTCTCACCTCAGGAGGAACAGAGGGGAAATGGCATGGCTAGACCACCTTGGGTGAGATAGAAGCAAAGCGAGGAGGCAGAGTCCACAGTGACAAGCAGACAGATCCTGGCTGTAGCTCTGCACACCTGCCAGCAGTAGCACCCAATCAATAGTACCAGCTAACACCATACCCACCTGCAAATCTGAGCTGGTCACCCTCAGAAGCGGTGGGAAGTTCTACCTGGCTTGAATCCTTAGATGACCAGCCTCAGACCCTACCCTGAGAACATGTCCAGGGAGGGAGATAACCACTACAGCAAATTTTGGCAAAGATCCAGGGCTAGTGTTGTCACACTCAGGAGTTTATTACTATTATCACTTTCATTTGAGATAGGGTCTCACTCTGTCACCTCAGCTGGAGTGCAGTGGCGTGATCACAGCTCACTGTAGCTTCGACTTCCTGGGCTCAAGTGATCCTCCAGCCTCAGCCTCCCAAGCAGCTTGGACTACAGGTGCATGCCACCACACCTAGCTAATTTTTAAACTTTTTGTAAACACGGGGTCCCACTATGTTGCCCAGCCTGGTCTTTAACTCCTGGGCTCAAGCAATCTTGTTGTCCCAGCTTTCCAAAGTACTGGGATTATAGGGGTGAGCCACCATGCCTGGCCACACCGAGGAGTGTTTAAATAGTACTTTGCATGGCCTCAAAGCCCACACACATATCCCACCCAAGGAAGGGGACAACCACCGCAGCAAATTTCAGCAAAGAGCTAGGACTTGACCTAGCACACCCAGGAGTTTAAATAATGCTCAGCCTAGTCTCAAAGCCCACCCCAAGACCTCACTTAAGCAGGTAGGCAAACCTCAACTGTGCATTTTTACCGAGCATAGTAGCTGGTCCCATCCATCCTAGTCAGTGACTCCACCTAACCTCAGAGTGCTTTCTGCAACCCTGTTTAACTGCTGACTTTAAATTGAGGTACCAACTGGCCAGAGAATACTACACTTCATGGCCCAGTCTAATCAGAGGCAAATTGCAGTGCCCATCCAGCAGTCCATCCTCACTGGAGAGTTCAGCTTAGTGGTCTTGCTGAGCTCTTGCTTGGGTAGCAGATCCCAGCCAGCTGCCCCATTCAAACTCACAGAAAAGGCAGCACACCATCAATGAAAGAACCCCCAAATAAGCTCTACATATTCAGGGTTGTTATGAGCTGATGTGTTCAGAACCACAGGCTACACTACACTGTGACAATTATTCCTGCCAAAGAATACCTGCAAAAACTGGAAAAGGTGGCTATCACCTCAAATATGCAGACACTAATGTAAGGATAGAAGGATAACGTCCTTACAAGGGTAACAAAGACTCAGGAAATCATGACACCCCTAAAAAGAAAAATCAACTAAAATAGATTTAACAATGAACCCCAAGGAAAGGACAATTTATAAAATGACAGACAATGAGTTTAGAAAAATCCTCTTAAAGAAGATCATGAACTACAATAATATAGGGATAGAAAATTAAATGAAATTTGGAAAACAATACATGAACAAAATGAGAACTTCGATGAAATAGAAATAATTCTTAAAAACCAACAGAAATTCAAGAGTTGAAGAATACAATGACTGAACTGAAAAGATGCAACTGAAAGCTCCCACAGCAGGTTTGATCAAGCTAAAAGAAGAATCAGTGAACTGGAAGATAGAACATTTGATATTATCCAATCAGAGTAGCAAAAATTAAAAAAAATAAATTTAAGAATGAAGAAAGCCTGCAGAAATATGTGCCACCCTCAAGAGACTGAATATACACATAATATAAATTCCAGAAAGAGAAGAAAGACAAAAAAGGGTAAGAAAGCATATTTAAAAAATAATGGCTGAGAATTTTCCTAATATGAGGATATATACCAATATCAAGGTATAGGAAGCACAGAGGTCTCCAGTCAAATTCAACCCAGAGAGGAGTTTACCAAGACACATAATAAACTATCACAAATAAAAGACAAAGAAAAAATTCTGAGAGTGGCAAGAGATAAAAAGCCACACAGCACCTAGAATAGTCTCAATAGACTCTCACCAGATTTTTCAATGGAAACCCTGAAGGCCAGGAGATAATGGGATGATAGATTCAAAATGTTGAAGGAAAATAAAAATAGCCAACCAAGAATATTTTACTCAGAAAATCCGTCTTTGTGAAATGAGGAAGAAATAAAAATTTTCCCAGACAAACCAAAGCCAAAGGAGGTCATCATCACTGGGCCTGCCTTACAGGAATTGCTAAAGGGAGTTTCTTAAGCTGAAATAAAAGGCCAATAATTATTAACAGAAAATGTACAAATGCACAAAACTCAATGGCATAATAAAGAATCATATGTGGAATGCTCTAGGACTGTAATGATGATGTGTAAGGCAATTTTATTCCTAGTATGGGGGTTAAAAGACAAAATTATTAATAAAACTTAGCTAAATACATTTTCAAGGGATAGATATTATAAAATGTAAATTCGTACATCAAAAACGTAAAATATCAGGGAGATAACAGTGGAGAGTTGTGTGACTTTGACTACCTACAACTGTTATAGCATAACAATTATATGAACTGTCAAAATAGACTGTTACACTTGTAAAATGTTTTATGTAAGCTTCATACTAATCACAAAGCAAAAATCTACAGTAGACACACAAAACAAAAATAGAAAGAATTCAAAGTATACCACTAAAGAAAATCATCAAGCCACAAAAGAAGACAGAAAGAAAGGAAGATGGAAACAAAGTATCTACAAAACAATCAGAAACCAATTCACAAAATGGAGGTAGTAAGTCCTTAACATTCATAATTACCTTGAATGTAAATGCTCCAATAAAAAGACAGAGTGGCTGAATGGATTAAAAACAAGACCCAGTTATATGCTACCTACAAGATACTCATCTTACTTTTAAAAACACATATAGGCATGCGTAACAAACCTGCACGTTGTGCGCATGTGCTCTAGAACTTAAAGTATAATAAATATATATATATATCACATATAGACTAAAAGTGAAGAGATGGAAAAAGATATCCCATGCTTGTGAATTGGAAGAATTAATATTGCTAAAATGTACATACTACCAAAAGCAATATGCAAATTCAATATAATCTCTTTCAAAACTTCAATGCCATTTTCACAGAAATAAAAAGACAACTAAAATTCACATGGAATTGCAAAAAACCTTGAATAGCCAAGGCAATCGTGGGCAAAAAGAACAAAGCTGTAAGCATCACACTACTCATTTCAAACTATACTACTACATCAGCTTAGTGCTGCCATAAAAATAAACACATCAAAAAACAAACAAAAAAAGAAAAACAGACACATCAATGAATGGATTAGGATAGAGAGCCAAGAAAGGAACCAACACATGTATGAACAATTGATTTTCAATAAGGCATCCATAGATAATTATTAAATAAATGAGTCTGGCTGCATTCATAGGACAAATAAAACAGTTGATTGTCAGAATTTGGCCAGTGGCTGGAGTTTACTGACCCCTGATCTAGGCATTGAGCATTAAAGACTGCCAACATAAAAGAGATAGAGTCAACTAGATAGTATGTGATTCCTGATGGGAGAACATGCTAGCAGGTATAGTCTTGTCAAATAAACCTCTGGATTCAGTTAACAATTTGCAGCAGAAGCAGAGTTTGGAAGAACATACTGAATTGTACTCTAAATAGGCAATCAGCCAAGTCAAAACCACAAGCACCTCTCCAGGTTCTGCAAAGGATCAATTATAAAACTAAATTACAAAAGATCGTAAGTGTGCCAAGAATACACAATATAAAATGGATATCTTTAATAAATGTTTTTGAGAAAATTGGATATCTATATATAGAAGAATTAAATTGAAACCTTTTCTCATATCATGTGAAAAAATTAACTCAAAATGGGTCGAAGACTTAAGCATAAAATCTGAAACTGTAAAACTACTAGAAAAAAACATAGGGAGAAAACTACATGAAATTGGTTTGGGCAATTACATTTTCAATTTTACTCTACAACCACAGGCAACAAAAGCAAAAAGAGATGAATGGGATTTCATGAAATATGAAAGCTTCTGTATAACAAAGGAAACAACAGAAACAACCTACAAATTAGGAGAAAATATTTGCAAGCCACATATCTGATAAGAAGCTAATATCCAAAATGCATGCGGAACTCAAACAACTCTAGAAAACAAATAAGACTAATTTAAAAAATGGGCATAGGACCTGAATAAACATTTTTCAGGAGAAGATATACAAATTACCTACAAATATATGTAAAAAGAAAAAACTCAATATCACTAATCATTAGGGAAATGCAAGTTAAAACCACAATGAGACAGCACCTCACACCTCTCAACATGGCTATTTAAAAAAAAAGAGAGAAGGGATTAAAAAGTTTTGGTGAGAATGTGGAGAAAAGAGAACTTTTGTACTCTGTTCTTGGGAATGTAAATTAGTACAACTTTTATGGAAAACTGTATGGAGGTTCCTCAAAAAACTAAAAATAGAATTACCATATGACCTGGCAATCCCGCTTGTGTGTATTGACACAAAACCCATATCTATGCCAGAGAGATGTCTGCACTCCCGTGTTCATTGCAGCTCTGTTCACAATAGCCAAGTTACGGTATCAACTTAAGTGACCATCAGATGATTGGATAAATAAAACATGGTCTATACACATACAATGAAATTCTATTCAGCCTTATAAGAGAAAGAAGCTTGGTCGTTTGCAACAACCTAGGTCAATTAAGCCTCCAGGCATATGAGGTCCATTGTTGTGAGTTTATATGTGTCCTGAAGGGTCCTGAATCCCTTCGTAGGGAACTCTGGTCTTTAAAGTTCCAGGTGAGGTCTAAGATTTTCTGGTGGTTTTGACATATAGAATCATAAACTTTTATAGCTAAAGGAATCTTTTCTTATATTTCATTTATTCTTTTTCCCCTAGTTTATAGATTAGATCTAAAGAGGTCCCTTGACTTGCCTGAAGCAATGCCTCTGGTTAATGATGAACCAGTATTGGAACCCAAGTCTCCAAATTATTAGTCAGCTCAGTGCTTTTGCACTGAACTCTGCTACATCTGAAAGATGCCTTGTTCCTCATGTTCAGTAAAGAATGGTCTACAGATTAGACAAAATCGACACATTTATAAACAAAAATAGCAACACCAACAAACAAAAATATTTTGCTGCCCAGAGACGGGTGGGCCCTGTTAGTGCTGTTTGGTTTAGGATACCTTGGGCTTGTACTAGAGGTGAAGTAACTCACCCCTCGACAGGAGCAAGACCTTTTGAAACACCAGTCTGTAAAGAGTAAGATCTACCCAGCTTAGCTGCCAGAATCATCACTTCCATTGTCAGTTGAGTTCCTCTGGTCTAGACAGTCATCTTATAAATTCCTTAACCAGCTTTTAAAAGGCCATAAAAGGATTAGTAGATAGAATGAATGAACCTAGATGTAGAACGAGAATTATATATGCATACATTTTTTTCATACAGGAAACAAACGTTAATGATCAACAAACTAAATGTACATTATAGTTATGGTAAAATGTTAATATTCAACAAACTAAATATATTTTACATTGTGGCTATGCTATTAACTCTGAATCTTCCTTACTTTGTAATTCATGAAAATCAGAGCCAGAACTGGAGAACAGAGGTCTCTGAGGTGTCTCATTTGAGTTCTCTTTCTTCGTCATCTAGATTGCATGTTGCAGGATGACCTTTCTGTTTGTCCTGTGCTGAGCTGTCTAGGATTGGTTGCCCATGTGTATCCTAGTGTTCAATACTAATTGTACAGAATTTTTAGGACTTTCTGAAGGGTTTCAAAGTCTAAATTTAAGTAAAGACAGTTTTTTTTAAAATCAACTTAAGAGGTATATAATTTATATACAACAAAAGGCCTACATTTTAAAGATCAAGTACAGTGTGTTTTGACAAATGTATGTGTTGGTGTACCCAAGGTGTAGAACATTTCTGTAACTCTAGAAGTTCCCTCTTGCCCCTTGTCAGTCAGTCTTCACCAGTAATTTTTCAGCCCCAGAAAACCACCAATTGCTCTGTGTCCCTATAGATTGGTTTTGCTGGTTTTCAAACTTCATATAAGTGGAATCACACAATATGTATTCATTTGTGTCTGATATCTTTTGCTCAGCATAAAAGATGGCATATTTTATCAAATATTTCTAAGGAAGGTGATTTCATACAATGCATCCTAAAAACACAGGTTGGTCATTTTATCTTGTCAATAACCAAACCCTTCTGGCTGCGTGTCTTCCCTACACATCCTCTGAAATAGTGTCTGCTGGGTCTCTTGCCTAAGCAGCCTCTGACATAGTGTCTGCTGGGTGTCTTCTCTAAACAGCCTCTGACATGGTGTCTGCTGGGTGTCTCCTCTGAACAGCCTCTGACATAGTGTCTGCTGGGTGTCTTCTCTAAACAGCCTCTGACATGGTGTCTGCTGGGTGTCTCCTCTGAACAGCCTCTGACATAGCGTCTGCTGGGTCCCTTCTCTAAGCAACCTCTGACATAGTGTCTTCTGGGTCTCTTCTCTGAGCAGCTTCTGACATAGCGTCTGCTGGGTCCCTTCTCTGAGCAGCCTCTGACATAGTGTCTTCTGGGTCTCTTCTCTGAGCAGCCTCTGACATAGTGTCTGCTAGGTCTCTTCTCTGAGCAGCCTCTGACATAGGGTCTGCTGGGTGTCTCCTCTGAACAGCCTCTGACGTAGTGTCTGCTGGGTGTCTTCTCTGAGCAGCCTCTGACATAGTGTCTGCTGGGTCCCTTCTCTGAGCAGCCTCTGACATAGTGTCTGCTGGGTCCCTTCTCTGAGCAGCCTCTGACATAGTGTCTGCTGGGTGTCTCCTCTGAGCAGCCTCTGACATAGTGTCTGCTGGGTGTCTTCTCTGAGCAGCCTCTGACATAGTGTCTGCTGGGTCCCTTCTCTGAGCAGCCTCTGACATAGTGTCTGCTGGGTGTCTTCTCTGAGCAGCCTCTGACATAGTGTCTGCTGGGTCCCTTCTCTGAGCAGCCTCTGACATAGTGTCTGCTGGGTGTCTCCTCTGAACAGCCTCTGACATAGTGTCTGCTGGGTGTCTCCTCTGAACAGCCTCTGACATAGTGTCTGCTGGGTCCCTTCTCTGAGCAGCCTCTGACATAGTGTCTGCTGGGTCCCTTCTCTGAGCAGCCTCTGACATAGTGTCTGCTGGGTGTCTCCTCTGAGCAGCCTCTGACATAGTGTCTGCTGGGTCCCTTCTCTGAGCAGCCTCTGATATAGTGTCTGCTGGGTCCCTTCTCTGAGCAGCCTCTGACATAGTGTCTGCTGGGTCCCTTCTCTGAGCAGCCTCTGATATAGTGTCTGCTGGGTCCCTTCTCTGAGCAGCCTCTGACATAGTGTCTGCTGGGTGTCTCCTCTGAGCAGCCTCTGACATAGTGTCTGCTGGGTCCCTTCTCTGAGCAGCCTCTGATATAGTGTCTGCTGGGTCCCTTCTCTGAGCAGCCTCTGACATAGTGTCTGCTGGGTCCCTTCTCTGAGCAGCCTCTGACATAGTGTCTGCTGGGTGTCTTCTCTGAGCAGCCTCTGACATAGTGTCTGCTGGGTGTCTTCTCTGAACAGCCTCTGACATAGTGTCTGCTGGGTCCCTTCTCTGAACAGCCTCTGACATAGTGTCTGCTGGGTGTCTCCTCTGAACAGCCTCTGACATAGTGTCTGCTGGGTGTCTCCTCTGAGCAGCCTCTGACATAGTGTCTGCTGGGTGTCTTCTCTGAGCAGCCTCTGACATAGTGTCTGCTGGGTGTCTCCTCTGAACAGCCTCTGACATAGTGTCTGCTGGGTGTCTTCTCTGAGCAGCCTCTGACATAGTGTCTGCTGGGTGTCTCCTCTGAACAGCCTCTGACATAGTGTCTGCTGGGTGTCTTCTCTGAGCAGCCTCTGACATAGTGTCTGCTGGGTGTCTCCTCTGAACAGGCTCTGACGTAGTGTCTGCTGGGTGTCTCCTCTGAGCAGCCTCTGACGTAGTGTCTGCTGGGTGTCTTCTCTGAGCAGCCTCTGACATAGTGTCTGCTGGGTGTCTCCTCTGAACAGCCTCTGACATAGTGTCTGCTGGGTGTCTCCTCTGAACAGCCTCTGACATAGTGTCTCCTGGATGTCTTCTCTAAGCAGCCTTTGACATAGTGTCTGCTGAAGCTTCAAGGGTTGTTGATTGGGACTAGATGTTCAGAGGTCAACATCAATTTTGAACTAAAAAATGGATTCCCCACCAGAAACTATTCTAGCACTTCCCATATATGATGATTAAACACCCCCTTGGTTGAAACTGTCTCAGCTTTTAATATGCCACCATTTTGTTGCTACTGGTGAGCTTCAGAGCTCTTTTTAAGAAACCTGTCCTTGGTGCCTTTCCCATGACTCCGCTTGTTTACTTCTTTTTTCTTGTCACTCCCATCAATCCCTCAGATATCAGCAATCTCCTGTTGTTATTCCCATTAAGGCCTGTCTTCCATACCTTTCTCTGCTAACAAAACCTTCGTTTTCATGTTCTTATTTCACCACAGCTCCCAGCTATCTCCCACTCTAGACAAGATCGTTGATCGAATCACCCTAAGTTATAGGCTGCAGCTGTGTCCAGCACCGTGTCAGCCACAAAGGGCGAGGAAAACAAGGCCCTTGTTCTCAGCAAGTCCACAGGGTGCTGGGGGATAGGCATACAACTCTCATTGACAATTGTCTTTTCTATTCCCCTTAAGGGTCCCTGTCATGGATTTGAAGACAGATTTGTGGGCCACCAGCCTTGAGTTAGTCATTTGGCCACCACTTCTCCAAGTCCTGTGCTTTCCCCTGCATGACTGTGGACCCCCAGTCGCTTTGCTAGTAGTTGTGGTCTGGAATTAAGGATATACACCCCCTCACAGCCATTGTGATAGCACTGCATGAAACTGGGGTAGGGCGGGCATGTGTGACTATACGGCAGGTGTCACTTCTCCTAATGAACCCCAGCGTCCTGTCTCAGGGTCACCATCATTCACAGTTATGTAAAGAAGCCAGAGGAATTGCAGTGCACTTAAGTAAACTTAAAAATCATCTCCTAATTATTATTGATCTTCTCATCAGAGACAAGGTGCCCAAGAACTGAATGGGAGGGAGGTGGGCACGCCACCTTATAGCCCAAGAATCATTAGTCAGGACAGCCTATTTATAAAAACAGCTTGCTAAGAGGAGTTTTAAAGACCACAGAAGAGTACATTTCTTTACTAGTTTTATTTACTAAAAGTGTAAAAATTAGACTTTTAAATCATTTGATTCCAGAGGCACATTTTTTAAAAAATGTAGTTTTTGAGAATTATAAGAGGTATATTAAAAAATTTTAAGTTTGTCTCTTTTTTTTGAAAGCTGAAAATTAATCTAATGCTATTCTTGTCAACCAAAATAGGAGAGAGCTGAGGGACACAGCATGGAAAACATGAAAGAGCTGAGGGACACAGGATGGAGAATATGAAAATAGGAGAGAACCGAGGGACATGCAAGGAGAATAGGAGAGAGCCGAGGGACACGGCACGGAGAATGGGAGAGAGCCGAGGGACAGGGCACAGAGAATGGGAGAGAGCCGAGGGACACGGCACAGAGAATAGGAGAGAGCCGAGGGACACGGCACAGAGAATAGGAGAGAGCCGAGGGACACGGCACAGAGAATAGGAGAGAGCCGAGGGACACGGCACAGAGAATAGGAGAGAGCCGAGGGACAGGGCACGGAGAATGGGAGAGAGCCGAGGGACAGGGCACGGAGAATGGGAGAGAGCCGAGGGACACGGCACGGAGAATAGGAGAGAGCCGAGGGACACCCAAGGAGAATGGGAGAGAGCCGAGGGACACGCAAGGAGAATGGGAGAGAGCCGAGGGACACGGCTCGGAGAATGGGAGAGAGCCGAGGGACACGGCACGGAGAATGGGAGAGAGCCGAGGGACACGGCACAGAGAATGGGAGAGAGCCGAGGGACTCGGCACGGAGAATGGGAGAGAGCCGAGGGACACGGCACAGAGAATGGGAGAGAGCCGAGGGACAGGGCACGGAGAATGGGAGAGACCGAGGGACACGGCACAGAGAATAGGAGAGAGCCGAGGGACACGGCACAGAGAATAGGAGAGAGCCGAGGGACAGGGCACGGAGAATGGGAGAGAGCCGAGGGACAGGGCACGGAGAATGGGAGAGAGCCGAGGGACACGGCACGGAGAATAGGAGAGAGCCGAGGGACACGCAAGGAGAATGGGAGAGAGCCGAGGGACACGCAAGGAGAATGGGAGAGAGCCGAGGGACACGCAAGGAGAATAGGAGAGAGCCGAGGGACACGGCACGGAGAATGGGAGAGAGCCGAGGGACACGGCACAGAGAATAGGAGAGAGCCAAGGGACACGCAAGGAGAATGGGAGAGAGCCGAGGGACACGGCACGGAGAATAGGAGAGAGCCGAGGGACACGGCACGGAGAATGGGAGAGAGCCGAGGGACACGGCACGGAGAATAGGAGAGAGCCGAGGGACACGCAAGGAGAATGGGAGAGAGCCGAGGGACAGGGCACGGAGAATGGGAGAGAGCCGAGGGACACGGCACGGAGAATGGGAGAGAGCCGAGGGACACGGCACGGAGAATGGGAGAGAGCCGAGGGACACGGCACAGAGAATAGGAGAGAGCCGAGGGACAGGGCACAGAGAATAGGAGAGAGCCGAGGGACACGGCACAGAGAATAGGAGAGAGCCGAGGGACACGCAAGGAGAATGGGAGAGAGCCGAGGGACACGGCACAGAGAATGGGAGAGAGCCGAGGGACACGGCACAGAGAATAGGAGAGAGCCGAGGGACACGGCACGGAGAATGGGAGAGAGCCGAGGGACAGGGCACGGAGAATGGGAGAGAGCCGAGGGACAGGGCACGGAGAATGGGAGAGAGCCGAGGGACACGGCACGGAGAATAGGAGAGAGCCGAGGGACACGGCACGTTTTAATGGGAGAGAGCCGAGGGACACGGCCCGGAGAATGGGAGAGAGCCGAGGGACACGCAAGGAGAATAGGAGAGAGCCGAGGGACACGGCTCGGAGAATAGGAGAGAGCCGAGGGACAGGGCACGGAGAATGGGAGAGAGCCGAGGGACACGGCACGGAGAATGGGAGAGAGCCGAGGGACACGGCACAGAGAATGGGAGAGAGCCGAGGGACCCGGCACAGAGAATAGGAGAGAGCCGAGGGACCCGGCACGGAGAATGGGAGAGAGCCGAGGGACACGGCACAGAGAATGGGAGAGAGCCGAGGGACACGGCACAGAGAATAGGAGAGAGCCGAGGGACACGGCACGGAGAATAGGAGAGAGCCGAGGGACAGGGCACGGAGAATGGGAGAGAGCCGAGGGACAGGGCACAGAGAATGGGAGAGAGCCGAGGGACACGGCACGGAGAATGGGAGAGAGCCGAGGGACACGGCACGGAGAATGGGAGAGAGCCGAGGGACAGGGCACGGAGAATGGGAGAGAGCCGAGGGACACGGCACGGAGAATGGGAGAGAGCCGAGGGACAGGGCACGGAGAATAGGAGAGAGCCGAGGGACACGGCACGGAGAATGGGAGAGAGCCGAGGGACAGGGCACGGAGAATGGGAGAGAGCCGAGGGACAGGGCACGGAGAATGGGAGAGAGCCGAGGGACACGGCACGGAGAATAGGAGAGAGCCGAGGGACACGGCACAGAGAATGGGAGAGAGCCGAGGGACACGGCACGGAGAATGGGAGAGAGCCGAGGGACACGGCACGGAGAATGGGAGAGAGCCGAGGGACACGGCACGGAGAATGGGAGAGAGCCGAGGGACAGGGCACGGAGAATGGGAGAGAGCCGAGGGACACGGCACAGAGAATGGGAGAGAGCCGAGGGACACGGCACGGAGAATAGGAGAGAGCCGAGGGACACGGCACAGAGAATGGGAGAGAGCCGAGGGACACGGCACGGAGAATGGGAGAGAGCCGAGGGACACGGCACGGAGAATGGGAGAGAGCCGAGGGACACGGCACAGAGAATGGGAGAGAGCCGAGGGACAGGGCACGGAGAATAGGAGAGAGCCGAGGGACACGGCACGGAGAATGGGAGAGAGCCGAGGGACACGGCACAGAGAATAGGAGAGAGCCGAGGGACACGGCACGGAGAATGGGAGAGAGCCGAGGGACAGGGCACGGAGAATGGGAGAGAGCCGAGGGACACGGCACGGAGAATGGGAGAGAGCCGAGGGACACGGCACGGAGAATAGGAGAGAGCCGAGGGACAGGGCACGGAGAATGGGAGAGAGCCGAGGGACACAGCACGGAACCATAGTTCAAGTGATCTGAAATTACCTGATATGGTTTTAAGCTCATGGAATAGGAGAGATTTGGCACTTAAGAATGTTTAAGGGGATATATTAACCTTTTCTCAGGGGTTATGTAGCCGATGAGCACAGTTCTAAAAAAAGGCAGGCTTTAGTGCAGCGTAGTCAAATACAAACTCCAAAAAAGGGACCTGAATGAATAGATTGTCCAGGAAATTATGGTTGAAATGAATGCTGCTGGAAATGATGAGTTTGGAAAATGAATGTGTTTTTACTAAGATGTGAAGTGAAGAAAAAAGGAAAAAGTAATATGACTCATGAAGATTTTGTGATCTGGTACTAAGCAATGTGAACTGGTTCCGGTGATTCAGCCTCTGGGAAGACACTGTCCTATCATGATTTACAACCAAGGGTCTGGGACTGGATACAGGATGCTATTCGTATTGATCACATAGTCTTATTTCATCAGAATTTAGATCTTTAAGATAAATGGAAGGCATTTGATCACATTTGTATTAGTAAATTGCTGAGATTTGACTGCAAGTGATAAAATAAAAAGAGGTTGAAAATGAACTGGTAAAAAAGATTAAAAAACTGTAATTGCTGGTGAAAGTAAAACTGGTTTATGTAGCTGTGGACTCAGGCTCTATTTTCTGACAGTTTGACAGGCAATTGAAACACAACATTAAACAGTAAAGGTTATGCCTTTAGCAATAAATTAATCTAAAGAGCCATCTTTTCTTTTAATCTCACATGCAATGCAAACTTATTACAAATCTACTTTCTTGTCCCAACATTCCTTTTATGTAGTAAAAGCTTTTGTTTGCAGGAGGTTATGGTGAATGACCAACATGGATTTCTTGTAAGATTTCATCACTGAAGGAGCAGTTTTAGTGAAATATGCGAAGTGATTTTTGTTCCTGATCTTCCATCAAAAAGCTGTGCAAGAGATAGCCACTTGCAGAACCTACTGTGGGATGTTTTGGGGGGTGGGGGGTTTTACATTTAATTAAATTAATTAATTTATTTATTTTGAGACGGAGTCTCGCTCTGTCGCCCAGGCTGGAGTGCAGTGGCGCCATCTCAGCTCACTGCAAGCTCCGCCTCCCGGGTTCACGCCATTCTCCTGCCTCAGCCTCCCAAGTAGCTGGGATTACAGATGCCCGCCACCACGCCCGGCTAATTTTTGTATTTTTAGTAGAGACGGGGTTTCGCCATGTTGGCCAGGCTGGTCTTGAACTCCTGACCTCAGGAGATCCACCCACCTTGGCCTCCCAAAGTGATGGGATTACAGACCTAAGCCACTGCACTGGGCCAATTTTATTTGTATTTTTGGAAAGTGCTACCTATGTTTTCCTGCCAGTCCCCACTCTCCCAGAGGCAAACAAAAGATGCGTTTCCAGGATTTTTTTCTCAATGATCACCCAGAAGACTCCCTGGATCTTAGGGCAATAAGGTGCTTTTGTTCTAAAGCTGGGAGGCAGGATTGGTGCTGTGAATGTGTGGCCGTGCGCTCAAAAGTGCTCTATGCTTAGCAGGACCCTGCACCTGATTTAATGGTTTGTGGCTTTGGTCTTGAAATTCTTAACGAAGTTTGAACAAGGGGCCTTGCATTTTCATTTTGTACTGGGCCTCGCAAATTATGTCGTCCGTCTTACTGATAGTAACATAATAAGTGACATTGATTGTGTTCTTAGCAGGAACTGTTTTAAGCTTCTTACCTGTATCAGTTCATCTAATATTTGTAACAATCCTCTGAGTTAGGTGTTATGGCTCTCAATTGCAGATGAGAGACTGAGCACAGAGAGGGGAAATTGTTAAACTAGTAAGCTGTGGGGCAGATTCTAACCCAAATCACCTGCTTCTGGAGCTGGTGCTCCTAACTGCTGACCATGCCGCCTCCACCCCACTTGCTTTCTGAACTTCTCATGGCTTGTGTGTGCTGGAACAGGCACCACCTAAAGCAAACTGCATAAGGCTTGTTTGCTGAGAATGCATTCAGCAAATGCAAATATACGACCTGAAGAAGTCAAGCAGAATTCCTCAATCTCATCTGAAATTAACTAGCTGTTACCTTGGGCAGGTTTCAGATGCAGTGGAGGGAAGAAGGGAAATGAGCAAGGGAAAGAGTTTTAAAAAATGTAAAGTCAGCACGAGCGACAGAGTGAGATCCTGTCTCAAAAAACAATATTAAAAGGTGGGGGCATAGTTGCACCTGGCAGGGCCCCTGGTGGTCAGCTTGGGAGGAGTGATGTGGGGTAGGAGGGGGTCAGGCTGGAGGACAAGGGAAAACATGACAAAGTACAACCACGCTGCCAACTTAGCCGTTTGATTATGGCCGACGCTGGAGACAAGTCACGCAGTTTTAAATTGTTTCAGGGACTGAGTGAGAATACTTTTCTGATTTCCAGGTGACTGCACATGTGAGTGCTGGTGGGTGTGTGGCTGGAGGTGGCTGACGCAGCCCAAATGTTGAAAAATGCAGTGAGACACCTTCCAGCAGCTGCGGCTGGGCCTAGGATTTAACAGCTTCTTGCAGCTGGGGCTGGGTATAGGATCTACAAGCTATTGCCAGGCTGCAGGGGAGACTTTGTTGCCACCCTTCAGAACGCACCACCTAGTAGGCGACACAGCGTAGGAACTTCAGAGTATGTGAGCAATGAACACATGAATCTCACAGTTGTCCACCCTGCTAGTGTTTAAGGTGGGTTCAGTATTCAACAACTCTCTTTCTGACTGACGGATTAGATCTATCAAGAAAATTTGGGCTGGGTGCGGTGGCTGATGCTTGTAATCTCAGCACTTTGGGAGGCTGAGGTGGGCGGATCACTTGAGGCCAGGAGTTTGAGACCAGCCTGGCCAACATGGTGAAACCCTGTCTCTACTAAAAATACAAAAATTAGCCAGGTGTGGTGACGTGTACGCTACTCGGGAGGCTGAGGTGGGAGCACTATTGAAATGGGGAGGCAGAGGTTGCAGTGAGCCGAGATTGCACCGCTGCACTCCAGCCTGGGCAGCAAGAACGAGACTCCATCTAAAAAAAAAAAGTTACAATTTGTTGTACTTCTGCTTACCACAACTGTTGATCCACAGAGTAGAACAGGGTCCTTGAGTACGCGAGTTTTGTTTGATGTTATGCCATTGCAGTGCCCAGCATACTGACTCTGTGATTGCCTGTTGTTAGGATAGGATAAAAAGAAACCCAATCTTTTAGGTCCCACGTTTCTCGTTTCCCACCGTAGGCTAAACATGGTGCCTGAATCTCAATGTCGTGACAAGGTGTGTTCATTCCTAGTAGGCTCAGACGAAAGCTTCTTGCTTCGAGTCGCCGTAGTGCTCAACGGTGGTGTGATCTGCCGCATCCTAAGAAATATGTGTTTGACCTTTGTCCCAGGTTCTTTGCACAGAGTTCCCACAGCCCTTGTAATTTTCTGGGAGACGGGGTGGGAGGACCATCTTTTGCTGTTCATAATAAACCACTGACAACTGTGCCTGAGTTTACAGTAAGGACCCTTGATGGGTCCCTAGATAGCTTCAGAATGGGGCTGGTTGCCAGGAGAGCCAACTACGTGATTAGAGGGTTGGGTGGACAAATTTGCTTTGAAGGAGAATTGATTTTTGAGGAGGATATAAAATATCTACTTTGTAGCCAATGACCTCCTTGGAAGAGTGTTTTTTCTTTTTAATATTAGCCACTATGAACTTAAAGAGCCAGTAGCTATGTGATTATAGTTAGATGTATTCGATGTCTGTGCCATCCCTGCAATAAAGTACATCACAGCATTCCCAAGGCTGTGTTAACAAGGCAGTCCCAGATGCTCTCGGCGTCTTCCTTCTTTCTGGAGATTTTACCTTTTGTTTTCCTTTTTTCTTTTCACATAAGACCTGTATTTCTGATCAGAGAGGTTAAGGACTGTTGCTCCTCACTGTTTTTAAAACGTGACTTTGCTACAAGCCACCTCTACTTGTTTCTAAATTCAGGGATATTCTATGCTACTTAAGATGCGTTACTGCCCATCTCTGGTCAAAAGTATTCTTTTAAATTTCAGCATTCATCTAAAAGGCATGATACACTAAATATAAAGAAGTAATCAGCAAATATTAGGCATTTTACAATCTCAATTGCACCATACCAAAAAATACCTGTATGTGGTTTAACATGTTTACACACCTTGAAAATCTAAAATTCAGACATTTTATACATGGAGTGCCTGTGCCTCATGAGCAAGGATCTTGATCATGTTATTTAAAGCCCTGCACCACTGCCTAGTGGTGGGCCTGGGAGATCCTTCTGATCTTAGCATTCTTGACCTTAAATTTTGAAGATAATCAAAATTATTGATAATTTTTAAGGGATACAAGTATTATTATCCAACTCCTAACCTGTGCACTTGAAGGGGTGATAGATTAGTCCCCTAGACATTCTGAGCATTGCTGCTGGATACATTGACAGAGGGCTAGAGGGCAGAATTCACAGGACAAGAATTGCCATCACCCTTTGTTCTCCCTGTTTCTGTATTGAATATAGGACTAGTGAGAGGACCAGGAAGGGAGCACTCTGGAGGGGAATGTGGAGGATGGAAGGATGGGTACCACTAAGGTGCAGGTGTAATATGTCTACCATCTAGTCATCTCCTTCTCTGCATAAACACCAGGGGAAAGGATGGTTTCTGAAAGAGCATCTTAGGAATGCCATGAAAACAAAGGGTGTGCATCTGTCCATGTGTGGGTGTTCTCTACTAGTGAGTTTGGAAATGAGAGTGCCTTTGAAACAAACAGACCACTGTAACCACCCAAGGGGTTCTTTTTGCCCACTGCCAAGATAGAGCCCATTTGTCAAGACTGGGGGATTGCAACTGGGAAAGAGTCTAATACACGTAGAGCCAGCTAAAAGGGAGACTGGAGCTTTCTTATGACTCAGATCAACTTCCCTGAAAATTCAGAGGCTAGGATTTTTGAAAGCTGGTTTGGTGGGGTGGGAGCTAGGGAATGGGGAGTGCTGATTGGCTGGGTTGGAGAAGAAATGACAGGGAGTTGAAGCTGCCCTCTTGTGCTGAGTTGGTTCCTGGGTGGGGGCCACAATACCAGATGAGCCAGTTTACCCTTCTACGTGGTGCCAGCTGGTCCATCAAAATTCAGCGTCTGAAAACACCTTGAACACCAATCTTAGGGTTACAATAGTAATGTTATCCACAGGAACAACTGGAGAGGTCCGTGATTTTGTGGCCTCCGGTTGCATGATTCCTGAGCCATAATTTCTAATCTTGTGGCTAATTTGTTAATTTTCCAAAGGTCATCTGGTCCCCAGGCAAGGAGGGGGTTGTTTCAGGGAAGGCTGTTATCATCTTTGTTTCAAAGTTAAACTATTACCTAAATTCCTCCCAAAGTTAGCATGGCTTACACTCAAGGATGAGCAAGGGCAGCTTGGAGGCTAGAGGCAAGATGGACTCGATCCCATAGTTAGTGTGGCTTACACTCGAGGATGAGCAAGGGCAGCTTGGAGGCTAGAGGCAAGATGGACCCGATTAGGTCAGATTTGTTTTGCGTCGTAATGTTTCTGTGTCAGAGTCCTCTCATTGTCAAAATTTTTGCAAAAGCGTTTTCACTACTAAGTCCTAGGAAAACATTTTTTCTTTCTGTAAGAAACCTCAAGAGGTTGTGTACTTATCTATTTGCTCTTCAGCGGCATAATTCTAGGTGTCTGTTAAAAGTTTAAAAGTGATCAGCTGGAAAATATTCATGTGGTGTTGGGGCACAGGGGGCAAAGCACCCGCCACCTACAGCAGTTTTAACAGTGCTGGCACCTGCCGGCACTGTAGGTAGCAAAGAATATTATGAGTAATTCTTCACTTCCTTAAGTATGTTAGAAAGGTAAAAATCTTCAAGAGAAACTCCAGATTTTGGGTGGGTTTGAAACTGCATTACAAGTTGGTCCTGCAAAATCCATGTTGCCTGTAAGCTACAGCCTTTGAAATGAAACACACTTCACAAATTGAGCTTTGCCCGTATTTCTTTCAGGGAAGCAGCTGTCCTGTTTCCTCTAATAAGGTAATATGCCTGAAAATGCAATATAAGCCTCCAGGGTCAATGATTAGAGAGGTTTGGCCCACACAGGCTGAACGGACCCTCCAAGCAATTGGACGGTCCCTCCGTCAGTTGCAGCAGCTCCTTCGCCTCCACGGAGAGGGAGTTTGGCTGATTCTGTGTCCTTCGCCTCCACGGAGAGGGGATGTGGCTGATTCTGTGTCCTTTGTCTCTGTGGAGAGGGAGTTTGGCTGATTCTGTGTCCTTCGCCTCCGTGGAGAGGGAGTTTGGCTGATTCTGTGTCCTTCGCCTCCGTGGAGAGGGAGTTTGGCTGATTCTGTGTCCTTTGTCTCTGTGGAGAGGGGGTTTGGCTGATCCTGTGTCCTTCTCCTCGCTGGAGAGGGGGTTTGGCTGATCCTGTGTCCTTCTCCTCGCTGGAGAGGGGGTTTGGCTGATCCTGTGTCCTTCTCCTCGGTGGAGAGGGGGTTTGGCTGATCCTGTGTCCTTCTCCTCGGTGGAGAGGGGGTTTGGCTGACCCTGTGTCCTTCGCCTCCGTGGAGAGGGCGTTTGGCTGATTCTGTTGTTCTATTTTGTGGTAGATTGGGTGTGGGGAGTGTTGGCGTCTAAGAGCAGAACGAGGCTGTGTGAAACCTTTTCGAATGTGTAGGTGTGTTAGGCTGAAGCACTTGTTCTGATCACACAGAGCACACCCTGGAGTGGAGTCATCGAAGGACTGTTTGACTTACCGACTGGACGGACTCACTGCTTCTGTCCATTGGAGTTGGGAAGGAATTCCATCCAGAGAGATTCTAAAGAGAGTCAGCACGAGGACAGATGAGGAGAGAAACGGCTGTGAATGGAGCTTGACTTTCCCTGGAGTCCTGACTTTTTTCAGAATAAATGCTCCTGTAGAGCCTGATATTCTGCAAGTTACAAGTGGCTGCTTGCCCTTCTCATTTGCACCCCAGCTGACTCCTAGATAAAGTAGGTGGAACATTTTATGTGACGATTATTGCCAGGGAACTTTATCTGTTGCTAACAGGCATGGTGAAAACATTTGCACAACATGACAAGAATGACAGCATTCAATTAGAGAGGGCTCACCTTAAGCCGGGTCATGTTCCAGTGCTTTAGAAAGAGGACTACCGCTATCAGTGCTTTCTCTTACCACATGAGATGGGTATCACCGCTTTCATTTTAAATATGAAAAAGTAGAGGCTTAGGGAGGTTAAATGCCTGGTCTAGGATCGAACAGCTAGGAAGAGGCAGAGCCATGGTTCAACAGGTCAGTCTCACTCCAAAGCTGGTGCCTATAACCACCGCCCTCCAAGATGAAAATAAAAATGGGAAAGACCTGCATAATATTTGTACAATGCAGTGGTTTTAGTCTCAGGTAAACGTTCCTCAATGATTCTAATTCTCCCCTCCCTCTTTTTTGCCATGACCCATTGGGAATTACTGGTATTACACATATAAGGCTGTAAAGGGCCTTCATGTACTTTTTCTCATTCACAAATTGTGATTTCTCCAGCTGTTCTATCCCTGACAGCTGTTTTATTTTCTTTAATGATGGAGCAAGTTCTAAAATACAATGTAAATCATCAGAGAGTAAAATTAAAGTTACCAGGTAAAACCCAAAACATCAGATAAATTGATTTTCAGGTAAACAACACATAATTTTAAAAGTTGTAAGTATTTACTAAATACTGCATGGGACATACTTACACTAAAGTATTTTTCATTGTTTTTTGAAATTAGAATTTAATGAGGTGTCTATGATTTTATTTGCTGTGTCGGGCAGCCCTGCATTAAATTAGAGAGGTGTATGTCCAAAGAACGAAACTTGGATTTGGCGTTTCATGATATTCCACAGAGGTCAAGGGAAAACTCCCGTGAAATGGGTAGAAGAGAAACATTGGGAAAGTAAATAGTTGAATCGACTTGCTTTGTATAATTAGTCTTTTCATACAATCTTGCCCATGTCAAACGGTGTTTTCGGTCATTGATATTTTGTGTAGAATGGTAACGATTAGAGTCATCGCAAGGATTATTTTGTCTTTATCAATAGTTCCGCTGAAGCTCCCCCAAGGTAAGACTCAATGCAAACCTAGTTTTAATATTTCCAAATGTTTAATTTTTATCTGAGGGTACTGCAGGGCCTTTGAGGTCTTATGGAAAAAAGTCCTTCCATCAGTAGGAACTTGCAATTTTCAGTTGTGATGAGCGTTTCTGCTCTGGAACGCAGGCACATGGACTCGTAATGCTGTCCCTTTAACTCTCAGTTCTGCATGGCTGACTGGACACAGTAAGCTCTGTAGTTACTTCCCTAATAGTTCTGACTCTGTTTCACAAAAGCTGCCTCTTTCCTTGTGTAATGAAACCATGAAGTCTTGAAGAATGCCTGATTTCCTGGGTAAAGGAGCTTCCGGAGTAATAATATTTAGTGGGATTGAGGTAGTGGCAGTGCTAGCGGCAGTGGTGATGTGGTGGTGGTGGTGTGTGTACTAGTGCAGTGGTGATGTGGTGATGGTGTGTGTACTAGTGCAGTGGTGATGTGATGGTGTGTGTACTAGTGCAGTGGTGATGTGGTGGTGATGGTGTGTGTACTGGTGCAGTGGTGATGTGGTGGTGATGGTGTGTGTACTGGTGCAGTGGTGATGTGGTGGTGATGGTGTGTGTGCTAGTGCAGTGGTGATGTGGTGGTGGTGATGGTGTGTGTACTAGTGCAGTGGTGATGTGGTGGTGGTGGTGTGTGTGCTAGTGCAGTGGTGATGTGGTGGTGATGGTGTGTGTGCTAGTGCAGTGGTGATGTGGTGGTGGTGATGGTGTGTGTGCTAGTGCAGTGGTGATGTGGTGATGGTGTGTGTGTGCTAGTGCAGTGGTGATGTGGTGGTGATGGTGTGTGTGCTAGTGCAGTGGTGATGTGGTGGTGGTGGTGTGTGTGCTAGTGCAGTGGTGATGTGGTGGTGGTGATGGTGTGTGTACTAGTGCAGTGGTGATGTGGTGGTGATGGTGTGTGTGCTAGTGCAGTGGTGATGTGATGGTGATGGTGTGTGTGCTGGTGCAGTGGTGATGTGGTGGTGATGGTGTGTGTGCTAGTGCAGTGGTGATGTGATGATGGTGGTGTGTGTACTAGTGCAGTGGTGATGTGGTGATGGTGTGTGTACTGGTGCAGTGGTGATGTGGTGGTGGTGGTGTGTGTACTAGTGCAGTGGTGATGTGGTGATGGTGGTGTGTGTGCTGGTGCAGTGGTGATGTGGTGATGGTGTGTGTATTAGTGCAGTGGTGATGTGGTGGTGATGGTGTGTGTGCTAGTGCAGTGGTGATGTGGTGATGGTGTGTGTACTAGTGCAGTGGTGATGTGGTGATGGTGTGTGTACTAGTGCAGTGGTGATGTGATGGTGATGGTGTGTGTACTAGTGCAGTGGTGATGTGGTGGTGATGGTGTGTGTACTAGTGCAGTGGTGATGTGGTGGTGATGGTGTGTGTATTAGTGCAGTGGTGATGTGGTGGTGATGGTGTGTGTACTAGTGCAGTGGTGATGTGGTGATGGTGGTGTGTGTACTAGTGCAGTGGTGATGTGATGATGGTGGTGTGTGTACTAGTGCAGTGGTGATGTGGTGATGGTGTGTGTATTAGTGCAGTGGTGATGTGGTGGTGATGGTGTGTGTACTGGTGCAGTGGTGATGTGATGGTGATGGTGTGTGTACTAGTGCAGTGGTGATGTGGTGATGGTGGTGTGTGTACTAGTG
This sequence comes from Homo sapiens, assembly GCF_000001405.40. Taxonomy (NCBI): domain Eukaryota; kingdom Metazoa; phylum Chordata; class Mammalia; order Primates; family Hominidae; genus Homo; species Homo sapiens. The sequence continues at coordinate 171,067 of NT_187650.1, read as the reverse complement.
CAGTGGTGATGTGGTGGTGGTGGTGTGTGTACTAGTGCAGTGGTGATGTGATGGTGATGGTGTGTGTACTGGTGCAGTGGTGATGTGGTGGTGATGGTGTGTGTACTGGTGCAGTGGTGATGTGGTGGTGATGGTGTGTGTACTGGTGCAGTGGTGATGTGGTGGTGATGGTGTGTGTACTGGTGCAGTGGTGATGTGGTGGTGATGGTGTGTGTACTAGTGCAGTGGTGATGTGGTGGTGATGGTGTGTGTACTAGTGCAGTGGTGATGTGGTGGTGATGGTGTGTGTACTAGTGCAGTGGTGATGTGGTGATGGTGGTGTGTGTACTAGTGCAGTGGTGATGTGGTGGTGATGGTGTGTGTACTAGTGCAGTGGTGATGTGGTGATGGTGGTGTGTGTACTGGTGCAGTGGTGATGTGGTGGTGATGGTGTGTGTACTAGTGCAGTGGTGATGTGGTGATGGTGGTGTGTGTACTAGTGCAGTGGTGATGTGGTGATGGTGGTGTGTGTACTAGTGCAGTGGTGATGTGGTGGTGGTGGTGTGTGTGCTAGTGCAGTGGTGATGTGATGGTGATGGTGTGTGTACTAGTGCAGTGGTGATGTGGTGGTGATGGTGTGTGTACTGGTGCAGTGGTGATGTGGTGGTGATGGTGTGTGTACTGGTGCAGTGGTGATGTGGTGGTGATGGTGTGTGTACTGGTGCAGTGGTGATGTGGTGGTGATGGTGTGTGTACTGGTGCAGTGGTGATGTGGTGATGGTGTGTGTACTGGTGCAGTGGTGATGTGGTGGTGATGGTGTGTGTACTGGTGCAGTGGTGATGTGGTGGTGATGGTGTGTGTACTGGTGCAGTGGTGATGTGGTGATGGTGGTGTGTGTACTGGTGCAGTGGTGATGTGGTGGTGGTGGTGTGTGTACTAGTGCAGTGGTGATGTGATGGTGATGGTGTGTGTACTGGTGCAGTGGTGATGTGGTGGTGATGGTGTGTGTACTGGTGCAGTGGTGATGTGGTGGTGATGGTGTGTGTACTGGTGCAGTGGTGATGTGGTGGTGATGGTGTGTGTACTGGTGCAGTGGTGATGTGGTGGTGATGGTGTGTGTACTAGTGCAGTGGTGATGTGGTGGTGGTGGTGTGTGTATTAGTGCAGTGGTGATGTGGTGGTGATGGTGTGTGTACTAGTGCAGTGGTGATGTGGTGATGGTGGTGTGTGTACTAGTGCAGTGGTGATGTGGTGGTGGTGGTGTGTGTACTAGTGCAGTGGTGATGTGGTGGTGGTGGTGTGTGTATTAGTGCAGTGGTGATGTGGTGGTGATGGTGTGTGTACTAGTGCAGTGGTGATGTGGTGGTGATGGTGTGTGTACTGGTGCAGTGGTGATGTGGTGATGGTGGTGTGTGTACTGGTGCAGTGGTGATGTGATGGTGATGGTGTGTGTACTAGTGCAGTGGTGATGTGGTGGTGATGGTGTGTGTACTAGTGCAGTGGTGATGTGGTGGTGATGGTGTGTGTATTAGTGCAGTGGTGATGTGGTGGTGATGGTGTGTGTACTAGTGCAGTGGTGATGTGGTGGTGATGGTGTGTGTACTAGTGCAGTGGTGATGTGGTGATGGTGTGTGTACTGGTGCAGTGGTGATGTGGTGGTGGTGGTGTGTGTACTAGTGCAGTGGTGATGTGGTGGTGGTGGTGTGTGTACTAGTGCAGTGGTGATGTGATGATGGTGGTGTGTGTACTAGTGCAGTGGTGATGTGGTGGTGGTGGTGTGTGTGCTTGTGGTATTGGTGATGTGGTGGTGATGGTGTGTGTGCTAGTGCAGTGGTGATGTGCTGGTGGTGGTGTGTGTGCTTGTGGTATTGGTGATGTGGTGGTGGTGGTGTGTTTGTGTTGATAGAGGGTGGAGGGAATCAGGGGTGCATTTCCTTTGTAGAGTAATTTTGACCAAAAAACTACTTGGCTCTGGAAACTTGCTAGAAGAATATTTTAGAAGTACATCTGTGCATTGAGTACTGCATATTTTAAGCAACAAATCAACCTGTAACGTGCATTGCAGCAGAATTTATTAAAAGAGAGGTGCACGTGGTATGTAGAGAAACATTAGTGGGACTTAATGAAATGAAAGAAATAGAAAAATATTCATTTTCTGACAGTATTTATAGGTTTTTAAGGCCCTGATTGCCATTGCTTTGTGAGTTTCCTTCTTTCTGATTGATGATGTGTCCCGGATTTGGTTCCTTTTCCCCACATGCAATTTCAGATGTTTTTCACTGGAGGAATATGGATTGATAATATACAGGAAAGTAAAAACACACAGGAGAATTTTAATACACAATGAAAAGAATTCAGTTGTAAGTGATCTGAAAGCCCAGTCCTCTCACCCACTCTTTGATTTAACAGCTCCCAGTCTATTAAGACTTTGCTTTACTCAAGGATTTCGTGTTAATCATCTTTTGTTTTATAGCCCTTTATTTTCCTGCTGGAATCAATATCCCATCAACTTCACCGACCGGCTACTCTGTGATCTATGAGATGGTGCTAGTACAGGACTGAATTTATACCAGAGCAATTTGCCTTAAATGTTACCAGCTCTTTATCCAAAACATTTCTTCCAGCTTATTCTCATAATTTTACTACTTCTCGCAAAGCTGCTTCTCTGCTTTTAGAGAGTAGAGAGTGGCAAGTGAAATGTAAAATGCCTGGAGAGAGGATATAAGAGGTTGGGCTTGGAAGCACAGAAGTTAAATCCGCGAAGTGATGTCAGTCAACAGGAGAAGTGTTGGCTGTTTTCACACTGTGTGGCTGCTCGTGACACAGACTTGATGAATTCATTTCCACCTTGCTGGCAAAACCAATTTGTTTCAGTGAGACCACATTTCAGAGCAGTTTGGATCCTGCTGGTATATTCAGATTGCCTGAAAATCAAGCAAAAGTAATCAGTTTGGTGCCCTGTATCGTAGGACGATCTTGCACCCCTTTCCTTCCCTAGGGTTACCCTCATTTGGCTGGGTGGACGTTGTCCTTCAGATCATTTGTATAAATCCAACTTGCACATCACAGGGGTCTCTAAGTTCTTTGCAAATATTAATTTAGAACTTAAAAGTGCATTATCCCCCTTTAAAAATACATTATCCGAATTGTGATGCCAGCATTTTAAATACAGTAAATGATTAGTTACTTCACTTAATCTTGTCACTGAATATAATTGCAGTCACTGAGAGCTGGACATTGATCTACGTTCTTGATGCCTGTTAAGACATTTTATCTCATAAAAGGATGTTACTGGTAATTATGACACCTTGTGCTTTTCAATAGTTACATTTATTTTAAAAGACACTGTTTTCTTCTTAAATGGAATAATTTCCTTTCAACGTGGGAGGAGGTCTGGTTCCCAGTGTCCACATGAGGCAAATATACAGGCAGCTCTCTGTGTCCACAGGCTCCCCATCTGCAGGTGGTTGAAGCCAGATGGAAAATAGTACAGTTGACCCTCCATGTCTGTGAGTTTCTATCCAAGGATGAGAAACCCATGCATAGGGAGGGCTGACCGTATTTTAATTTGTTTCAAGATGTCTTTTTCCATTCTGTTTTGAGTATTTAATAAAACAGTCAAAAAGCAAATTTAATATCTGTGCAAACTCATTTTCTTGTGAAATTGCTTAGACTTGGTCCTTTAAGGGAATATTTGGAGAAGCTAATGTTAGAGGTCAGAATCTAAGAAGACTTTTGGTTTTAGCTTTCTTCGTTGTAAAATGGGAGTAGTAATTCCTGTCCTCATGTCTTCTCAGGGCTGCATGGAAATATGAAAATGCTTTAAAAATGAAATTAATACACAGATTCAGACTTACTTTAAAGAGAGTGAAGTATATGAGCGTTCTATAGGACAAGGAACATGACAACATATATAGTCCACTTCTGATGTTAAAAATTATTGCAGGACTGTGTTAATTACACTTCTACGGACACCTTCTAACTTCAACCATGTCTTTTTTCCCATGTGACTCTTCTTAGAACTTGGTCTGTCTATAAGAATATTCCTTTTGTAGTTGTTTCTCTACTTATCACCCTCTTAACTCTACAGTTTTTGAATAATATATTACAGCTTGTCATATCTGGTGGTCAGAGGCAGACGGTGCTTAAACAGGCAGTTGACATCCAATTACTCTCTGAGCATCCGAGCCCACTAGGTGTCTGGCATGGCCACCCTGGGGGATAGTCCCCCTTTCTGGAACAGACGGTTGCTTTGTAAGAGGGTTTCGTCTTTCCCTGGAGCATCGTGCGGACTAGATTAGGCCACCTGCAGAGTCTCTGCCAAAGCTCATTCATTTCTGACCTGGCACCCAGCAAAGTCCTCACAGACACCATGAGGATGACTCCCAACTAGAAATGAGTCTATTTGGTGAAGGTTTTGTCTCTCAGTAATAAAACATGGAGGAAGCTAGAGCTATTTATTAGGTAGCAATTACTCAAAGGCAGTGTCACACATTTATAGGAAAACTTGTAAATCTAAGGAAAAGTGATTTGCCCGCAGTGGGAATAAATTAAACAGAGATTGGAAACATCGTTTCCTCCTTTTCTGCCTTACTTTTTGTATTTTATAAGAGGTTAAAAATGGCTCTAAAGTATTACTTGTGAGTGTTTTATTTTTACCGGCAAAAAGAAGTTTTAACCACATGTGAAATTTCACCACTTACTAATGACGTCTACCTTTGAAGCAAAACTCTTTCATTGAAGGCATGAATTATATTATGGATATGATGTTGTGCTACATCAACGTGAATTTTTGACACACTAATTTATAATGACTGGGAAATGAGAAGACCATAGGGGAAAGATAAGACTGGCATCCAGACAGCTAAAATGCAGAAGGATGATTGATTTAAAGATCGGCTTTAAGGAAAGAATTATTTTTAAAATGTGTATTTAAATGTGAGTAGGCAGACCATGATTACTTTTTAGACTGCCAGAACAATGAGGTTGAGGATCGGGTGATTTGGGACAGTTCGGACTTATCCTGATTTGACTGTGAACCTAGCAAAAATAACAAAAGCAAAACCAAAAACAGATCATCCGAGGACATGGGTATCAGCAAGGCCGCTGGGCTCGGGCAGGGCTGCCCAATGTCAGCTGTGCAGTGTGGTAGCTTGTCTCCTGAGACGGTCCACAACATTCCACCTCTCTCCGCATATGCTTCCTGCCCATCCTGTCAAAAGACAGAACAGATTTCCCGTCACTAGAATCCAAGCTGGCCTTGTGACTGCTTTAGGATAGAATGTGACAGAGATGGCATTTGGAGCTCCTAAGCCTAAGCCTTAAGTGACAGCCACTTCATTTCTCTTGGAATGCTTGCTCTTGAGATCCTCAGTCTTGGGAACCTGTCTCCATACTGTAAGAAGTCCAAGACGCAGGGAGAGGCCATGTAGAAGCGAATGGAAATGCTCCCTTAGATGCCCTGGATGAGCTCACAGCTGATGGCCAGCACCAATGCCAATCACATGAGTGAAGCATTTCGCGTATTTCAGCCCAGTTGAACCCCAGACAACCACAGCTTCAGATGCTATCACATGGAGCAGAACCCACAGAATTGGAGAAGGTGCTGGAGGATTGCTTCTCTCTAAAGAGAACCTTTTCTCATTCCCTGAAGGGCCCTTGTAGACTGGTCATGGCTCTCGGTGTTCGAGCAAATCAGGTTACAAGTTATGTCACCAGATAAGGATTCTATGTATCTAAAGTTTACCAGCTCACAGTGAGCTTGTGCCTTCCTATTTTTCTTTAAAAGAGATTTTTGCATTTTTGGTGGGTGACTGGGAGTGTGCTGTGCTGTTGACAGCTCAGGGAGACATGGCGCCAGGGAGGTTCAAGTGCGGAAGGTCAGAAGGTAGACATTGTTGCTCAGATGGAGGCATCTCCTCAGTTCCGCAGAAAACGGTGTTGCTTGTGGAAGTGACAGTGGGTGAGATTTTGTCACAGAGATCTAAAGGAAACTCGATCTTTGTTTAAGCAGGAATTATCCTGCTTTCATGTTCTATTTCATGTGGCAAAGAAATGCAGGCTTTGTCCAAAAGCTACTTATAAACTTGTGCTTTGTGTTAGTTTTACATTTTATGTGTTTATGTTATATTTTAGCTTTTTGACATATTTTATTTTAGGTTTTTTCTTTTAAGCCAGTTTATTTGTCAGCTGTCTGACAGGCAATAACCACAGGACAGCCCTTAAGAAATTGGGGGTAGGCTTTACCTGGCATAATTTCAGGTTGCAAGAAACCTCTCCCCAAAATAATCACCACCTACCTTTTGGACCCGGAAATTCTGTTGAAAGAGTTCCATTGCATTTCTTTAAAGTGTTTATCCTGCTAGAACACAAGATTTAGAATAGTAAGACATTTTCTTTATTTAAACATTAAATTCAGTACATCTTCAGCTTCCCTTTTGAAAATACATAAAGATACCAGGTATCTGAAGAGAGAAAGTAAAAGGTTCACCAAAAATCTGAAAAGAAGTTTTAAGTTCCTGAAACAAAACTCTAAAACTTCATAGAATTGAAAAGAGGAGGTTATTATAACTTGCCTATGAATTCAGAGAAAACAATAGCATTCCCACTGCCTAAAAAAATCGTGTGTTGTGTTTACGCTAGAAACTTTATCCTCTATAGAAATAAATTTTGTTCTATTTTGACAGTCTAGAAATATCTGTGAATTAAAAACACAATTTTGAAAAAATATGATGTGAAAATATGTTTTATAATCTCACTCTGTGCATAATTTTAGCTAAAGAAAATATTCCTTTATATTTTAAACTGACAAAAATATTGCATTTTTCACAGTTCTATTTAGCTTTTTTCCTGATCAAATCGGTGATCATGCTTTTATATGTAAATCTGTAGTTTATTTTTCAAATGTTTAATTTGCTCCTTACCTGTATTTTTTTCTTGTTAAAGATTATTTGAAAGCATCATAAAATTTATTTTATTTATTCATAGACCACTCTAATATTTTCAGAAATTACAGGTTGCGATAAAACCACCAAATTATACAACACATGTAAGGGAAAGACAGAAATTAAAAACAACAACAACAACTTTGATTTGGAAATAGTTTCACATTTAAAGAAAAATTACTAAAATAAGAATAGTACATAGGACACCTGATTACCCAGATTAATCTACTTTTAGCATTATTTTCCTTTTTCTCTCTTATTTGCTTTTTTCTCTCTCTTTTTACTTTTGCCCTCTCTATTTTTATGTATGTTTTATGCATATTTTAATTTTTTCTTGATATTTTTGTCCTGTACTATTTCAGAGTAAATTGCATTCATCATGGCCCTAAAACTTCAGTGTGTATTTTTGAAGAATAAGGATATCTCTTTAGAACAGTTAATGTTGCTACAGTGATCCTGTCCAACTACCATCAGCGTTCCATTTTTGTCAACTGACCCCATAAAGTCCTTCCCAGCCTTTTTTCTTCCTCCAGTACATGATCCAGTCTAGGAAGAGATTGTCATGCGTTTTTCTAGCCTCCTGGAACATTTCAGAAGCCTATTTTTGCCTTTTATGACGTGGACACTTTGAAGAATACAGTCCGTTTCAGAAAGAGAGACGGTTTCTCATTTTGAATTTGTCCAACGGGTCTGCCTGGTTTGTGTTTGTCCGACGGCTCTGCATGGTTTGTGTTTGTCCGACGGGTCTGCGTGGTTTGTGTTTGTCCGACGGCTCTGCATGGTTTGTGTTTGTCCGACGGGTCTGCGTGGTTTGTGTTTGTCCGACGGCTCTGCGTGGTTAGATTCAGGCTCCTCATTCTGGGCCAGAAGTGATGTGTGTTTTTCTCTAGGGGCACGGGATGTCCATCTGTTCTTCAATGTTGATGGTAACTTGAATCACTTTAATCTCTGGGAGACCATGCAAATCACACGAAAATCTCCCCCTAGATTTGGCCTCTGTTGGTTACTGAACTGAAGTTTACCGTGGTGGCTGCGAAGTGACAGTTGCTTCTTCACGTTTCCCAGTTGACGCTTAGCATTCTACTATTAGTGAGATCCTTCTTTTCCCTGCACTGATTTGTTTACCTATTGATTATTGGCATGGACTCATTAACAAGATCTTGTAAATGGTCTGTAATTTGTTACTGTCCTTAATTATTTTGGTGTTCAAATTATCCCCTATTGGGCCTGCAGGAGCACCTTTCAGCTGCCTCCTGAGTCTGCATGACGTGCCCCTGCTTTGGAATCTACCTCAGGCTGAAAAGCCAGGGGCTAGAGAGGTGGAAATGAGTTTTCTAAATTTCTTTCACTTTATTAGCATATCTGTGACCAGCCTGGATCACAGAGGGGTATTGTGAGTCATAGGATGGAGGGAACCAGAGTCCGATCTTAGGGAAGTCCTTTCCCTGCTGCAGAGGAGGTGGAGAACCCTTACATCATGGCCAGGCATTGCAGCAGGTAAGGGAGAGAGAGACAGGTAGACACAGACAAGCATCGCAGCCGGGTAAGGGAGAGAAAGGCAGGTAGACACAGCCAGGCATCGCAGCAGGTAAGGGAGAGAGAAGCAGGTAGATGCAGCAGGTAAGGGAGAGAGAGGCAGGTAGACACAGCCAGGCATCGCAGCAGGTAAGGGAGAGAGAGGCAGGTAGACACAGCCAGGCATCGCAGCATGGTAAGGGAGAGAGAGGCAGGTAGATGCAGCAGGTAAGGGAGAGAGAGGCAGGTAGACAGCGGATGAGCATCGTGGCTCCCACTCCCGGCTGAAATCTCACAGAGGAGGCGAGGCTGAGGGACAGCGCGTGGCAGGAGGCCTGTTCTCCTGTGCACTGTTTTGAACGTTGGTGGGATGGGGCCGTGATCACAGAGGGAATGTGCTATGGCAGGGCAGAGGGAGCCTGGTTAGCCTGCTGGGGCCCTGAGGGCACAGGGGAGGTCCCCGGTCACCAGCTCTGCTGGGAGCTGAGGCCTTTCTTGCAGGGGCCACCGTGGTAAATGGGTGTGACCCTGCTGCAAAGGTCACACCACAAACAGCCCTCCAGGAGACAGACATGGCCACAGAAGAGATCTGGGGTGAGGTGGTGGGGAAAGGGCCCACAGCCGCACAAGGCACTGTCCCAGAAAATAAAGTAAAGACAACCTCACCAGGCATGCCTTAGCAGAATCTTCCAGGTCCCAGGAAACGTGGCCAGCTGGTGGCTCTGCAGCAGAAATTAGTGAAGACTCAAAGGACCCATGCAGACTCAAAGCCTCTTCCTCACATCACATATGCCTGTTGCCTGGGCCATTGCTGTGGATACCTGAAAGTCAGAATGTTTACCCCAAGAGACACAGCCAGTTGCTACGAGACTTTTTGAAGTGTAAGAGAATGAGACACCATTAAATGGAAAGTTGAAAGGGTTTCACTCCAACTCCCTCTGGTAGCCAGCCCCGTGAGGCTGGGTGAGAGGGTCAATTAGTCATAGAAAACGAGATGCCACTTTTTCTTTGCCTGAGTAAAAGTGTGTATGACTTTTGATTCCATTAAATACTCTTTGGCCGAGAGATCACTCCAGAATTCTGGCAGGCAGTCTCTCTCACTGGACAGTCTCCTACTCTGGGGCTCTGATGGCTGCGCCCGCTAGTTTTGCAAACCCGAAAGTCATACAGTTATGCCCATCGCCCACGCTGTGTTACGAGGCTCCGTGGAGAGTCCCATGTATGCATTTTTAAGTTTTCCCAGGTACGTTGTCTGGAGTATTCAGTTTTGTGTGAAATAGACTTGGTCCCAAACTATGTGAACCCGGGAGAATTAACTGTAATTGGTTCAGGGAGATAAAACATGTCTGCCCAGGGGTTGATGATTTTGAAAGGGTATTTCTTATCCTGGGCCAGACAGACATGAATCATCAAATAGGTATACAGCGTGGTGTCCTTATTTCTGACCATCGAATCCAGATGTCGGCTCTGACCAGTGGTTCCAGGTTTCTGCTCAGTCTCACTGGGTTAATAATAATTACTAACATTTGGATGGAGCGTTAAAGTTTCACGGCACCTTCTTGTGCATTGATCACATTAGATGGTGGTGCTGGGCATGAATGATATGTGCCTTCACCTGCCGACCCAAACACCCTGCCAATAGGGTTTTGTCTCTTTCTAAGAATTTCTTCAAATTCTTTGAGTAGCTGATTCAGCTACTCAAAGCTATTTTAGAATAAGACAGAAAATGAATAAATAGAGAGACGTTTGGTCTTTCTTGTCTAGAAGATTCAATTCCCTGTTTATGGTCATAGAAGATAAACTGTAGCTGGTATTGGGAGGTGCTGTTCCTCTAACCTGACTATCTAAGACTGTTCTTTTCTTTGCTATGAAAATGAAGGAAAATATTATTGTCCCAATTAAAGATATAAATATACACAAGCAAAGAAGAGGCTAAATGACATATCTGAAGTCTCACTTTGAAGAATGAGCAATTAAAACTCTGGGTCCAGCTCACTTTTCCAGAGTAAAAATTTTTTTGAAAGCCTTATAATTCATAGACACGTCTGAAAAAGCTGAATCTTCCGTGCTGGTCTGCATTCCAATAGGTGGCTAAAACTGGTCAGAATTTGAAGGAGTCCCATTCATCAAATCTATTTTTAGAAGTGCATTAGCATGTGGCTTTGCAAACTCACCTTCATTCTTATGAAAAGCAGTCAGTGCTGCCATGAAAATACTGTCACGATTTACTGCCTCCTCATGAGACCCAGGGCTAAGCCAAAGGGATACCATGCACCCTAAACCTCCTCATAGCTGCTGCCTCTGAAACTCGACTCTGTAATTTGGTAAGTGTTTTAAAAAATACAACTAAATGGCTACCACATGGTGGAAAATTAGCAATCTGGGACTAGAACTTCTATGTGGTATTAAATCCACATATGGAAAAAATTAAATATTATCCTCAATGCCCTCCATGTGTTCAGTTGTATTAAATGAAATGCTTATAAAGCGTGACATTATTTAACTTTTATAAGGTTTGTCACATCTAGTAAAACTTATGACTGTTCTTTTGAAAAACTTTATGCAGGTGCCTTCTGAGCCCACATCAGTCTGGATGTCTTATAACATACATGTGATTTGTTACTGGATATAGCACTAGACAATCAACAGTAGAATTCCAACCAGGATAACTTAATATATCACAAAATGCAGTCACTGGTAGTAGGCAATGCTGTGGTAGGTTGGTCCACAATAATCTCCCTTTCTATAGAAAGGGTTTTATGAAACATGCAGGGTGTGAGATGTACCATAAATTGTTTTGACAAAACTGACTCTAATATAAATGGCTCCAAGTCTCTTGTATTTCTGAAATTTAAATGACACAGCCACGTGATCTTTGCAATCTGCCTTTGGGAATGTAACAGGGCTGCTGAACAAATACCCTATTCCTATTGATGCTGCTGACAATAACAAGAACTTTGGGGGGAAATTTGCCACCTTAACTTGGTTTACTTTGACCCAGGGAGGTATTTCCTGAGCCCAAAGTCTAGTTTCTCAATTTGCTGGGGGCTGACTCTGGTGCTAGATGCTTTAGAACTGAGATGGTCCTTCAGAGTTCAAAGTCATCGTCTCTCTCTGGTTCAACAGTGTGGTTTACACCCCGTTGGTGTCCAAACCGCCTGGAAGATTCTTTAACACAGGAGATCTGGTCTCCATCCTAGACCCACTGCAGCTGTATGTATACGAAACTCTGCAGGTGATTTGTAGTCAGTCTAAAGTGAAGACTCTCTGACAGTCTGAAGTCCATTGGCTAGACAGAAAAAAAACCAAGCCTGAGAAGGTGATCACGTGTCCCCACTATATACAGCTAGACCGTGCAGAACATAAGGCTGCATTATTATCCAGTGATCACGGGGGGTTTTAGCTGTACAAATGTGACCCACATAGAATTCAGTCCCTTGTTCCTGGGATAAAATAAGTTGCTAAGCTGGATTGAATAACCTACCATAATGGGAGGTCCATGCTAGAATGTGTCATCTCAACATGTTCATTCTTTTTTTTTTTTTTTTTTTTTTTTGAGACAGAGTTTCACTCTTGTTGCCCAGGCTTGAGTGCAATGGCACAATCTTGGTTCACTGCAACCTCCACCTCCCGGTTTCAAGTGATTCTCCTGACTCAGCCTCCCGGGTAGCTGGGATTACAGGTGCTGCCCCCACCACACTCAGTGAATTTTTGTATTTTTAGTAGAGATGGGGTTTCACCATGTTGACCAGGCTGGTCTGGAACTCCTGACCTCAGGTGATCTACCCATCTCAGCCTCCCAGAGTGCTGGGATTACAGGCATGAGCCACCGTGCCCAGCCAACATGTTCATTCTTGAATCTCCACCTGGGAGGCAATGAGAAGGACACCTGACTTTGCTGAGACTTGATACCTAGAGGTCTCAACTCACCACAGAATTTATGCCATGTCCTTTTAAATTCCAGTCTTGGAGAGCTTGTTTAACCATGGGTCAAAAGAGTTTGTCCTGTTATATTTGTAATAGATCAAACTCTTAGGCAGTTTAAAAGGTATACTTGCTTTCATACAGAACATAGCAAATTTGCCAAGCCCAGTTCTTCCATGTAAATAACATGACTGAAGTCCATTTTATTGTCACATACTGTGAGGCAATGTGTGATGGAAAAATGTTTCAGGTTCTGGTGAAACAATCTTACTTCACAGGAAATACCTGGGATGAAGTCTCACCTTGAGACAAGCTAGAAAGAGTCAGTGACTATGTCTAAAGAAAAAGAAGGCATTTCCAAGGAGATCTTGAGTTTCTCAGGCAGGCCGACTCCTCTCATTGCATGTTGCTGTGTTCTCAGTGATAATGTCATTCTGGCTCATGTTACAATATCTTTGGTTCTCTGGGTCTAGATTTTTCCATACGGCAGCAAACTGCTTTAGGCAGCTCATAGATGATCAAAGGAACAACAAGCTGCTAAATGTAATGTAACTACCTGTAAATGTCAATGTTTTCTCAAATAAGTGTTTTTTTCCTTTAGTTCCAAATTTTGCACTGTACACTAATGTTACTTGGGAGGTGGCATAATAGTGTCTGATGAGAGAATTCCTGCAGCTACTTATTCTATATTTTCACAACAATTCTCCACAAAGCAGTGGTAAAAGTCCATGGACAGTGTAGTTTCACCCCACAAGAGCATTTCTTTTTGCTGTTGTCTGTAGAATTTCTTCCTTGTGTGTCCTCTTATGAAGAGTGACCATTAACTCTTCATGTTTCACTGTCTTAGACGTTCCTATAGGATCACTAGATCTGGGATCCTACAGATCACTAGAACTGGGAGACAATCTTTTTCTTTCCCTAACAACATCTCAGGCTGAGTTTTTTACTATTAAAATATTGTCATTTTTTGGCCACTACTGACAAAATATGAGTCCTTACCCACCATCAGCCAAGAGTCAGTAGTTTTCAAAAAGATTAATAAAATGCATGATCCTTTTGTTTATTTATATTTCTCATTGAGAGTACAGATGGGTAGCTCTTGGATTTTGGAATCAACTATATTTTCTATTAAAATATGCTGTTCCAGTTGACAGGATTGTCGACCGTCTGGTTTTGAATGTTACAGTTGGCCCTTGATTTGCTTTAGTCAGTGAAGGAGAGATGGGTGCTTGGTCCAGTTGGATTAGTCTGTGGCTTCCTTCTCTGCATCATGAATGTTGGCAGGATTGGGCTTTGGCATGACTTCCTGGGGCAGTATGAGTGTTGGGCACAGGGGAGCTGTTGTATTAAACAAAGCTGTGCCTCAGAGCAGGGTGCCTTCTGCCTGGCTTAGAGCCCTACCAACAATCTTTCTGCCATCTGGCTCCAGTGAGGGCTGAAAACCTCAGTTCACAGCCCAAGTGAAATCTGCATGGGCCAATGACAGAGACACTTGAAAGAAAGAAAGTCAGAAACGACAGACTTGCTTCTTCACTAGTAATTGGAGAATACTAATTAGGAAAATAATGAAATAGTGCAAAAGTTATCTTGATTGACAAGATTAGGATTATTTGTTGATTAATCAACAGTCACTTGATACGTAAAATGTAAAATGTAGGTGCTAGTGTGTGTATGTATATATATATAAATATAGGCATACATATTTATGCATGTAAATACCTATTATACACATCCATTATTTGAACTTTAAAAGTGTACACATATATTGGTTTGCCAATCTTTTAAATTAATATGTAACATTTGTACGTATTTATGGGGCACCTGGGACATTTTGCTACATGCATGGAATGTGCAATGGTCAAGTCTGGGTATTTAGAGCATCCACCACCTTGAATATTTATCATTTCTATGTGTTAGGAACATCTCAAGTCGTCTCTTCCAGCTCATTAGAAACATACAATAGATTGTTGCTAACTTTTCACATGGAGCCAAGGCCTTTTCTGTCATGGTGGGATGGCTGATTGTAATCCTAATTGTCTTCCTTCCAGAAAGCACAACTCTAATGCATTATCCATTTCTTTCAAATGGAGTGAGAATTTAAAGATACTTGCAGAGTGTCCTGAAGGCAAAACCCTTATGGAGTTTTACGTAATTTTGTAACTATTTTTAATAGGAGCTCACCCTTCTGAGCTATTTCAAAATAATCACTTCAGTTTTTTAATGAATAGGAAACAATAAATTTCTTTGTGCACTCTTACTCGAGTTTCAGTAATAGTTCTTTAGATAATTACGATGGCAACTGTCCTAAATGGGCTTGGTACTGACTCATGGTACCCAAACAGCACCTGGGAGGGGAGAGGGGAGCACGTATCCTGGGGTGCTTGGGACCCAGAAGCAGCATTATTCAGCATGCTTTGCAGAGGAAGTGGGAGCTTGGCTAACTGGGGGAGCTGGCCTCAGAGAAAGTCAGCTAAAAGAGTTTCTACTGTTCTCAAGAGGAGGAAACTGATGTCTACCAACTATTTCTGTGGTAGGGACCCACAGCCTAGAAAAGTAGTGAGCTAAGGAGGGTCAGTATGAATCTATATGCTGGGATTTGTGGCTCTTCCGTGACTCATACCCATTAAGGGCCTCTCTTAGGGATACGTAAAAATGACTCTAGTTATAATTAACTTACTCCAAACAGTAGGCTCTGAATGTGCACAAGCTGCTGCAACTTCTGTGACACACATGAGCCTGGCCAGGTGGGAGAGGCTAGGATATGGAATGGGTCAGGGCCAGCATTCTTGGACCTTGCTCATCCCTGCCAGTCTTACTCGGAGAGTAAGCTCCAGTTTCCCTTTGCCTTTCTATATATATTGCTACACACACACACACACACAAATTGAGACTTGACAGCCACATTAAAAAAAGATATTAGTTGAGGAACAGAGCTGGAGTCCAACATCTGGTTTTGGTAAAGTCTGGCCTTTGTGCCCAATTTTACAGCTAAGCTGACTGAAGTACCACGAACTCATGAGTTGTGTAGGGTCAGCGTGTCAGGCAATAGCTCAGCTGCCATATGATCCCCCAACCCTCGTAACTTTCAGCCCCATATTTTAACTATTAAGCCACATGGCCTGCTATAGAATATGCCACAAAACACCCCAGATGTGTGTTGAGAGAGATCCTTCCATGACCCAGGTAACATCACGTCCCTGTAGGACTTTCTGATGATTGGATGTTCCTGGTGACCTCTCCTGCAGTGTAAGCGCATTAACCCAAATGTTATGAGGATTTCCCCACAGGACAGTCTTATAAGATTTTCTTATGAGGTCACTTCCTAGGAAGGCAGGGATTTAAAAGCTGCCACAACAGGCAATGAAGCAAGCAACATGTGGCTTTGCTTTCAGTCTGTCATTTTAAGCAATGAAGAATTTATACGGATAAGTTTTCTGATAATGGAAAAAGTTTCTGATATAGCTGATGGAGTGTTTTTTTTGTTTGTTTATAGGCTTTGGATTCACCTTGAAAACATCCTCTCTGAACATCAGAAGTCCACTTGGTCCCCGAACAGTGTATTAACTTCTAACATTTCTGACTTCCAGTCATGGAGATTTCAAAACCAATTGCATATAGCAGCGAAGCTTTTCACTTTTAATGGAACATTTAGGAGAAGGGCGGCTTTTCCTATTTTCTGTGTTATCTTCAGCCTGTTAACTGTTGTCAGCCCTGGAGAGAAACCATCCCTTCTCCTTAAAAACATGAACCACATACTAAGTTGCTTCTTGCCTCTTAAAGATTCAGGTCACTCAGGTACATCAGACTGAGACAGGACGCTCAGGTACATCATACTGAGACAGGACACTCAGGTACATGATACTGAGACAAACACTCAGGTACATCATACTGAGACAGGACGCTCAGGTACATCACACCGAGACAGGACATGTTGATTGTTGGTGTGTATTTCTCCCAAGCCACCACTCAAACCAGTGTTTGATTTCCATGGAGGTTGGCTGATGGCTTTTAGCTTGAGCCCCAACAGTGTGACTTCATACAAGGCAATTTCTTCAGAAATATCATGGAACTTCAGGGACATTATATAATTAAATTAAAAAAACCTAATATGTTAATTTTTTCATTAAAGTTTATGAGTTTACTGAGTTTTTCTTTTCCAAAATAGTTAATGAGCTTTTGAGTCATGTTTTTTATGAAAGGATTGACTTTCTCATGGCGTCCAACTCTGTAGATAATCATCCGAAACAGATTTGACTGTATTTGTTTAACAAAAGTCTGCCTAAACCAAACTCTGCCCTGAATTTTTTGTTTTCCACACGTATGTGCTAAATCTGTGTAATTTGGTAGTTTGTCTCTCCAGAACCACTGTTGGTCTTGTGTCACTAATCAGCAGAGGCAGCAGTCTGACGGGTCCACAGAGACAAGGGAGGCAGCGGGAGGAATGCAGTGGCCAGGCAGGTGAGGGACCTCAGGACCAGCAGCTCAGCCGCATCCTTGCATGCAGTGGCCAGGCAGGTGAGGGACCTCAGGACCAGCAGCTCAGCCGCATCCTTGCATGCAGTGGCCAGGCAGGTGAGGGACCTCAGGACCAGCAGCTCAGCCGCATCCTTGCATGCAGTGGCCAGGCAGGTGAGGGACCTCAGGACCAGCAGCTCAGCCGCATCCTTGCATGCAGTGGCCAGGCAGGTGAGGGACCTCAGGACCAGCAGCTCAGCCGCATCCTTGCATGCAGTGGCCAGGCAGGTGAGGCACCTCAGGACCAGCAGCTCAGCCGCATCCTTGCATGCAGTGGCCAGGCAGGTGAGGGACCTCAGGACCAGCAGCTCAGCCGCATCCTTGCATGCAGTGGCCAGGCAGTTGAGGCACCTCAGGACCAGCAGCTCAGCTGCATCCTTCTCTTTTCCCAAGGTCGCACTGAGCAAGTCAGGATGGTGAAGAAAGTCTCCATCTCCAAACTGAACACAGGATTTGTTGAGGTGGCCTCCTGGAGCCTAAGTGTGTTTGGGGTGATATCTACAAACTTCCATCACTGCTTCACTGGTGGCCTTTGGAGAATCACCATTTTTTTTCGGTCTTGTTCTGTGGGATATATTCTGAAAAAATAGGACAAATGCTAAAATAGCGATGTCAAATTTAAGTTTTTCATAGAAATAGCATAGTAGGGAACTATACTCATTTTTATAAGGAATACATTTAATCATTACTCTTTCCCTTCCTTTTTTCTTTCCTTAAGAAATATTGAACGTTGATTATGTACAAAGAATAGAATATGATGGGAAACAATACAAGTACCTTATTACATATCGCATAGTATAAATCTTTAAATTGTGAATATAAATTAAACAGAGCCCCTTGATGTCATGGCTCATGCCTGTAATCCCAGCACTTTGGGAGGCCAAGGCAGGTGGATCACTTGAGCCCAGGAATTCAGGACTAGCCTGGGCAACATGGCAAAACCCTGTCTCTACAAAATGTACAAAAATTAGCCAGGCATGATGGCTCACGGCTTCAGTCCCAGCTACGTGGGAGGCTGAGGAAGGAGGATCACTTGAGCCCTGGAGATTGAGGCTGCAGTGAGCCATGACTGTGCCACTGCACTCCAGCCTGGGCAACAGAGTGAGACCTGTCTCAATCAATCAATCAATCAATCAATAAAACAGAGCAACTCAGCAATAATTATATATTTAATTATTCTAAGTATTATATTATGTTTAATAATATAATTATATTTAAATATTATATATTATGTAACACATCAAAGTGTATCATATGAAGTTTTTTGTCTCCATCAGTCTCTCTTATTTTGATAGTAATGATAAAACACTGGCCCAACTTAATCCTCAGAATGTGTTTATTGAATTAAATGGTAGCCATGGAATTCAGAAGAACTTATTTGAAGAGCTTTAAAAGAGAAATAACACTTATGATTTTCCCTATTACAAAAGTATTTGTTCATAGTAGAAAATTGGAAAATTCTGGAAAACATAAGGAATAAAAGAACAATCATGCCTAATTCTATCATTCAGAGATAGCAATTACTACTAATATTTTGGCATATTTTCTCTAGCCTGTGTGTTTGTGTGTGTGTGTGTGTGTGTATCTGTGTGTATGTGTGTGTGTACACAAAGAAAAAGCCAGAGGAAATGCCATTTTTTTATACAAATATAAAACAAAAATGAGATCTCACAATATACATTGCTTTTAGACATATTCTTAAAATTTATATCATGAGCATTTCTTTTTGTTAATAAAGTTTTATAAAACATGATTTTTAATGGGCTGCAGATTATTTCATTATATAAATGTGCATAATTTAACTAATCCCTTATTTTTGGTCATTAAGGTTATTTTAAAATTTTAGGCTGGGTGCAGTGGCTCCTGCCTGTAATCCCAGAATTTTAGGAGGCCGAGGTGGGTGGATCACCTGAGGTCAGGAGTTTGAGACCAGCCTGACCAACATGGTGAAACCCCATCTCTACTAAAAATTCAAAAATTAGCCAGGTGTGGTGGTGGGTGCCTGTAATCCCAGCTACTTGGGAGGCTGAGGCGGGAGAATAGCTTGAACCCAGGAGGCAGAGGCAGAGGTTGCAGTGAATCAAGATCGTGCCATTGCACTCCAGTCTGGGCAACAAGAGTGAAACTCCATCTCAAAACAAAACAAAACATTTTAACCAGTATAAATAACTCCCAATTGAGTATCTTTATATATAAACTTTGTGTATGTTTTGACCATTTTTAGAATAAGTTCCTAGAAGAATTACCAGAGGTACCGAGCCAAAAAGGAATGAGCATTTTTCAAGCCTCCTAATTTCCCTCCAATATTAAGAGTGCATGAGAATAATTGCTACATCTTTTTAAACTTTGGATATCAAACTTTAGAATTATTGTTTTTGGGGAAGATTTAGGCAGATACTGTCTTTAGATTACAGAAATGTCAACAGAAGTGGTCTAAGAGAAGTTATACAGTATAAAATTTGACATCTGAATCTTGGAAAAATTTTCAGTTAAATTTATATGTGTTATTTACTTCATTAGTTGCAGTGTCCAGTTACACAAACTGATCAAACACGCAACGTCACTGAGTCACAGAGACTGACTCGAAACCCTCAAAGGTGGCCCAACCTCCTACCAAAAGATTAAGCCCCTCCTGTAACATTTCTTACCAAGGGTTATTTAGTTTCTGTTTAAACACTCCCAAGCCCTAGGCCTTCCTCACTTCACCAGGTGCTCCTTGAAGTTAGTTTTCACTTATGCAGAATAGGCTTGTGTAGGCTTACCCACCTCTGAGTCCTTGAAAGTGATCCAGACCGACTTCACAGCAAATGTACCATGTTGTGGGTTTACATTTCCCATAAGTTGTGTACGGTACATATTATCTTCATTCCATATTCTCAAATTTGCAATCAACTACGGACAATCCTAAAAGAACCTAGGAAATATTGGCACTGGACATAGGTCAGTTTCAAGCAATCTAATTATGGTGTTACACATGACTATGTTAGCTTCTAACCGTGCCTTTACCTCTGACCATGATGAATTTGCTACTGAAGAGAATGTCTTCTTGGATCGTATGCATTCCCTGGCGTATGATCCTGCAGCATGGATACTGAAATCATGCCACGTTCCCAGGTATCTAGAATTATTGGAAGGTACAGTGCTTTTGTAGGGTCAACAAACGTGATGGCTTCTTGTTTATGAGTTAGTGCTGCCATAATAATAGTACTTTGTGGTCATAAATTATTGCACAAATCTTATCTTCTTTGAATTTCTAAATAATCTTGTGAAGTAAATATAGTGATTATGTTGTTCTCGATATTATTAGGTATAAATACATATTCTCAGTTTTAAGGATGAAGAGGTCAAATTTCTGAAAAAGTCACACATCTAATTAATTTTAACTGATGGACAGTGCTTGAAAATCAAGAACAGAACTTCGAATTCCACATTCTGTGCTGTTTTTACCACTTAATTTAATATAATACCTTACCTCGCCCATCGTTTCTGACTTAATGCTTACTGATTTCAAATGATACTATGAAGTAAACACCTAAGAGTCCTGTATGAGTTTTATGATTTCTCTAATCCAAGGACTAGGTTAAAACAATCCTGTGGACTTTGACCAGATACAGTCCTTCAAAAAAAAAAAAAAAAAAAAGAAGTCTGCATTTTTGTATTGTGTCCACACAGCCAAAATATTTCTTTTAATATTTGTGGAAATTTCATCAGCAGGAGAAAATAAGGGCCAAAACCTTTCTTATCGGATTCGATTGCTTGTCCCCCCTTATTAAAGAGGACACCAAAACCAGAGAAGCCAGTGACTGACAAATGGGAAGTGTATGCTGAAACGGGGCACCTTTGCTGTTGATGAAAAAAGAATAGGCCAAGTTGGAGAGGCCAAATATGACCCCATTTGTATCTAATTTGTATGTTTTTGATATCCATCTGCTGCACAATTACAAACGTTGGCATCTAGACTGTGGAAGAAAGAGACAATATAGAATGCCTGAGCCCAGCAAGACCTTTTAGCTCTTTGAGTGAGAGCTCCAGAGTGAAGATAAAGGTCATGTTGGAAGTGAAGTATCAAGACTTTCATTAGTCCATGAATCAGAATTTTATCTCAGCCTCACTCTTCATGCTGACACCCTAGGGTGTAGTAAAACAGAGTTCTAATCAAAACAGCATAATGAAATATAATCTGCAAAGGAAAAGGTTTATAGGTTAGCTTTCAAAACAGGTGTTTTGGCATTTTTAAGAATAAAACTCTCTGACAAGTTTCTTTTGTAGTTGAATATGATCTGTAAGATGTATTTTTTTCACAGAACTTCAGCAGTCCCACAGTAAGACACTTAAAGTTCTCATAAACAGAATGAAAATGGAGCTCAGAACATTTTCCATGTTAGAAGCCGTGTAGGGCAGAGGGGATAGTAACACTCTTTTCTGTGTGGTTGAACTAATTCTACTCAATCAATTGCTTTATTCAAATAGTCAGTATGAATAAACAAATATTTATTTAGCAGCTATTTAGTTGGCCCTCAGCAAATATTTATTGAGGGCCGACTCTATGTCAACAACATTATTAGATCTAATAATTAGATCTAATAACAACATTATTAGAAAACCCTACCTAGTCTTCCACTGGCACACACAGAAGAGAATAATTAGGAAGTGAAAGAGAAGTCGTAAACTGAAGAATGAAGCCATCTGATGATGACATCATGCTATTTGCACAGTGCCATGTTTTCCCAGGCTCATTGCCTTGAGAAAATGCTTCAGCTACCCTTTCCTTATGGAGATTTAAGTCCTAATTCAAGACATTAAGGAATTAGGAATTCAAATCCCATATTTCTCCATCCTTGTTCATGTTATCGTTAGCTTTTGAAAAGGAAGAATGATTGGCCATTTTAGTCATTGTGTCAGTGAAAACTCTATGGAATTGGTGTTTTTAAAAAAAATCTATGACACCCTCATTTTTAAGATATACAGCTTTTATGCATTAAAATGCATGAAATGTAGACAAATTTTAATGCTGACCATAGCATATGTTTACTTATGCCAATTTATGCTATGTTCTGAAGTTTGAGTCTAAACCTTTGTCATGTCCTACGTCTAAGGTTTTTCCTGAATCATTTTCTAGTATCTGCCATGATGGCAATATTGCAATGACTTCTGCATCTTACAACCCATGTTCCTGCTCAGGCCTCCTCAGCGCTAGGACAGTGACTGGCTTCTATGCTTTCCATGCACATCGAAAAAGCTGTGTCTGCACTTGTTGTTTCATGCCTTCCTTGTTTGACTCATGGATCTCTGAGAGGTCAACTGCTTGATGCTGTTGATAGATAGTATTTTTGAGCCTGTCTTATGGTTCTTCATGGGTTTACCTCCCCTTGCTCTAAAAATTTTGTCACCTATTCCAACATATTTAGCTATGCTCATACATGTACGGGCAATCATATTTCTTTGAACATAGATTTTAAAATTACTCTTTATTTCAGAAATGTTAAAATATGAAGACATATAATCTCAGAATCAAGGAAAAGAGGGCAACTGAAACCCAAGTAGTCATGTTGCTTCCCAGGAAGATGATGGGCTGGACAAAGGAGCTGGGAGGTCAGGTTTGTACCTGCATGGCGTAGGGTCATCACTTAGCTCCATGTGCCTCTTCTGAGGGCACAGGTGTATGTGTTTGTGGTTGACTGCTTTGATATATTCCATTTCGGTTTTAAAACACCCTGAGGCAACAGGGACCAAACTACTTTTATCCATTCACAAACATCCGAAAACCAAATGTGGATCTAGGAAAAGAGATTGTTAAAGAAATTAATTTTTGCTATTACTACTAGTATTTTTTTTAAAAAAAGCACTGAAACCAAACCAAAACGCAATTATTTTTCTTAGCATAAAAATTCTATACTCATACTCAGAAGTTTAAAAAAATACAATATTTATGAAGTAAACATATATTTGATTTTTTACAATTAAAAACATGCACCAAATATGCCAAGAGAAAAAGAAAGAAAATCAAAAGGTCTTATTGCTAATACTTAGTAAAAGTAGTTTACACAGAGAATCAGTATAGTTGGTTCTCCAGAAAAGACTGATTATCAGTTACTAGAAATAATTTATACATTAACACAATTTTTATAGTTTTTATTCTAAAAGTTATAAGCACAATGCAAAGAATGATTTTTCGTCATCCTTTTGAGAACAAATTACTGATCTAATACGCCATCGTTCTATTCTGTGCTGTGTTTCCTATAAGCAAGAATATTCCTACATGTACTCAATATAATCATCAACATTAGATAATTAATATTTATATGTTTCTACTATTTAATTTGCAGAGTCAATTCAAATTTGCTAGTTGTCCTAACAATATTATTCTTCATAGCAAACGTATCAAGTTCGGAAATCCCTGTTGCACTTAAATGTTGGTGTGGTCTGGCTCTGTGTCCCCACCCGAATCTCATCTCAAATTGTAATCCCCACATGTCAAGGGAGTACCGCAGCCTTCTCATTTCCTTCACTCTGGAAAAGTGCCTCATTTTCTCCTTGACCTTCATTATCTTGACAACTTTGAAAAGGACAGGCCAATGCCTGTGGAATGCCCATTAATTTGGATTTGTTTGATGTTTCCTCATGATTATATACAAGATACGCATCGCTGGTAGAAATGCCACTAAAAACATGGTGGAAACACCGTGAAAAAGAGACACTTTGCTTTCTTCTCTCACTGCATCATAAGAGGAGGTGCCCAACTTTGATATGTCCCATTACTGATAATGTGTAGTTGGATCACTTGATTAAAATAATATCTACCAGTCTACTCCACAGGCAGATGGAGTATTTAGTGCTGCCATAATAATAGTACTTTGTGTTCATAAACTATTGCACAAACATTGTCTAGTATGTAATATACTAAAGTTAAAGTTATTCATTAAAGTTATTTATTTTCCTTTGCAATTAGCACATACTTGGTGGGAAGTATGTTGAGACTATAAAAACATGAGGTTCCTCATCAAACTCCAATTGATTCATATATTTATTTACATCATGACGATTTGTGGTTTTCTATTTTATTCAATAAATTTTATCCTGTTACCATTACTTATTTAATGGTGATTTTGTTTTCTGGCTTTTGCTATGGGAGCCTCTTTCAGGTGGCTTGGTATCTTTTGACATAGTTCTGTGTGGGTGCCCTTCTTACCCTGCTTGGGCTCTGACACCGGCATCTTTCCTGCCTGGCCCCCTCTTGGTTGCCCTCCTTTCCCACCCAGGCTCTGCCACTGTGCTGGGGGTCACCTCATTCTGTCCCCATCTGCTCATAGGTGGCATAGTTGTCTTTCCTGCCCAAACCCACTCAATGGCCTTTGGAATGAATTGTTCAGGAAGGGAAGAGAAAGAAGAATTTTTGTTTCCATTGTTTTCTTTCAATGGCTTTTCCAGTCCTTCATTAATTTAGTCACAAATGTTGTTTTGAGCATGGATATTTTACTGAGGTCTATCTTGGTCTAGTAGATATAAAGGTAAGATACAGATGCCCATTTGGGAGCAGAAAACTTAGCAGGGAAGAGGAAACATGAGCACAGCCATCTAAAATTAGGTGTTGCTAATGTTCTACTGAAGGGATGAAGAAGGAATGTACCAGGGCTGTTCTCCACAGGCAGGAAGATGGCCTCAGAGGTCAGTTTCAAACAGGGCACCTTCTAGGACAAGGAAACAGTATTGGTCAAGCTGTTCTAGCCCGTAGCCCCCAGGCCACATGGGGCCTAGGATGGCTTTGAATGCAGTCCAATACAAATTGGTAAAGTTTCTTAAAACATTATGAGATTTCTTTGTGTGTGATTTCTTTTTCTTTTAGCTTATCTGCTATCACTAGTGTTGGTATATTTTATGTGTGGCCCAAGATAATTATTTTTCTTCCAATGTGGCCTAAGAAGGCTAAAAGGCTGGGCATCCCATGGATAGGTAAAGGCTGAGCATCCCATGGATAGGTAAAGACTGGGCATCCCATGGGTAGGTAAAGGCTGGGCATCCCATGGGTAGGTAAAGGCATGGAGGCCTGAAAGTGCAGGTAATCTTTGGGGAATAGCAAGTGATCACTGGGATCAAGAAGAGAATGTATAAATATGTGTTAAGATAAAAGCAGTAAAAAGAAAGGTTAGGGCCAGATTAGAAGGACTGTGAATATCATGTTAAAGTTTAAACTGTGCATATTAGAGTATGTGTTTTATAAAGAAAACTTTGGCAACAGTGTGGAGAAGAAATTGGAATTACATGGGAGACCATTTAAGGAGAATATTATCCACCTTTCTTTCCAACTAAGCAAAAGGCCCAGGATTCTGGTCTACACCAAGGGGTCCAGAGATAGTGAGGGTGGGGGAATTCTATGCCTCTAGGTCTGAGGCAGAGTGGTAGCTGGGTAAAAAAGTTCTAATGTACATCTGTTGCATTTCTGAGGTGTAAATACTCCCTCCATGGCCAGTTTTAAGCTATCAGCATCTCATTACTGAGCAGAGTTTAGAAGGCATTAGTATAGTCAACTTCCCTAGCCAGTGCAAGCCAGCTCTAGCTTACTCCTGACAGGTGAGGACGTGTCCTGTAACGGGAAGGGAAATGAGTGTAGGATCACAGAGAATGACTTTATGCAAAGCGGTGGACTTTATGGAACAGGTCAAAGACCTGCTCTGCACCAGAACTAGCTGAGGCTGTCTAAGGCTGAGTCAAGCACCTGGTGGCCTAGGGGGCCTGATCCAAGGGAGAGCAGGACAGGGCCCTGGTTCTGGTTGCCTGGGGAAGAGATAGCATGAATAACAAGCTGTGCTTTTGAGGGAAGACCCCTGAGAGCAGGCTGAGGAAACCCAGGGCCTATGAGGTATTTAGCAAGAGTTCCCTTCCTGGTCAAGGACAGGGCTGTGGCAGGAGGCGGCTTCTGGGAGGGTTCAGAGCCACTGGCAAGCTATGTTCTCAGAGCCTTCCACTGGTGTGCATGATCCCCTTACCTCAGAGTGACTTTCCTAAACACTTCCGCTTTCTCCTCTGTCATACACTTTCTCCAAGACAAGAAAGTGCTATCAGTTTGAATCAGGGCTAAGAAGAGAATAATAATAGCAAATCATAATGAGTCGCACTGAGGTCTGTGATGTCACTTTTCTAAATGCTTTCTATGTCTTAAGTCTTTAATGCTCACTGATATGATTTTCATTTTATAGATGAGGAAATTCAAGCAGGAAGAGATTAAGTAACATTCAGGTGAAATAGCTGGAGAGGGTATAGTGGTAGAACATGCCATAGCGGGCTGACTCCATAGCCCATGCCCCACTCTGCTACACTGGGGAGAAGAAAAAATCCAGGGAGGACAAAGTATTAGTATCTCAAGATACCATGCACTGCATAAATGAGGTAGGTGAGTCCATGACCTGGCATCTAACAGATGTGCAAGTAATCTGTTTTGAATAGATAAATGGAAAGCCTCTATTACATCAGTTAATCTTTATACGGTGAGAGTTTTATAGCCTTCACTATCTTGCGTTTTGATTTTGGGTATTTCAGAATTAAGATGATCTTTGAGCAGCGCGTTATAGTTTCCCAAACAAGAATGTGAGAAACACCGGAAGAATACGCCCAGCCTCAGCCCGAAACACCGCGGGAATACGCCCGGCCTCAGCCTGGGACACCGGAAGAATAAGCCCGGCCTCAGCCTGGAACACCGGAAGAACACGCCCGGCCTCAGCCCGGAACACCGGAAGAACACGCCCGGCCTCAGCCCGGGACACCGCGGGAACACGCCCGGCCTCAGCCCGGGACACCGCGGGAACACGCCCGGCCTCAGCCCGGAACACCGGAAGAACACGCCCGGCCTCAGCCCGGGACACCGCGGGAACACGCCCGGCCTCAGCCCGGGACACCGCGGGAACACGCCCGGCCTCAGCCCGGAACACCTGAAGAACACGCCCGGCCTCAGCCCGGGACACCGCGGGAACACGCCCGGCCTCAGCCCGGGACACCGCGGGAACACGCCCGGCCTCAGCCCGGGACACCGCGGGAACACGCCCGGCCTCAGCTCGGAACACCGGAAGAACACCGGAAGAACACGCCCGGCCTCAGCCCGGGACACCGCGGGAACACGCCCAGCCTCAGCCTGGAACACTGCGGGAATACGCCCAGCCTCAGTTTTGAAATATTGCATCAGTTCTTCTGCTCCTACATCATGGAGCTCTTCCTCATCAATAGATTTAATTAATTTAAATATTTATTTACAATAGCCTCTTTTATCTTGACCTGTTCTGCACAAGGCAGTCCTGGATACTGTGCTGAGGGTTTCACTCCGCGATAGCCGGTGCCCTACCCGAGTCTCTGCACAGCGGCTACATCCCCGTCTCAAACCAGTGCTCTGGCGTCTGTGTTTACCCTCCCTGAGCTTACTGTAT
The DNA here is from genome assembly GCF_000001405.40 of Homo sapiens. Taxonomy (NCBI): domain Eukaryota; kingdom Metazoa; phylum Chordata; class Mammalia; order Primates; family Hominidae; genus Homo; species Homo sapiens. Next base: position 143,777 of record NT_187650.1, on the reverse strand, counting down.
AAAAAAGACTGCTTTTGAGAGACATCAAGAATGCACGGTTCCACCTTTATGATGAGAGACAGATCCCATTAAAAGAAAAGTTCTGCATTCTGAAAAACTGAGTAGGTTGGCACTTAAAAGGGAATTCCAGCTGGTTAATTTAGGGTGCTGAAAAAAAGATCCGGCACAGGAATGCTTTCTGGCTGTGGGCCCACTGCATTTTCAACTGATTGCGAACTGGAGACGTTTTCATCACACGAGGGACTCCGCTTTTCAGTATCATGTTGTTCTGAGACAGGAAAACAAGTGAGCACACACGGTTTGGCCCTGGTATCCTAGCTATATTCACGAACATGATCAATGCCAGTTGCATGGAAACCAAAGATAGCCTTATGCTTGCCGATATATTAAAAGTAAAAAAAAAATCTGAATGAAAATTTTAAAAATATTTTCCGTCTTGAAGTTTTTTTTTATTCTTGCCTCCTAATTTTCTTTTCTGTTGTGTCTAAGAAAATATTCTGAAGATATGAAAAGAGCTTTAGGTAAAAGAACAGTTTTGAAAATTGTTAATTTCCTGTGGTATTTTTTTTCTTCAGTGGCTTAATGTGAAAAAAATGTATAGGAATCCTCTGTGGGTCCAGGCAGCTCTCCAGGGCAGCTGTCCTCCATGCAATGATCCAGCAATTCATACAGCTTTAGCCTGTTGCTCTACCAACTCCACACCAGACCTGGTTCTTTGACAAAGAGAATGAGAAGCTCAGATGCTGTGGAGAGACTTTTCGCGGCTTTGGCCTGAAAGTGACACATATTGCTTCTGCTCCCGTTTCCTGGGCCAGAAGTTGTTATATGGCTCTGCCTAACTGCAAGCGTCTGGGAAGCATAGTCTCCCATCTGCCCAGAAAGAAGAAGAGAGCTGGATATTGCTGAACACTGGTAATGGCATGTTGTCCAATCATGCTTCCCAGAAACCGGCATAGTCCAAATGGTCTGTGCTCCAAGTGAACAGAAAAAAACCCTAAGTCTGCTGCCACCTATACAAACTAACAAAGCAAAACACCTCCCATTGTGATTTCTCATTTCTATAGAGTGTTGAAGTTTCCCTAAATAAATTGTCCCTTTCATAGAATTTTCTTTTCCATTTTTCCAATTTTCTCTTATTCCATTCATTTCAGCCAAAGGAATGTTGCTCACCTCTCTAGGTAGAGTCTGGATAACTTTTGCAGTAGCAGTAGCCCCAAGAATTGATGCCCTCAGAAACATGTCTGCATTTGAATTACTTCAACTCTGAATATTCTTTGTGCTATTTATTGTCAAGGCATTTAAAACTGTATGATGCAGTTGGCCTCAATACTATTAATGCACTGTCTTGGTTCCTCATCCTGGTGGTAGGACTGTTCCTCTCTTCTCAATACCACTTGGGGGGCTGGCTATCAAGTGACCAAATTTAGGGATGGTTGGGACAGGTATTGATGACCTAGAGATCCAATATTCATTTATTCTGTTTCTAACACTGTTCATTGCTTTGTATAAATCCAAGTTGCTGTCTGGTGTCATATGTCTTCCTCCCAGAGAACTCCCTTTAACATTTCTTACATGTAGGTCTGTTGGCAATGATTTCTCTCCGTTTTTATTTGTCTGAGAAAGTCTTTATTTCTCCTTCATTTTCTCACAGGGAATAAAACACTGAGTTGATATTTTTTTTTCTTTCAGCGCTTTCAAGATGTCACCCCATTGCATTCTGTATTGCGTGATTTCTGATGTGAGATCTACTGTAATTTTTCTGTGCTCCTTGTTATACAATTTGTAAGAGCTATAAAGCGTCTGAACTTTTATTCTACTTTTAAGCTAAAAATTTAGCCTGCTGTAGTTTCATAGAAGCTGGTAGAAGACAGGAGACAACAAACAAATGACAACGAGCAATCAGTGACACACTTTGTAAGATGTTCGGGAACAGGAGAGAGCTGTGGAAAGCTGGCTCCCAACAGAAATGTGTGTTTCATTGGCTGACTTCAGGATTACCTGTTTGTGTTTTGTTTTCAGTTTGAATACAAAATATATAGGCGTTCATGCATGCGCATGCGCTTGTGTGTGTGTGTGTATGTATGTGTGTATGTGTGTTTGTCTCTGTGTGTCTTGTGAGTATGCATGTGTCTCTGTGTGTGTCTGTGTGTGTGTGTATGTATGTGTGTGTGTGTGTGTGTGTGTGTGTGTGTGTGTGTTGGTACTTACTCCTGTATGGTATTGTGAGCTATTTGGCTCAGAGATTTGTTGTCTGTCATTGTTGTCTGTTTGTGACACTCTTGGCTATTATTTCTTTTGTCCTATTCTCCTCCTCTCTCTCTTTAGAGATTCCACGTATACGTGTGTTAGATCATTTGATAGTCTCTCACGGTGCTTGGGTGCATTATTCCGTGTCTGCTGCTGTACAGTCTTTTTTATTTGTGTCTTAGCCTAGGTACTTTCTATGGACCTGTCTTTAAGTTTACTGATTATTTTCTCGGTTAAGTCTTCCAATGGGGCTGTAGAAGATGCTTTCATCTCTATTACTGTCTGTTATTTCTGGGATTTGAACTACATTATTTGTTACAGTTTCCATCTCTATGCTGAAATAATCTGTCTGATCTTAAACATCATCCACCTCTTTATTGAAGGCTTTAACTTATTAATCATAATTATTTTAAGCTCTTTATCAGATAGCTCCAACATCTGTGTCGCACCTGAGTCTAGTTATGCAGATTCCCTTTTATTTTTTTTTTCGAGATGGAGTTTCGCCCTGTCTCCCAGGCTGGAGTGCAATGGTGCTGAGAGGTGACAACGTGCTAGCAGCCCTTGCTCGCTCTGGGCGCCTCCTCGGCCTCAGTGTCCTCTCTGGCCGCGCTCCAGGAGCCCTTCAGCCGGCCGCTGCGCTGTGGGGACCCCTCTCTGGGGCTGGCTGAGGCTGGAGCCGGCTCCCTCTGTTCGCGGGGAGGTGTGGAGGGAGAGGCGCAGGCCGAGCCCGGGCTGCACGCATTGCTGGCGGGCCGGCGCGGGGCGCGGGTTCCAGGTGGGCGCGGCTCTGCAGGCCCCGCACTCCGCGAGGCCGGCCGGCACCTGCTGGGCTTGACCGGGCTTGATACGGGGACGAGCTCCCTCTGGGCTGCCAGAGTGCCCGGGCTGGGTGCCGAAAAGTCCCATGGCCAGTGCCATTGAGAGGTGAAGCCAGCTGGGCTTCCGGGTAGGGTGGGAACTCGGAGAAATTTTCTGTTTAGCTAAAGGATTGTAAACACACCAATCAGCACTCTGTGTCCAGCTAGAGCTTTGTAAATGCACCAATCAACACTCTGTGTCTAGCTAGAGGTTTATAAACACACCAGTCAGCACTCTGTCTAGCTAGAGGTTTGTAAACACACTGATCAGCACTCTGTGTCTAGCTCATCTGGTGGGGACTTGGAGAACTTTTACGTCTAGCTAAAGTTTTGTAAAAGCACCAATCAGCGCTTTGTCAAAATGGGCCAATCAGCTCTCTGTAAAATGGACCAATCAGCTCTCTATAAAATGGACCAATCAGCTCTCTGTAAAATGGACCAATCAGTAGGATGTGGGTGGGGCCACCAGTGGCAACCCGCTCTGGTCCCTTTCCAGGCTGTGGAAGTTTTGTTCTTCCGCTGTTCGCAGTAAATCTTGGTGCTGCTCACTCTTTGGGTCCATGCTGCCTTTTTGAGCTGTAACAGTCACCGCAAAGGTCTGCAGCTTCACTCCTGAAGTCAGCCAGACCATGAACCCACCAGCAGGAAGAAACTCTGGACCCATCTGAACATCTGAAGGAACAAACTCCGGACACACCATCTTCAGGAACTGTAACACTCACCGCGAGGGTCCACCGCCAGGGTCCACGGGTCCGCAGCTTCATTCTTGAAGTCAGCGAGACCAAGAACCCACCAATTCCGGGCACAGTGCAACTTCCGCCTCCTGGGTTCAAGCGATTCTCCTGCCTCAGCCTCCCAAGTTGCTGGGATTACAGGCATGCACCACCACGCCTAGCTAATTTTGTTGTATTTTTAGTAGAGACGGGGTTTCACCATGTTGGCCAGGGTGTTCCCAAACTCCTGACCTCAGGTGATCCACCCGCCTCAGCCTCCCAAAGTGCTGGGATTACAGGCATGAGCCATGGCACCTGGCTGCAGATTTCTTTGTCTCTTGGCAGCGCATTGTTTTTTTTCTGTCTTTTCACATGCCTTGTAATTTTTTGTTGGAAAGTCAGACATCTTGTTCAGGACAGTAGAGACAAAGCTAGATAGTTTTTGTGTGTGGAAGTGGGTGATCTGCGAGGCCTTTAGTGTGGGCATTTGTGTTCATCTAGTGAGGAGTTGGGAAGGGTTTGAGATTTGTAGTTCCTATAATTATCCTCCATGATCCACAGTCTTCAGATTCCTCTAGCAATCCTGTGTATTTGATGTGGGGACAGTTCCCCAAAGTGTTTCTCAAAGTCTGCTCCACTCTCAGCTTTGGGCCTTCCCTCTGTGCTGTGCGGTGGAGAGCGCCGGTCTCTTATAGCTCGCTCCTCAGTGCCCGCGGCACCTTGCTCCCAGCAGTGTTGCACCTTGCTCCCCGCAGTGCTCCGTGGCACCTTGCTGCTCACGCTGGAAGCTTGTTAGTGCAGGGAACCGTGCTGGACACATCCTCTGCTGTTCTGACCCAGCCTCGGTCTCCACCTCCGTCCTTGGTTCACAGAGGCGTGACCTTCATGAGTGTTTCTCCTCCTCAGCTCTAGTTGATCCCGGAGCAATGCATTTTCTAGATCTCAACATCACAGATCGGAAGTCGGAACGGTTAGTTTGTTTTTATCTCTTAATTTATGGTCTTCAATTTGCCCATTTAATGGAAGGAAAATAGTGCGACTATTGTAACTGAACTGTCCCAGATGTAAAAGTCAATCATTTAGGCATCTAGGAAGAACCGCTAAGATACTTTGTGGGAAACAGAAGTCATGTTGGACATTATGCCTACTTCCCAAGAGCTTGTGGTCTAAATGGCAAATAGTTTCTAGTAAACCCATAGTTAAAATCTAAAATGTGTGACCTGCCAAGAACAGTTGAATGATTTCCAGGAAGGGAGTGACGACTGAGGTCAACTGCCAGGAGGAGGTGAGGCTTGGAGTCTGCATTGCTGAATGCAAAGGGCGGGGGCTTTGCTGTCAGACTGGGCAGATGCCAGCTCCCAGCTTTGCCTCTTGCCTGGTGTAGCATGTCAGTTAAATGGCTTCACACCTCTGTGTCCTAGTGGATAAAGTGCCGATGATGTTCGACCTTCAGGCTTGCCAACGGAACTAAAGGAAATAATATATGAAGACCTTCATATAGTTCTCAGCTTATAGAAGGGATATGAGCCATTAGAATTTAATTTTTGTTTTTTCTTCTGAAACCCCAATTATAAAAAATGGTAGCTTTTGCATAGGCAGAGAGAAGACAGGAAAGAACTCTAGAAGAGGAAAAAGTAGAAGTGAAGTGCCTGGATTTAGCAGTGATTATGATAGTTTTGTGGCACATGGAGACCAGCCTAGCTAGAGCAGCGACTGAAAGCGACAGGAATTAGTATAACTCCAGCGGCAAAACACAGGCAACAAATGCACACTTTTGATGGTTTGGTGCCTAAACCCTCACCTGGGCTTTTAGGCCAATATCAGACCTGCCTCATCAGGGCCATACATAGACTTGCTGGTGCCCTTCCTTGCAGAGGTGCACTAGTGCCTTTATTCCAGATAAGACAGAAGGAACAATTTCTTGGGATGGGTCAGGGTATACCTAGTTCACCATGGCAGGATGTGGCTCAGACTTTTGGAGGCTTTATTAACCAGGTCTTTCTTTCCGATGCTTTGATATCTGCGATCTTGCCTGCCGCTCCCAGAGTTAGCCAATTCCTAGAGATAGTAAAGGGTTCACCTTCAAGTGTGTCTTTCAAATGCAAACCAACCAACCCAGAGCCATACCCCCAACCCACTTCTTTAGGAGCTCTCAGACTCAGGGCCACTGTTCTGCTGCCCTGATTGCTCAAGGCCAGGTCCTGGACAACTAGGAACAGCCCCAGGGGCCATCAAGGTTATTCAAACTAGCCAATCCTAAACCTGCTTATCCTGCCTCATGTACCTTCCTGTGGGAACTGTAATGAAGACTCTTGCCTGTGTCTTTCTCTCACTCCCTCTGCCTCCTGAGTGACCCCAGTGCTTTTCCATGTGGGCCTCTGGTGTGCAGAGCCCACTTGTCCTGCGACCTGTGAGTAACAAACCATCTTTTCAGTCGTATTGTCTTCTGACCTGCTGGCCTCACCACATCTGAATAATCATAAAGCCTACATTTTAAAACAGACAAATCCCCTTACAAGAACAGGGCAGATACTCGTTATATGTTCACATCCAGAGTCTGTTAAAACAGAGACAAATCCGGTTACAAGGACGGGGCAGATACTGGTTCTATGTTCACATCCAGAGTCTGTTAAAACAGAGACAAATCCCCTTACAAGGACGGGGCAGATACTGGTTCTATGTTCACATCCAGAGTCTGTTAAAACAGAGACAAATCCCCTTACAAGGACGGGGCAGATACTGGTTACATGTTCATATCGAGAGTCTGGGCTGACAGGAGGAACTCAGTGTCTGGAAGACAAGGAGCAAGAACAGTGAGTTAGGTGGGAGGTGGCTGAGGGGAAGGTGTTTTGCCAGAGTAATGGAGGTGACGTGGAGGAGGATTGAAGCCCAGCAAGGGCTCTGTTGAGAAATACGTCCAGGCCGGGGGCTTGCAGCGCTTCTCAGGGTTTTGGCACCCAGGGTGGTCAGGGGTTGGTACCCAAGCTCTGAGAGACAGGACCTCAGGCTAAAGGAGAGAGACATGTTTCCGAATGAGAGACTCAAGGTTTTGGCACCCAGGGAAGTCAGGGGCTGGTACCCAAGTTCTGAGAGACAGGACCTCAGCCTAGAGGAGAGAGACATGTTTCCAAATGAGAGACTTGGATTCTGGGTAACACAAGTGATGTGAAAGCTTAATAATAAATCTTGGGAATGAAGCATAAGCCCAGATGTGAAACCTACGGTGCCATATCTGTGCTGGACAATAGGAGGCAGTGCTGCCCAACCCAAGGATATTGGCCAAAGCCGCCTTCAGTACTTTCTATCTAAGGTCAGCATTAAGTCTAGGAAAGACCAGACTGGGGATGAGCCTGTGGGGAGGTCAGGTTGCCACAACTGTGCGGGGAAACCAGACCAGCTCTGGCAGAAGGTGTGGTCAGGAGTCTCGTTCTTGCGTCATCCACTCAGGGTTCTAGTACAAGTTCCTTTCTCACAAGTCTTGCTGTTCCTGTTACAGTCAGCCCACTCCCCAGTCCACACAGTTTCTTGGCCCCAGGGGCCCATTTTGCTCTCATCATCCTATGGAAGGTGCCTCTTGAAATTTATAGCCCCTAAAATCCTGCAAATGCGTTGATAACAGATGTCTACTTGGCTACATCTGAGAGGGCTTCTCTGTCATGACCACCAGCCTGCAGAGTGCTGTTCCCAGCTGCTGCTTCAAGGGGGGGTGCTGACTGATGGAATTTCTGCAGGGATCTCTTCATTCTTCCTCGTTTTTCTTCCTGAGGAGAAAATTTTGCTTTATCATTAAGTCTTCTGGGTCTGATTCTGCTCAGCTGAGTCTGACACTTTCCTAAATCTTACTTTCACAGCCTCTCATGAGGTGGTCTGAGTATTACAGAATTTGACTCTCCATTGCAAGGGAACAGGGGCCAAACCCCCTCCAAAATGGCTGCAGAATAGGGGCTAGCTCGGTGTTAGGCACCCTTGAATCTAGGTTCCTTAGCTCTGACTGTCCCTGTTCCCAAATCTGTGGAGAGTAGCCCACAGTGAACTCATCCGCCCTAGATCCAGGGTGATTCTTTTGCATCACTGCTCCTAGGAGAAGAATAGTCACAAAATCTTCAAGGTATACACACACACGTACATGTATATAGACATATGTCGGAAATACATATACGTATCTGTGTACACTCGAAAGATAGAACTTGGCCCCAAAATCATGCAATCATTTTAAACAATTTCTTTCATGGTACCAGAGACACCACACCATATGAAAGTTGCTTTGGGACCTGTTCAAGTTGAATTGTGCTCTCCAATAATTCACATCTTGAAATCTTAACCTCCAGTAGCTCAGAATGTGACTGCATTTGGAGACAGAGAAATAAGGAAAAAATGTAGATGCAGGCGGATACAGAGCAAGGGTGATGTAAACACACAGGGAGAAGACAGACACCAGTGAGCTGAGGAGAGAGGCCTGAAACAGGTCTTTTCTTTACAGCACTTGGAAGGCACCAACCCTGTCGACACCTCGATTTTGGACTTCTGGCCTCAGACCTGTGAGACAGTATATTCGTGTTGTGTAAGCTGCCCAGTTGTAGTACTTTTCCACAGTAGCCCCAGCAAATCAATACAGGGCCTACAGGCATGGATTTCTGTTCCAGTTACTTTGCTTTGCAATAAATGTCCCTAAAACTTCAAGGTGTAGAACAATCATTTTGTTATCTTCATTGATTCCGTAAGTGTAGCATTCAGAAGGGACACAGGGATGATGGCTTATCTCTAATCCATGATATCTGGGTCATTAGCTGGAAAGACCTGATAGTTGGATAGAATGGTCTCACTTACTCCCAGGTCTGGGCTGGAATGATGCAAAGACTAGGTCTGCTGCCAGGAGGGCCTACATGTGGCCTTTCCATGTGGCTTGGTTTCCTCACAGCTTGGTGTCTTTGGAGCAATTGTCTTTCCTGTATGGCGGCTTATGACACCAAGCATGAATGTTCCAGGGTACAAGCAAAAGTCAGATCCTCTTTTATGACCCAGCTTGGGAGTCACCCAGGCCACATCTGCCACATGCATGGGTCTAAGCAGTCACAATCCTTTCCAGAGTCAAGTTTCGCAGGATGGTCGTGGTGGCGGAACAGACCCCACCTCCCGATGGAAAAAATGACAATACATGTTAGGGCAATGTGGGCAGTGTTGCAAAAACTTCTAAAAGTTATTATTTCCTTGAGAGGACAAGCATGTTTAATCCAAACCATGTTACCCCTTCATACAGGTCTTTGCAAGCTTTGGACCACATGGAGATAGAGAAATAAGGAAAGGACAGATTAAATAATGTCTCAAAGCCAAGTGAAGAAAGTTGGGTGTGATTGGATAAGAAAATAAGACTTGGTTTACATTTTCAGAGATAATGTGTGAAGTACAATGAACGGAACATTTTATCTCCTTTTTAAGAAGCCGAAGATCAAATACACCAGTCAAAGTGATCCTCTGAGAGTGTTAATGTGGGAGAGCTTTCAGACCAACATGCTAATAATGAAAGCCTCATGCCCTAATCTAGGTAAGAGTTTGTTTGATCCAGAAGCCACTTGACAGAATCAGAAATACTAAAGCTCAAATGTCGAAAACTATGATTACAACCTGCAGTTTGATATGAATCAGCACCAGACAGATGCTGTCTCTTTTCCCTGATGAGAACAAATACATGCTACACCCAGCAGGAGAAAGGACTCCTGACGCAGCTGTAACTCAGCTCGGCTCATGAAGGAGGCCATGCTAGGTGTTTCAGGAGGTCTTGAGATGCATTAGGCTGAGGATTCTGCTTTCAAGGAGATTATAATTTAGTTAGGAAAATTTTCCTAACAAGCTGATTTTTCATTAATATGTAAAAAAAATCCCAAAATACAGAAATGTTCAGTATCATGGGCAATAAAGGTTAGAGCTAGAGTCAGATCGTTCTGTTTATTCTAAAGCAAGAGCTCTTTCTATTCTCATCAATGTCTCTTTAATGAGAAATCAAATATTACCTTCTATTTTTCTTTAAAAACAAGAACATTTGATGAATGGCTTTCAATTCTAAAGCCAGGAAGTAGGTAGGAGGAGCAAGGTTCTTAGGGTACGTCTTCTCTCTAAAACTGGAGCCGGACTTTGAGTGAGTGCAGTGTGAGCATTTCTGACCTTCCGAAAAAGGATTCCAGATGTTTCAGAGACATTTAATGCTCTCTGAATACCCGTGTGCTCACCCACATGCCACAGCTTGTGTCTAGTCAGACAGGAGCCATTTGTAGGGGCTGAGGGGGAATGTGTGATTTGTGGGAGCTCTGGGGTAAAGCATAGAACAGTGGCTGGAAGTTCTGCACTGTTTTTTTTTTTTTTTTTTTTTGACGGAGTCTCACTGTCGCCCAGGCTGGAGTTCAGCCGCGCGATCTCGGCTCACTGCAAGCTCCGCCTCCCGGGTTCACGGCATTCTCCCGCCTCAGCCTCCCCAGTAGCTGGAAGTACAGGCTTCGCCACCAAGCACAGCTAATTTTTTTGTATTTTCAGTAGAGACGGGGTTTCACCGTGTTAGCCAGGATGGTCTCGATCTCCTGACCTCGTGATCCGCCCGCCTCGGCCTCCCAAAGTGCTGCGATTCCAGGCGTGAGCCCCCGCGCCCGGCGAAGTTCTGCACTTCTGCTGTTCCCCCGCCTTGGCAATGGGGCCGCTTGCTGAGAGGTCAGTGTCCATCACTTGGGATCCTGAATAACCAGGTGGAGCCGAACCCCTACTGACCCGACCGATTGAGGGAGAAATCCATCTTTATTGTCTTAAGCCATGAAAAGCCATGTTTTCTTGTGAGAGCAAATTAACTCCCCATGATATTTGGGGATGTGAGCCACTGTGCCTGGCCCATCCAATCTATTTTTAAATGTGACAAAATTCATACTCTTCAGGTAAGTATGTTGAAATGATTCATCAGTTCTGCTTCTTATAATTTATTTTCCAGACTGTTATCATATTTCTTTTTTTTCTCTGACACCTTTTATTTCTTTAAGTAAAAGAAGACAAATATACTAAAAGTTTAGTATTAATAGTTTTGAATTATAGATGGCGGAAACCTTTGATAACATTAATATTTGAATTTTGAATTTTATTTATTTATTTTTTTTAATTTTATTATTATTATACTTTAAGTTTTAGGGTACATGTGCACAACGTGCAGGTTTGTTACATATGTATACATGTGCCATGTTGGTGTGCTGCACTCACTAACTCGTCGTTTAGCATTAGGTGTATCTCCTAATGCTATCCCTCTCCCCTCCCCCCCACCCCACAACAGTCCCCAGTGTGTGATGTTCCCCTTCCTGTGTCCATGTGTTCTCATTGTTCAATTCCCACCTATGAGTGAGAACATGCAGTGTTTGGTTTTTTGTCCTTGTGATAGTTTGCTGAGAATTATGGTTTCCAGCTTCATCCATGTCCCTACAAAGGACATGAACTCATCATTTTTATGGCTGCATAGTATTCCATGGTGTATATGTGCCACATTTTCTTAATCCAGTCTATCATTGTTGGACATTTGGGTTGGTTCCAAGTCTTTGCTATTGTGAATAGTACCGCAATAAACATACGTGTGCATGTGTCTTTATAGCAGCATGATTTATAATCCTTTGGGTATATACCCAGTAATGGGATGGCTGGGTCAAATGGTATTTCTAGTTCTAGATCCCTGAGGAATCACCACACTGACTTCCACAATGGTTGAACTAGTTTACAGTCCCACCAACAGTGTAAAAGTGTTCCTCTTTCTCCACATCCTCTCCAGCACCTGTTGTTTCCTGACTTTTTAATGATCACCATTCTAACTGGTGTGAGATGGTATCTCATTGTGGTTTTGATTTGCATTTCTCTGATGGCCAGTGATGATGAGCATTTTTTCATGTGTTTTTTGGCTGCATAAATGTCTTCTTTTGAGAAGTGTCTGTTCATATCCTTTGCCCACTTTTTGATGGGGTTGTTTGTTTTTTTCTTGTAAATTTGTTTGAGTTCATTGTAGATTCTGGATATTAGCCCTTTGTCAGATGAGTAGGTTGCAAAAATTTTCTCCCATTCTGTAGGTTGCCTGTTCACTCTGATGGTGGTTTCTTTTGCTGTGCGGAAGCTCTTTAGTTTAATTAGATCCCATTTGTCAATTTTGGCTTTTGTTGCCATTGCTTTTGGTGTTTTAGACATGAAGTCCTTACCCATGCCTATGTCCTGAATGGTATTGCCTAGGTTTTCTTCTAGGGTTTTTATGGTTTTAGGTCTAACATGTAACGCAATCCAACATATAAACAGAACCAAAGACAAAAACCACATGATTATCTCAATAGATGCAGAAAAGGCCTTTGACAAAATTCAACAACCCTTCATGCTAAAAACTCTCAATAAATTAGGTATTGATGGGATGTATCTCAAAATAATAAGAGCTATCTATGACAAACCCACAGCCAATATCATACTGAATGGACAAAAACTGGAAGCATTCCCTTTGAAAACTGGCACAAGACAGGGATGCCCTCTCTCACCACTCCTATTCAACATAGTGTTGGAAGTTCTGGCCAGGGCAATCAGGCAGGAGAAGGAAATAAAGAGCATTCAATTAGGAAAAGAGGAAGCCAAATTGTCCCTGTTTGCAGATGACATGATTGTATATCTAGAAAACCCCATCATCTCAGCCCAAAATCTCCTTAAGCTGATAAGCAACTTCAGCAAAGTCTCAGGATACAAAATCAATGTGCAAAAATCACAAGCATTCTTATACACCGTAACAAACAGAGAGCCAAATCATGCATGAACTCCCATTCACAATTGCTTCAAAGAGAATAAAATACCTAGGAATCCAACTTACAAGGGATGTGAAGGACCTCTTCAAGGAGAACTACAAACCACTGCTCAATGAAATAAAAGAGGATACAAAGAAATGGAAGAACATTCCATGCTCATGGGTAGGAAGAATCAATATCGTGAAAATGGCCATACTGCCCAAGGTAATTTATAGATTCAATGCCATCCCCATCAAGCTACCAACGAGTTTCTTCACAGAATTGGAAAAAAATACTTTAAAGTTCATATGGAACCAAAAAAGAACCCGCATCACCAAGTCAATCCTAAGCCAAAAGAACAAAGCTGGAGGCATCATGCTACCTGACTTCAAACTATACTACAAGGCTACAGTAACCAAAACAGCATGGTACTGGTACCAAAACAGAGATATAGACCAATTGAACAGAACAGAGAACTCAGGAATAATGCCGCATATCTACAACCATCTGATCTTTGATAAACCTGACAAAAACAAGCAATGGGTAAAGGATTCCCTATTTAATAAATGGTGCTGGGAAAACTGGCTAGCCATATGTAGAAAGCTGAAACTGGATCCCTTCCTTACACCTTATACAAAAATTAATTCAAGATGGACTATTTCCATATTTCTACAACACATTGAGGTTTAATAGGCTTAAAAATAAGTGAAGGAGAAAAGCTAGCTTTCTTCCTACTGGAGGCTAGTCCAAAGACCATTTCCCAGGCTTTCCATCTTACCAAGAGAAGATACAGATGTAAATGTATTCCAATTTAGCAAGTTTGCTATGCTGTGAAATGTGAGGCTTGAGAGACCTTCCCTGGGAGCCCATCCAAAGGGCTGAGTGACTGTTTTATTAAAGGGGCCTCCTCTCTAAGGTGGTCTTTCGAATAGATTTTGAGACTAGCAAGGCACTATGAGCCTCTTTGTATAAAAGTCTTGGGTTGACACATCTATATTTTTCTGCTTCTAGGCATTAATGGAGACTTGAAAGTTAATCTTTGTCTAATGCAGATAAATACGCAAATGCATATGCCATTAAGCTATATGTCATGCAGGAAGGTTGCCTGTGTGTTTATGAACTTCTCCAGTAGAATTGACTTCTGGTTTTACAAATTAAGAGACGATATGCCTAGTATATATATGTTAAGTCAGGTAGATAAAAGGAAAGCTGAGATTTGTATTTATATATGATTCTCTGTGGTAGAATATTTCTTCTTAACATTTGTTTGGTTAGTATTTAAAATTCTGGATTTGTGCAGTGCTATATTGACAAGTCAATACTCCAAAAAGAGTCATGCGTTATATTAATATTTGTTCAGACAGCACATGAACGCAAGTGCTACAAAAATATTGTCAGAGATTTTTTAAAAGGCTATTTATCTTCATTCATAATTATATGTATGTGCATGCATGACACCAAAGACAAAATTGTAATAACTTCTGCTTGTGAATGCAAATGCCTGGTACTGCTGTGGGAGCATTGGCAAGTGAATACATCAGTGCTAGCACATCCACAATCATTCTTCAGGCAGGGATTCTGCAAAACTAATCACCCAAGGAAACAAACACACCACAAAGAAGTAATTAGGAAGCCTGTGAAATTAGACCTGGTGGGTGGGGGTCCCTGCTGGGAAGGGCCACAGAAGTGACACATAACAGGTCATCTGTTGTTAAACCTGGGAGACAGACCCAAGCTCCGGCCCAGTCTAATTACATCAAACAAGGTGCTATTTGTATTCATTTCTGAAAGACAAACTAAGTTGAGAGTGAAGTATCTTTGTGATATATTCCAGGAGACGGGATGCTGAGGATGCTGGATGTGGGCAAGGACCAAGCTGTGGTCACACCGCTTTCGAGGTCACAGGCAGGCCTGTTTAACACCATAATGAATTCAGGAAGGAATGAAATGAGGCAAAAGGCCTACGCTATGACTGGATGAGCACTGCCTCAAATGTCCCCCAAAGGTGGGGGTTGCAGAGCACAGGAAGCCAAGGGGTGGGGCATGTCTGTGGTTAAACATCTTCCAATTCCCAGCTCTGCCCAGGTAATTCCCTTTCCTTCAGACCTTCTGGTTTTATTTAGTTGGCTGGTTTTACATTACTGTGCTCAGCTGAAGCTTTTGCTAATCTATTCACATTCCCAACACAAGATAAATCCTGCATATTTTTAAAAATGTGTTTAAGACTATAGGCTTATTTCTACCCAGATTATTAAAAAGTCCCTCTCATGATGCTGGTTTGCAGGAGCTCTCTAATCAGGCGCGCTACCTGCTTTCCATCCTGCCTTTTGGGATTTGAGGTGAGGCTCACCCTACCAACCCCACATAGCTCAGAGGGTGCAGCCGTGTGTGCTCTAGAACATTCTGGTTAGGGGTAGGTTAAAGCAGCATTATCATGTCTTTTGGAGCCCACTGGGCTACATTCTAGTCTTGGTTTCTTCTTGGGTGAGCCCATTAGGTCAAAATTTATTTCTAAAGTAAGAGAACAGAACTGGGTACCTTTTAAGCTGCTTCTGGCTTCTGTAATCATGCGAGGATTACAGAAGTACTTAGAAAAACTTTGCATAGTAATACTTTAAGAAGTACAGGACTGGAAGGGCCCTGAGAATCATCTAGTTTCTTTCCCCAGATGGATTTAAATTCTCAAGTTACATAAAGAACTCATCACATTTGAAGGTAACTGGGGAGAGAAATGAATGAGCATTTGTTGAGCATTGGCCATGGGGCAGGCTACTGGGATTCGTAGAACAACACTGCAGGAGGCCGGTTACTCTTGTGGGTGATGGCAGGGAACTTGGGCTTGGAGTTTCACAGGTTGTGGAGCTGGTGAGTGGCAGTGCCTGGATTTGCACCCAGCCTTGTGGACTTCTAGAGTCAGAGCTCTTCACTCTGGTCTACACAACTGCTTTATTATAATTATTTTTGGAGACGGAGTCTCTCTCAGTCACCCAGGCTGGAGTGCAGTGACTCAATCTCAGCTCACTGCAGCCTCCGCCTCCCGGGTTTTAGTGATTCTCCTGCCTCAGCCTCCCAAGTAGCTGGGATTAGAGGGGCCTGCCACCACACCTGGCTAACTTGTATTTTTAGTAGAGATGGGGTTTCACCATGTTGGCCAGCCTGGTCTTGAACTCCTGACGTCAGGTGATTCACCTGCCTCAGCCTCCCAAAGTGCTGGGATTACAGGTGTGAGCCACTGCACCTGGCTCACGCAACCACTTTAAAAAAAGACTAATTTAAATACTTCTCAGTACCAAGAACCCAAGGGTAAAAAAGAGTCATTTGACTGACGATGAAGTGAGGCAAGTTTGAGACTGAGTGTCCCCTTGTACAGATGTAGCTGCTGAGGCATGGAAGCATTAGGATGTGTCCCCGACCGTGGATATGTCAGTGCAGCATCAGGGCTAAGACTCTGGGTGTTCTCTCCTTGACTTACCTCTTTCCACCTAGCTTAGAAGGGTCTTGTCGAGAGAGTCTGATGTGCAGGTGAGATTATGTCTCCAAGTCTAAGACATGGTGGGCCATGTGTGACTGCCAGTTGCCTCTTCTGCACGTGCGTTCTGAGCGTGATCTCACCTGTAAAATGTCCGTAATCCTGGGTACCCCAAGGTGCAGTTGTGAGGCTGCATGGGCTGACGCGTAGGACAGAGAGGGGCTCATTAAATGTTGTTTTCCTCCCTTCCAAATGAGCTGGATTTGGAGGGAAGCAGACTTCCCGAGAATCAGCGGCTTGTCTGTAAGGTAAAGTTATTACGACTGGAAACTGGACACACTAATTTTTTCGTTTGTGTTTGAACTTGGATGGCCTTCACATGGCTGCATTCTGTGTGTCTAGGCTGCGGTCCCTGACTGGGCATTTGCCAAATACAAAGTGATTTTCAAACTAAGTCAACCCCATTGCAATGTGTACTTCAAGGCAACATTTGAAGAAGGTATTGGTTTCAAAAACAAAACAAATCTACACACAAGAGACATACATACGTGTCCTCACTGGACTGTGTAACGTCGCTGACCTGTGAGATAGGACAGCTCTTTCCTGTTCATACTGGCATCCCCATCTCTTTTGACATACCGCAGTGGTAATTGTTTACTGTTATGAATAAACGTTAATAGGCATTTTTCACATTGACAAAAGCGTTTTCTTCAATATATAACAGCTACTGAAAAAGAACAATTAAAATATTTCAATATCACTCCTTGCTTTGAGTCATCCTTGGTGAGATGTAGTTTATCTAAGCAGTCACAAGAGTCATGCAGGGTCCATGACCCAGATGAGGCCTTGCGCACTCAAGACCTCTTGTATTGAGTAAAGTGTCGCCAGCTGCACGCAGCTATGCCCAGAACTCCTCCCAGGTGCGGTAAAGACGGTGCAGGAATCGCCCTTCGCCTGTGTGTCCAGCAGAGGGCAGTAGCGTCCCAGTTTTCCTTTCTGACACGTTTGCTTTTGCATGCTGCGGTTGCATAGCGTTCTGAGGCTCTTGGGTGGCTGACACATAATTGCAGACATTAAGCGTTTCTTAGGAGAGGCATAAAATGTATTGTGAGGGCAGTGAAATCCTTTGTCAAAACTTCTCTGAAGATCTGACCCCATACCGTGACAGTGCAAGGCTTGAACGTATGCCTGTCACTCACCAGCTTGTAGTCTCTTGCGTCCTGTGAACCTCATTGGCCAAATGTTTTTGTGTTGCTTTATTTTGTTCAAGTAACGACAGCACTCTCTGTGATTGTGTTAGGATACAATTTTACCCAACTGTCAATAAATGAATTTTGTCATTTTCATATCAAGTACTTCTGAGATTCCATATTCCCTTGAGCAGCAGAGTATTGGGACTTGATAAGAAGGAAGGAGGTATATGTCCTCTCTTTCCGCCTCTCCAATCATCCTCCTCTCTCTAGATTTTTCCTGGGAGCTGTCTGGCCGTTTGGCTTAAGTGGAAACCACGGATAATTTTCTTTCTTTTAAGAGAAATTAGTTCTCGAAAGGCAGAAAGAAAAATAGAGAATTTTGGTGAAAGCCTTTGGTGAATTCTCTTTGTGTTCTAGGTCAGCCCTGGATCTGGGTGGATGGAAATGCTGTATGTCACTTATCAAAGAGGTTGCTGCTTTATACGGGCCACAAAAACTCTTTATATGGGCAAACTGTAATAAAATGCTATGGGCATAGTAGTTCAGAACCACTAATGCTTATATCTCTTTGGGAAAAGTCATGAAAAATATTGGGAGATGAAAGCAGGGTGTGGTGGACCCCATTTAGTTTGTGCTCTAAGCCCCCTGCTGTTTGTGGTCCGTGCTGGAGCTGACCAGTGGGCAGTCACATTGCAGACCACATCAAATTTTTTTTTAAGTAAAGGGAGAAAAAAATACAATGGACAAAATATATATCCATAGCTTGGAAATGCTTGGAATAACCTGCTGTGCATGGTGGCCCCAACTTAGTGATGCAGTGGCTCTGGGACATCAGAAAGCCCTTGGAGGTCAAGGTTCAGAATTGTGTTCCTCTTGGAGAGTTCTCAGAACAGAAGCTCCTCAGAGTTGGCCATTTTGTTGTCCTTGTAGAGAAAGTGCCAGCACTTAGATCATAGTGAGTCTTCAGTATACGATTGTTGAGAGCATGAATGAATGAATGAATGAAGCACATAGTCATGTTTTAAAAATTAGGACCGTATCAACTGAAGATTATTTTTATTAGATACATATAATCCATATTTTCCCATTAAAAACTGAAATTTTTATTAAAAAATGTATTTTATTCTATTTATTATTTGTACTACTCTTTAAGAAATTATGTGGGTATGGTGACTCATGTCTGTAATCCCAACATTTTGGGAGGCAGAGGTGGAAGAATCACTTGAGGCAAGATATTCGAGACCAGCCTGGGAAACAGTGAGAAAGCCTCTCTAGAAAAAACTTTACAAATTTTCCAGGCATGGTGGCACATGCCTGGAGTCTCACCTACAGGGGAGGCTGAGGCAGGAGGATGGCTTGAGCACAGGAGGACGAGGCTGCAGTGAGTCATGGTTGCAGGACTGCTCTGTATCTTGGGCAACAGAGTGAGACCCTGTCTCCAGAAAAAGAAGACAGAGAGAAAACTGAACTCAAATCTTTATAAAATGGGTGTATTATACTACAAGTTTAGATACAATATACATGTCTAATCATTTCCTAGCATGCTAGGTATAGCGAGGTAAACAAAGAAACTGGGAGACAGAGTCCTTGCCCTTGAATTGTGCAATGTAATGGGGAGATGATGCCAGCCCACGTGAAAGTCCTAAGAAGGGGTAAGATGGCGTATTACTCAGGCTAGAGTTCTCCTTGGACGCTGAAGTAGAGCTTGCCTATGCCTGTTGGAACACCTGTCATACTCTGGAAATTATTTACCTGGGTATCCTGTCTTGCCTGTTAGAGGAATAAGCTATTGAGAAGCAGGGAGCCTGTCTTACATATGTGAACAGCCTTCACCGGGCCTGGGCAATAGTCGCAAGGCAGTAAATACTGGCTGAGTAAAGGAGCAGAGGCCAAGTGCTGGAGATGAGCCTGGCATTTGCCTGTAGGTGTAGGGTGGAGAGGAGATGTGGCTTGGTAAGAAATCCTGCTGACTGGAGAAGGGAGTTGGTGTGGAGAGTAGCAGAAGTGAGTGTGTGGCAGCTGATGGGTGTTGCCATCAAGGTAATCAGGGAGGAGCCTGGATGAGATGTGGCAGCAACAGGGAGCCGTGTGAGGAGGAGCACGGCACAAAGGCAGTGTTCCAGGTGATGAGCTTGGCTGTGATGCAGTGTGAGTTGCCGGGGGTGACGGAAACTGAACAGAACTGCAAAGCAATAGAATTTGACAATACAAATGCTTCTAAATCAGCTATTTTTTAACCTAAAATGATGGATATACATGAATAATTTATTGGTCCACATGGTTTCATAGAGATGGTTCTTTTTCAATAGAAGAGAAAAAAATTATTCCTAAAAGAGCACAATAAAATCCGCAAAGACGCTTTGAAACAATGAGGAGCTTATTCCTTTTGCATGTTCCAAGCAGATTTTTATTACTTAATGAATCATAATTTCAGTAATAAACAAGGGGGTAATAAATGACAACCATTAACAAGTAATGAATAGACCTATATGGAATATGGGAGAACCTCAGTTTGAAGCAAGAGATGGTTATTCCAACAGGATGATGGTGAATGTTCAGGGGAGCATCCCTTCGATGTACAAATGGTCTCACTAGGTTTGCAGAAGGCACCTTCACCCGGGAAGGTTGTGCACAGCAAGCCTCAGATGGTGTGACTTCACCGAGTCAGCTGGCTTGTGACCATCCACGTGGTGTTGCCCCAAAGAAGCAAAGCACCAGTGACCGTGGGTTACGTCCCGAAATAAGCTTCCAGTGGGGCTGCTCTTGAAGCCAGCAGTTGGGGACTTTATGGAAAGACATGTGTTGGTTGGCAGGGGTTTTTGGTTTAGCCTTTTCACCTCATTTGTAAATGTGAAAAAAATAATTATCATCCAGGTTATATGCGAGGCCCGTTCATTCTTTAAGTTCAATTCAAATAATCCATCCCAGCTCAGTTTTCTCTCTGCTCCCTGGACTCCACTCCGCTGTAGTGTTGAGGATTTTGTTTATTTATAATGACGCTATTTTATTTTCAGCACATCACAAGTTAGTAGCTACTTATATGTCCTTCCCTGTCCACTAGACTCTGATTTTCTTGAAGGAGAGGGACACATTTCATCATCATTATATTCGCATCTTCAGGACAATGGCTCTGGGGAGAGATGAGTTAACTCTTGACTGAAGACAGCTCGGTGTGGTGGCTGGAACCTCAGCTTTAGGCTGTGACGGATCTGCATTTGAGTCCGGTCTAGACAAGCTGTGAGAATTGAAGCACACTACTTAAGCTTTCTGAGCCTTTTCTCCTCTTAATAACGAGGATAAAGATACATACCACCCAGCATTGAAAAAGAATCAGAAGAGACAATGTAGGCCATTGTGAAGACTGGAGCCACTATTATGATCTCCGACTGCACCTGAGCCCTCCAGGCTGCACAGAAATCCTGTTTCCTTGATAGCATCTCTTTCCATTCACAACAGCAGCCTTATATGCTCACTTACCCGTTGGTTGTTTACAATCAGTTGACACCTATGTATTTAAAACTCATCTGTCCAAAGTTGAACTCATCCTCAGCACGTACCATTTCTTGTGTGCCCTGAAAGTTAGTAAATGAAATCACCATCCACCCGGCAGGCCAATCCACACACTTGGAGTTTGTCCTTGACTTCCTCCTCCGCTGTGCCCTCCACACCTCTTTAACCACGAAATTCCATCAGTACAGCACCAACTCCTCACCTTTTCTGCCCCAGCCCGGGCCACCAACATTCTCGCCTTGTTTCTTATGATAATCTGTTCATGGTCATCCTGCCTCCACAACCTCATTCCCCTCTGATCCACTCATAGTTGTAGCACACAAATGTGGTGAGGTCCCTGACCACCATCCCTGGCCGGGTGTATCTGTGTAACTGCGTTTTTATCACGGCACCTGCCACGGTGCATCAGGAGGTGTTGGAATCCTTCCTACTCTGTAAACTCCCTGGGTGGGGGGGCGCGTCATGTTGGCCTTGACCCCACTGTCAAGAAGCTAAGTGGAAGGCAGGCATGACACAAATATTTGGGAAAGAAGAAGAAACGAAGCAGCCAGCACTGCTAGTGGGGCGTAGCATCTTCTTTCCTGCTCCTCCTTATTCTTCCTTCTTTTCTCCCTTCTCTTTTCTGTCCCCTTTTCTCTTTTCTCTCCTAGTTATTACAGTTTTGGGTTGTCATCGCCATCATTGTATCATCCTCATCATCACCGAGGATCACCTATGATGACCTCTATTGTGAAAAGAAAAGAAAATCTCAGGACCCTAAACTCACTATGCTGAAGGGAAAAGTTGAACTTGGAAACTGAGTCATGTAAAAAAAAACCCCGCCTTTCCTTTTGTTCCTAAACAGACAGCTAGAGAAAGAAGGCCACGTGTCTCCCCAGGGGGCCTCCCTCACCTTGACAAAGTAAACTAACAGCTTATCTTCATGGTACTGGACAAGAGGAGACGAGGCACAGTCCCTCCGCCCACCTGAGATGAATGCATATTTGTCTTCTTCCTCTACTCCGTGTTTATTTTATCTCACATAAAGTGCAGATTTACTCAGCACGAGGTGAATACATAATCGATTGTTCCTCTACCTCCTCCTTGTCACGTGTGACATGTAGGTTCACTGACTGCTAATCGAAGCCTCAAAAAATGTGACTATACCTTCCCTCTCTTTTTTTCCCTTCTTTGCCGCCTGCCTACTTTATCCCTTTAAATACTGAAGCCCTCAAAATCCTCTTTGAAAAAAAGTGCTGGCCACAGACCAGTTGTGACTTGTGTCTCTTTTCCCCAGGCACGTCCTCAACCTTGGCAAAGTAAGCCTCTAAATGGATTCACACCCGTCTCAGACATTGTTTTTGTTTTGTTTTGTTTTGTTTTTTGAGTTCACCATCATAGCAGGGGATTGCTAGCAACAGTTAGGACCTGGAGGGGAGACCAGAAGAAGAGGCCGCTGGGCACGGGTGAAAGCAGTTCAGAAGACTTGGGGGAGAGGAAGACACCCAGGACCTCGTCAGCCTCCTGCCTCCCCCTTTTTTTGGGCGGCTTCTTTTGGAGGAGAGTAGCGAGTGTTCTCCTCAGAATGATCTGCCCGGGCATCAGCCTGCCGTTCCTAATGGAAACAGAAACGTTAACTCTTACTCTAGTGGTGGAGCCCCTTGGACTCCATCTGCAGTTCTCTCGAGGCCAGGATTCTGAATGAGCGAGATGAACTTTAATCTTCACTTCTTGTACTTTGGTTCTTATTTTCTGCCTCAGTGTCTTCTTCTCTTTGTTCATGGAGTCCCAGTACTCTCATGTCTGGAAACCTATCACCCTGATTACATAGAGATGAGATGATGAAATTGTCAGCAACTTGCTGAAAGTCACATGCCTGTGTCCTCAGAACAGGCACTGAGCTGTGGGTTCTCTGGATGACAGAATAGTCTTTTCCACATTAACTTAACCGGTGAGGACCCACTGGCTGGAAAACGTTAAGTTTGGAAACAGGCAAAGTGAGATTGTGCGTGTGTGTGTGTGCACGTGCGAGCATGTGTGTGTTTGCAAGTGTGTGTAATTGTGTGTGCGTGTAAGTGTGTGCAAGCAAGTGTGCATGTGAGTGTGTGAGTGTATGCGTGAGCGTGTGTGGGTGTGTGTGTGTGGAGTGTGTGAGAGTGTGAGTGTGTGAGTCTGTGGGAGTGTGTGAGTGCGTGTGAGTGTGTGAGTGTGTGTGAGTGTGTGAGTGTGGGAGTGTGTGAGTGTGTGTGTGTTGGGGATCGGTGGTGAGCAAGTGTCTTTTGTTGTCCATTCCTTTCTCACTGCCTCCTGCCTTACTCTCCTTACTCTCCTTACACATCCTTACTCTCTGCTTCCATTCCCTCTTCTCACTATTCAAGTTCTTCCGTTCTCTCCCTGTATTATGTTCTCCCCATAATTGCCGTCTTCACTCTTCCCCAAATCTCTATCCCCTTAATTTGTCCTTTCTTAGTTCTCCCTCCCCAGATTTATTCTGAAGGTTCAATGGACCCCTAAAAAATATGAAATACTGCATTTTAAGGGACATTAAAGGTATGTAATTTTGATTAATTTACACTGTAGCCAGTTATGTGAGAACTATTTGATGTCCAATGAGCCTTTGAAAAGTCTTAAAGTTTTTTCTGAAATTTTAACATTACATTTGTTGAGGAAAACTAACTCAAACACTTTAAGATCAATTTCTTCTTGGGAACTGTATTTCTTTGCTCACTAAAGGGTCTGCACGCCTATCTTTGCAGTTATAGAAGCTGCAAGAATTGAACACTGAGAATTGAGAGGGGAGAGAAATTCTGTTGTACGTTCCCACATCCTGTTCTTGAGGGGCTGTGGCAGGTTTGGAAGGGCAACAGTGTGAACACAGATTGAATTAAATACACTGGTGTCAGGGTGGGGTCGGGCAAAGGCAGGATCTAGTCAGCATGAGTCTGGATAGGCAGGATTTCTGGACGGAGGTCTATGGGACCAGAGTTTTTGCGGAGCAATGGGTAGAGGTTGAGCCTGGTGGAGCTTGGAGTCAAGCTCTGGGTGTGGAGGTCTGAGGCTCCCTTGTGGGAACAGGAGCTCCTGCTGCCCTGTTACTGTGGGGAGCTCACGTCTTCCTCCACCCCTCTATTTCTGAGATGGGACTTTTGAAAGGGCCAGGCATAGAAAAAGGCACAACTCTAGATCTTGTGGGAGTGTCCAAGTCTTTATTTATGGTGCATTATTCATTGTCTGTGGGGATGACCACACCGCTTGTGAAACTGCGGCTCCTCGGGAGCTGATCCTGCAGTTGCCTCTCTCTTTAGCATTCCACCTTCTGCGGTCTAATGCTTTCTGGGAACAAGGAGAGAGGACAGTGGCAGCAAGCCCTTTTCCTCTTTCCATCTAGGTCCCCCCAGGCAGGAGATTAAGATATGGGCTCAGTGAGATATCAGATCATTGAAGTTAGATGGCACAGGGCCATTGGTAAAAGCCCGAGGCCTGCCTCCTACATCTCTCAGGCTAGATAGTCTGGACTGTAAATTTTTATATGGTTTTCGTTTATATAGTTTAGAGAGTAAGATCAGAAATTACGGAGCCAGTTTTCTCCAACCACTTGTGACTGTGCCCTTGGGCATGCTATTTTACCTCTCTGTTCCTCAGCTTCTTAAACTTTAAAGTGGGCACACAGTAGTGTAAAAGCAAACACACAGTAGTTTCAGCTATTGTATTTATTGCACCAACAGCTGTGGGTGCAGTTCCATGTCTCAGCTGACAGAGGTGAGGAAGTCTTCCCGAAATATGACTACAGGTAGAGGCTGTTGGGAAAGCCGTGCTTTGAGGCCTGTGTGGTAAATCAGGTGCATTAGATTAATTACCTAATCTGTGGTAGATGAAGGCTGAGCACCTGTTTCCTCCTTTGGTTGCATCTTCCTGGACTGTAGCGGCTGCAGAGCCGAAAACTACGTTTCCCAGATACCCTTCTGCCTGAGTTTCTGGATGCAAATTGGCCTCACCAATCAGATTCTCTTAGGTACGGACTGCAAGTCAGAACAGAGAAGGAGGTGTCCTCCTGCTGGCAGGCTCTGCGGTGGGGAAGGAGGGTCTTTCTGTAGCCCTGTGCAGTGTCTGGCCACCAGCTTGGGTGGGTATAGAAGGCAGTTGTCTCTGGATTCCTGCCTTCCTGACTGGGCCATCCCTCTGGATGGCTCTGCAGGGTTGCTGGGGGTCCTTCCTGGAGACTCAGCCCAGAGGTCACTCCTCCTTTCAGTGTCATTAGCACCCAATCTTTACACTCCCTTCTGCAGGGTAGGCAGTAATTTCTGCTTTTTACAACATAACCTTGATAACCTTGATATTTAAGTCTATGGAAAGCTAAAGGACTTTTCTGAGGCAATCTTTTCTGATTTTCCAAGGCAGGTAGGTCACACTCCTTAGCTGTACAGTCTCATTGGATTCCCCACTTGCTAGAACTTTCCTAGGCTTCCTCATTTATCAGCTCATGCTATGAGGACTCTTAGTCCTTGTAAGGTGTGTCTAGGGATTTTCCTGTGTCTCACTTAATAGATTTTTCTCAGGTTGACTACAGGAGGGAGATTTGACTATCAATAGTGGTATTGGTGAGCCCAGTAACTATGTGATGGGACCTGGATATGATGCAATCAGTCAGTCTGACAATGGGGAGATTAAGGTCCAATTGTTCTGCAGATACCACACCTGGCATCCTGTCTAATGTAGACTCTCTCTGTTAGGTGCACAAGTGAACTTATAGCATGGCAAATGAGAAATTATTTCAGTTGGGCCCATAGTTTTGTCTGCATATGTTAATAAGATATTTGATTCAATGTCAACTTAGATCTTGAGAGGTAGAAAAGAGATTCTGCCAGAAGGTCAAATGAGCTGATATCTATGATTGCAAATCCAGCTGAGGATGAAAATACTGGATGAAATGTGAAAGGTAACTCCCATTGTGGGGATCTTGTATAACAGAACAAGGTGGGCACAGCTGTGTGGGTTCGTTGCTGGCTTGGATAAGCTGATGCTCAATGCCGAGAGGATGGTTCTTTCTCCACAGTGCATGTCAGTGGTAAGTTCAGTAGTTCAATTGCACAAGCTAAGCAATTAGCACATATTTTTTAGAAGTTATTTTTGTTTATTTTCATTTTTAAACGTCTATTTCTGAATATGCAAAATCTAAGCTCAGTGGAAGTAACTTGCATAAAACAGACACCCCCATAAGTGTTAAAAAACCAACCACGGGTCCTAGAGGAGGGAAGGTTGAAGGTGGAGAACTGTGGTATGAAATTCAGGGAGAATCTCCACAAAGTTCCAGGTGCTGTGTGCTCCTTGTTGGAGAACAGATGAGTGTTTTCAGGAGACAGGGAGGATTTAGTGCCCAAGAATTGCAGTCGGGCACAGTGGGGTGTGGTGGGGAGTTGCCAGGACCAGGCTTAGCTGAGGGCAGGAGAGACTGCTGGAAACCATAGCTATGAGCATATCCCGTTGAACAGCAAGTTTTGGTGCATGTGGCCAGCCAGCAGGAGAGAGGGCCAGGGAGCAGTGAGGCGGACTCTGGAAGCTGCAGGGAGGCGGGCTCTGGAAGCTGCAGCGAGGCGGGCTCTGGAAGCTGAGGTGGCTCCACATTCTGCTGTCTGTGCCCTACCATTTTTATTTGAGCCAGTTTAATTTTTTTTCAACTAAGTCTCCCTCCCTATCTTCTTCCTCCTTCTCTCCCTTTCTTCTCTTCCTTACCCTTTTTCTTCTGACCTCCATTTAGTTTTAATTCTTTTTTTTTTTAAAGTTGCATATGTATAGTGTGAAGAATTAAATAATTCCATAGGGTCTGTTGTGCAGAATAGTAATCTGCTATCCTCCTCTTCCATTACATCTTTTCCAGAGGAAATATAATAGCTTTAAACTTTACTGCCTTTTTTTTCTTTTTTTTGGTGTTTGCCTCTATATTTTAAAATAGCGTGCTTTTATTGCTACTTTTCAAGAAATTTTCAATTTCAGGCATTATTTATGGAAGCGAGGGCTTTCCTTTCTTTCCTCCTCCCTCTGCCACAAGCATCCTCCCCATTGGTTACACTTTTGGTTAGATCAATATTCATTGTTTTCATTTATTTTGACTTTTGTAACTGTCACTCAGTGCTGAGCCTGTGGCAAATTATGATTGCTTTTCCTTTCCTATATGACTTTTTGTCTTTTCTGGACTAATAGCTGTTTTTTTCATTGTTTATGTCTGTATGTTTTGATTACTAATTTAACTCCAAACTCCCTGCTAGTTGTCCAAATCTCCTTTCTCAAATTTCCCAGACATTAGGTGTTCTGAGACTTCTGTCTTCTTGAGTAAACCTTTTCCAGAAACTTTGGGCCTGATTCAATGCAGGGTTCTTGCTTTCAGGCCCCACGCTCAGCTGTATGTTCCTGGACTTTCCCTCCACCATCACTGTAGGGATTCCCTTCTCACTTTGCTCCTCTGTTTCCTTGCTTGAGCCTTCCTCTGATTTCGAATACCTCCTTGTTTTGGGGATGCACCTCCTCCAGGAGCTTGCTGGTACAGAATGCATGGGACTCTATCTGTCAGGATTCAGAGGGCAAGCTCTAGTAAGAAACTTCAAGAAGCATTTAATAAAGGGATGGTTTACAAAGATGTGGAAGGCTGAAGAAACTTGGGGCCAGTACGAGCAAAAGTCTTTTTCCATACCTAGGTTTGGGGTCATGGGAAGGAAGCAGTTACTGGGATCTGCAGACAAAAATATATTTGAAGGTAGCAATCAACCCACATTGGTCTTGCGGGAATTTTCTCATTTTGCTCATTTTGGAACTCCTACCAGACAATGATCATCCTGCACTGATGGCCTTTTCTTCTTTATTTTATATAATTTAGAAATTTTGCCCTATTTCCTGTGAGGTTTATTCAGTTCTTTTTTCTAAACTTCTATAGTTTCTTGTGGGGAGGCAACATTTTACTATCGTATTTTACATTTCCAAGAGCTTGCTTCAGTCCTCTCAATGTTCATTTTTAATAACATCTTGTTCTTGTTTCATGATTGCACTATTTCCTCTTACTTTTCTGAGCATAGTAATAATCTTTTTGAGGGAAACATTGTATTCTCTCTAAATAGTTTTTCTATAGTATCCTCCAAAATGTGTTTAGCATGCTTTTGTGTTTATTTTTTCTTTCCTTCAGGTCAGTGATGTTTTTTTCAGATGGTTAGATTTCCTTGTATCTCTGGTCGTATTTAAAAGTAGAAGATGAAGAAGCTGATTGGAAGCCCTGAGCACATTTGTGGGTTGCTATATGGGCTCTGATGTAGGATGATCTGGTTGAGCCATTGTACTGGGGAATCCTTGATGGTTATACTGGTTATACTGGTTGTACTGGGGAATCCTTGATGTTAGTGACTTTTGTCTCTTCTCTTGGGCGGAACAGAGTCCTCAGAGAAAACCTTACAATCTTCTGCAGAGGGTGAACGTCTAGCAATGATCTGGGAACTAAAGGGAAGAAGATTGCTGGGGTCGAAGGAGGGCCTCAGCATCCAGGATCCAGTTTCACTTCATCTTCCCTTTTCAACATAACCATCTCTGACGACATCTTGAACATTTACATTTATCTTCTCAAATGACTAGCCTTCCATTTTCTTGCTAGAGTGTGGATCTGGAAGTCTATCTGTTTTTAAAGTGGCTACCAAGCCGTCCTTCACCTTCATTCTACTTCCAGCACCTCAGGGTTCCCTGCTGAACCTCTGGGAATCTCATGGCTCAAATCCAACTGGCCACTGGCTTCCTTACTGCTGGTTGAGTGAGGAGTCATCTTTCTTTGGTCCACCAAGTCAGTTACCACCTGCCTTTCTGCCTTCTAATTATGGTTTCTTTGATCTTTCTCCATATCCTTACAGGTCTAGGACCTAAAAAAATTACTTTTATGGTGTGTTAGTGGAGTTCTGTGAGGGTGTGTAGAGCTAAATGTTGAAATTTTAGTCTCTTTCCTAAGGCAATTCCCCATTCCTAGAAGAAGACAGCTACATGGTCCCTCACCAGAAAGGCTGCTTTCTCCTGTATGAATTGGGCTCCAGCTGGAGATTGGCTGGTCTGTGGGCTGGTGAAAAATCAGGCTTTTATTCATGGCTGTGTTGTTCCTCTGAAGCTCATTTTGCCTTCTGGAGACCCAGCAACAGGGCCATGTTCTGAACAATGGTGCTGTCTTTTCCTTTTTGCAGTACACTATCCTCCATTTCTGTGACCGCATGCAACTCTAGCCAGTCCCTAGCTCAGATAACCTGAATGGAGGCCACACCTCCCTGAGGTCCCTGGGGCTCATTTTCTGAAGGGCATCACCGGGACTGGAACTCCCAGATCATCTCCTATGTCCCATCCTGTGCCCCAGTCTTTTAATGAACCTTCAGATGATATATTTAAGAGATTTAATCATGGATTACTGCATTATACCATAAAACCTTTTTGCTTCCATGCAGTAACTTTCTGATGCCTGTAGCTCTACGAGTAACAAAGATGGTATATTCAGGCAGTATTTTTGTCTGTGAGGTTTCCCGCAAGTATCTCTGTTTAGCCAACCCAGGGACAACATCCTGTGGCTTTGTTTTCCTTTGGGAGCTAAACTGGCTCATTTTATCAGGGGTGAAGCAAGATAAACCTTAGGAATAAATAGTTTTGTGTCAAAAGTTGCTGCCTTGAAAATTTGTTTCCACAGGGTGTCAATGTGCTGATATTCCAATCTTGCAGAAATCGACTGGATTTAGTGGAATTAAAGTCAACTGGAAGACGATCTGTGGGGATAATTCCATGATTCAAAGCCTTCAGGGAAAACGTGTTTGCTCAGCTGCAGTGATTGAAAAATTGAAGGCAATGAGAGTCATATGTTATGCTTGGTTATGTCCTGCTCTGATGCCAGTTTGGAGTAAAGGCTGAACTTTGCTGTTGAAAGCCACTGTGGAAAGTGGAAACATTGACTGTGCGTTGCTGAGGGGAGGAATGTATTTACTTACCCAGAAATAGACGCATCCTTGTCTCAGTGGGCTGGGAGATAGTATCAATCCTTTCTGTTGCAACAGATCCCACTGCCTTCTTTTTTCAAAAGAGTAAATATTTAAATAGGTAATACAGAAAAGTTATTGCCATTTTTCCTTCATCAGCCATGGCTGGGAGTCAAAAGAGAGAGTGAGGCAGAACTCACACATGGGGAAATAATATTGTGGACGTTATATATAATCCTTTTAAAGTAACGGCATTAGACTTCGTGATTTGCAATTGGCCAAATTGAGAAAACTTTTCTCAAAAAGCCATTTTAAGATAAAAAATTATGAATTTTCTTAAGCCCTGTGATTAGAGTGTAACACGTATTTATGGTCCCCCCAGGCACCACCCAATAAAAATGGTTAAAACCTTTAGTACTTTTAGTAGTTCACAGTTTTATGGCCAAAGTTATTTTGTAGATTTTATGCTTAAAGCAAGGTCAATGTATTGCACTGTATAAATTATTCTAAGTAATTGCTCAGTTATTTTATAGCTTAGTCACAGGATTTTTTCATTATTAAACGTAGCCTTTTCTTTAAAGTTAGGATGAGAAGGGCACGATAAATCACAGAGCAGCTTGCCATTGGGGTTTCAGCTTTACCTGTGATAAGGGTTTAATAACAATCTGGCCCAGACACCAGCTCCCTCTCAATTACCTTTCCACATGGGCATTAGTTCACACTGTTTATTAAAAACTCCCCTTGTAGTTCTTAAATGGAGTGTTTCAGATTAATGGCCCCCACGGAGTTTAACTTCATTGCACTTCATTAAAGCTAGATTGTACAAAAGGTTACTTCAATTAAATCCAGAATGCGACCTTAAATCTGTATAGATTTTTTTCAGAAAATGTGATAAAATTGCTCTGCCAATCCTTCAAGATTAACAAGACAAAATCCCTTTCAGTAACCAAAGTACAAAAATTTGTGTGCCTGTTCTGAGTTTTCCTCTGGCTGTACAACTGGATTTTATAGAATTAGAGGACAACTCGTGGAAAGAGCCTGGAGTTACAAATGGATCAAGTTACCGGAGAGCTGAGCCCCAGTGTGAGGCTGGAGAGTTTGGGAGACCTTTTGTTCCCCTTGAGTGGATGCTGTACATTTGGTGCTTTAGAAAAAAAAATATTTTGCTTCCCATATAATAAAAATATTTTTCTAAATAGATTGGTCTGTGTCTTTTCAAAAAAAAAAAGTGACGTAAAATCTTCTGAGGTTTTCTTCCTTAGCTACTCCAATCTGTGAGGCGCAGTTTGTGGCAGTTCTTAAACATTGTTTCCTCAGGAAACACGGGACAACTGGAGGCATTAATTACCCATCCTGCACCACGAGCATCTGGCCTCATTGTCTAGAGGCAACTGTGGAAAGTGATGCTCATTAACACCATGGCTCAGTAGCTCCATGTCATCTTTCTGTGAGTTTCAAGCGACTCAGTGAAGTCAACCCAGATCCATTTTCTGCTCTTTTTGGATGGACAAGATGCTCACAACCAATGCCCAGAATCTGCTTATAGTTTTAAAAGCTCTTCTATTGTAAATATTTTTTAAATGCCATTAATTTTATTTTTTGAGATGGGGGCTATGT
The DNA here is from genome assembly GCF_000001405.40 of Homo sapiens. Classification (NCBI taxonomy): domain Eukaryota; kingdom Metazoa; phylum Chordata; class Mammalia; order Primates; family Hominidae; genus Homo; species Homo sapiens. The sequence continues at coordinate 112,452 of NT_187650.1, read as the reverse complement.
TGTCCAGGCTGGTCTTGAACTCCTGAGCTCAAGTGATCTGCCTGCCTCGGCCTCCCAAAGTGCTGGGATTACAGGTGTGAGCCACTGTGCCCAGCCAAAAAATGCTATTAATTTTCGATTATTAAAAAAAGTTGGCCGGGCATGGTGGCTCATGCCTGTAATCCTAACACTCTGGGAGGCCGAGACAGGTGGATTCCCTGAGCTCAGGAGTTCGAGACCAGCCTGGGCAAGATGATGAAACCCCGTCTCCACTAAAACACAAAAAATCAGCTGGGCATGGTGGTGAGTGCCTGTAATCCAGCTACTCAGGAGGCTGAGGCACAAGAATTGCTTGAACCTGGAAGGCAGAGGTTGCAATGAGCCAAATTTGCGCCACTGCATCCCAGCGTGGACAACAAAGCAAAACTCTGTCTCAAAAAAAAAAGTTAAGCCTATATTGAGGTTTTAAGGAACTGAGGCTATCATTGTTACTCAGATGTCAGTGCATCTGAGTTTGTAGTATTGTTGCTGTTTGGTTTTTCTGCCAGTATTTTTTTTTTTTTGTCTAGGTTCTGTCTACTTTTCATGATCAAAACTGGCATTTACTAAGGAATCCAAAATAATCTAAGCATTTATTCAAATGTCTTATATATGCATTATACATGACGATATTCATTGCACACTTGTGCATAGGGTCAGGACTCTGCACAGAGAGAAGAGATGTCATCTGGGGAAAGTGACACGAAAGTCCTCTCACTGGGTACATTTACATATAAGTAATTTGTCTGGGTGGAGACACTGAAGATTTGTTTAAATACAATATTGTATGAAGAATGGAGGAGCCATTAAATGATTATCACCAATTAACAGCCAAGTTCATTAAACTAGCATGTTACTTATTTGGATCCTCAGGGGACCATCAGAAAATAGATATATTTTGACTTACAGAAATTAGCACACTGAGAACAAGTGACACTACGGACAGGTCGGCCCCACTCTGGTGTCATGGCGGGGAAAGGGTGGCACTACGGACAGGTCAGTCCCACACTGGTGTCACGGTGGGGAAAGGGTTTTGCACAACCGGAAGGGGGAATGAAGACCCTGGGCACTAGGCATTTTAAGAGCAAAAGAAAAGAATAGAAATAAGTGAGAAAATTGTATCCACTTAAGAATTTGGGATTGTGTTGTCTACACATATTGTAGGTTAACCAGTCTCCAAATGTGGTCTTATTCTCCAGATCACATTTGGAGACTAGCTACTACTAAAAATACAAAAATTAGCTGGGCGGATGCCTGTAATCCCAGCTACTCGGGAGGCTAAGGCAGGAGAATCGCTTGAACCCGGGAGGCGGAGGTTGAGGTGAGCTGAGATCGGGCCATTGCACTCCAGCCTGGGCAACAAGAGCAAAACTCCATCTGAAAAAAAAAAAAAAATAGATTTTAAATAAAAATGTTATTTAATTAACATGTAATAGGTTTATTATTACTATTTTAAAATAAATCACTAAATATTTTTAGATTGTTAGTTTGTGTTTTTTCTATGATAAATATTAATAAGTATAAATATAAATCAAATCAACAAAACTTTTTGAAGTCCAGGATACTTTTTGAGCCTAATGGGGTCCTGAGAGTCAAGTATTTGGCAGCCACTGATCTAGGTGGTGAATAGATTCCTTCCTCATTGTAATTTGTCAGGCATTCAAGAATTGCCTGTGGAGAATGCTGGCATTGAGAATATTGAAGTCCTGGGAATACCTCTATGCACGTACTTCTCCAAATGTAGTTGGAGAGAGAAGTTTTGCTAAAACAGCTTTCTCACATTTATTTATTTATTTATAATTCTTTTTAGAGACAGGATCTTGCTTTGTCGCCCAGGCAGGAATGCAGTGGTGTGATTGTAGCTCACTGCAGTCTCAAACTCCTGGGCTCAGGCGATCTCCTGGCCTCTGCCTCCCCAGTAGCTGAAAACAGCTTTCTATTATTACATAAAACAAACATTAAGGAAGATGGCTGTGACTGCAGGTGCAGCAGGGAATAAGTAAGAAATATGAAAATTAAAAGGAAGGAATTTGAAGGCATTAATAACAAGCTTATTCTAATTCATCACTTTCCTTTGGTATAGTAATTAGACTATTTTGCCACTGATGAGATTTTAGAATAGAATATTAATTTGTATCAGACTTAATTAAAATTCAAAAACAGGCCAGGCATGGTGGCTCATGCTTGTAATTCCAGCACTTTGGGAGGCTGAGACAGGTGGATCACGAGCTCAGGAGTTCGAGACCAGCCTGGCCAACATGGTGAAACCCCATCTCTACTAAAAATACAAAAATTAGCTAGGTGTGGTGGTGGGCGGCTGTAGTCCCAGCTACTCAGGAGGCTGAGGCAGGAGAATCACTTGAACCCGGGAAGCCGAGGCTGCAGTGAGTCGAGATCGCACCACTGCACTCCAGGCTGGGCAACAGAACAAGACTCCATCTGAAAAACAATAAAATTGAAAAACAATGTTTTGAACTAAAATGTCTCAAATGAGCATGGATAAAAAGTTGCAAGTTGTGACCTGCTAGTTGAGAATTGGAAATAATTGGGAGTCCTTGGATTGGGATGAGGAGAAGAGAAGGAAATTGTAGGATGATGTGCAGAACGAAGCAGCTAGTGGAGCAACAACAGCTCCTAAAGTAGGCGACTAGCATTTTGCAATAGTATTGGAATAAGTTTTCCATACAATTAAGCTGCACCATTCAAGTATGACTAGAAGGTGACTGGCTTCACTTTTAGACAGGAATCAATGGAAAAATCTCACTGGAGGACTTTGATGGCATTGGTGGAGATCATGAGTCTAATCTTTGACCAATGAGCAGAAGCTAGGGATGGGGTTGGAGATGCAGTTGGAGAGTGAGAAGAAGCAGTGTCCACATAAAGGAAAGCATTCTTCCCATAGGAAAAATGGGGCACTGGTCAGAAATAACAAACACGCCCAGTCAAATCCTAAGTAAGTTTGCAGCTGGATTTTTTCCAGTAATGTCTTCACTGGCCTTTTGTCCTTGAGTTATTCTCATCTCCTGCCCATCAGTGCCATATTAATAACCTCTCCAGACCCATTACATTACGATATTCTTTGCTTAAAACTTTCAGTCACTTTTATTACCTACTGAATTAACTTCAAACACCTTCTCTTGCTATTTAAGGTGTTCCAGAACTTGGTCTCACCCTGACTTTCTAGTTCCATCATTTTGACTCCTTTGCAAAAGCCAGAGTTGTCTGTTCTTTGAATCTTGTATGCATTGAGCAGATTCTTATCTCCATTTGCTTACCAATGACATAACTTTGCACTTATCATGTTCTCCTTTTATCCAAATATTAACTACTCTTAAAAGTCAAGCTCAGCTATTGTCCCAGCTACTCAGGAGGCTGAGATGGGATGATCACTTGAGCCTGGGAGATCAAGGCTGCAGTGAGCTGTGATTGCCCCACCCCAGTGACCTCCAGCCTGGATGACAGAGTGGGACCCTGTCTCAAAAGAAAAAAAAGTCAAGTTTAGGTTCAGTGTGCAAAAGAAAAGAGTTGTCACATAAGGAATTAGTTGGCCCTGAAATGTCAGACTTAGAGTGTTGGCTTCTTTTCCTAAGTCTTCCTTGCCTAAGTCTTCCTCTCCTAAGTCTTCCTCTCAATCTCGTAGGCTCAGAAATCTGATTTTGTTAAAAAATCATTCTCAGTATTGGGCTCAAAGAAGCTGAGCTTACAAGACTAATTTTAAATTACAGATTTTCCAGTGTGAACCCACAATGCTCACATTGGCAAAATTTCCATTTGAACATCACACTGTAGACAGAACTTTTTAGAAGTCTAAAAATTTCTAGGTGATTGCTTTGCAAAGATAAGGCTAAAAACATTACTAAGTTTTCATCTCTGTAATGCAGATGGCCTTACTAAGGTCACCATTCTATTGAAGCCATTCAGCTAAAGCTCTCTAGAATTCTTCCAATGTTTGCATTTCTGACTTTTTTATTTTTACTTTTTGACAATCCATTTTACTATTGGCACATCCAATTATTAGGTCTTTTCATGTGATTAATGAGATTATTGTTCATTTTTGCTGATCTGGGTGCAATTCATTCTGTTTTCTTAAGGAGACATTACCTAGCTTGGTTCTGAGTCTTTATGTCTTGATTTCACAATCTAATTATTCAAGAGTAATCTTAAGTTTCTTCCTTCCAAGTGCTTGGAAGAACATTTTATGATTTTACTGGCAACAATCATTATTTGATCTTTACAACAACCCTTAGGCAGACAGGGAAGATGAGTATCACGCTAATTTATAGATGAGGAAGCTGAGCCTTAAAGCATTAAGGGAGTTGTCTGAACTCACACATATTAACTGGATCAATTAGATCTCAAATTAAGACCTTTGTTCTACTACAGAACCGCCTGATGCAAGGACCACTTCTTCAGGCCAATTAGAGCACCTAGCAATGTGCTGGGATCACTGTACGTGCTTAATATATATTTATTTTAAAAAAGAATGAGGATACTACTATGACAAAAAAGTGAAACAAATTACCAGTTTCACAAAGTTAATTGTGAACTCCTAGGATGCATTCTTCATTGTCAACTGTCAACCCACTAAAGTAATTTTGGCTTTATGATTTGGAAAATGAGCATGATAATTCTTCCTGGTGTGAATTACTCAGGGTATGAGTGGACCATGAAGGTTTAAGATGAGTTATTGCAGTGGTCATGAGTCACAGTCGTGTGGATGAGGATTTAAGAAGATACGTGACAGGAGGTGGAGGAGCACAAGGCTTTCGAGACCATGAGTTGTAAGGAAGGTCAGGACCCTGGATAGGTCCCTGGTGCATAACAGCTGTAATTGTGAGAAAGCTTTCTTCCAGATTATTATCTTTTATTTAGATTTAAGCTTCCCTGGGTGACGTCTCCCCCGATGGAATTCTTTGGCTTGGTTATGGAAGATTTCAGAGTTTGGGGGAAGACTGTATCAGCGAGGTGCTCAGTTGCAAACAACAGAAATAAAGTCTGGCTAATTTAAGTAAGAAATTCAGAAGAAGCAATATTTATTAGAACTATATTTGGAAGAATCAATCACGCGTCTGGAGATCCATACTCAAAAAATGTGTGGAAACTAAGTGAAATTAGGCAGCTGAGAACGCATGGTTAGCACCACTGCTAGTGGACAATCGCTGGCCTGATCCTGCTGTGCTTTAACTCCACTGCTGCATGGACTTTACACAGTCGCTACTTTCCTCAGAGCTTGGCATTGCTTTCTCAAGATCCTAGAACTGGCTAGAGCTCTGATTGGCAAAGAGCCTAGAGCTGGCGAGAGCTCTGATTGGCCAAGATCCTAGAGCTGGCCAGAGCTCTGATTGGCCAAGATCCTAGAGCTGGCCAGAGCACTGATTGGCCAAGATCCTAGAGCTGGCCAGAGCTCTGATTGGCCAAGATCCTACAGCTGGCCAGAGCACTGATTGGCCAAGATCCTAGAGCTGGCCAGAGCTCTGATTGGCCAAGATCCTAGAGCTGGCCAGAGCTCTGATTGTCCAAGATCCTAGAGCTGGCCAGTGCTCTGATTGGCCAAGGTTCTACAGCTGGCCAGAGCTCTGATTGGTCAAGCCTCTGCCCTAGCTTCCTGGGAGCAGAGTTGAGATGTCTCCTTTCATTTGGCCTCTGGAATGTTCTAAATAGCAAATGTGGGTACCTTTTTTTTTGGATGGCTGGGCCTGGTGGCTCATGCCTGTAATGCCAGCTATTCAGGGGGCTAAGATCGAAGAATTGCTTGAGGCCAGGAGTTTGAGACCCCTTATCTAAATACATAAAAATAGGCAGTTGTGGTGTGTGCCCGTAGTCCCAGATACTCAGGAGGCTGAGGCAGTAGGATCGCTTGATCCCAGGAGTTTGAGGCTGCAGTAAGATGTGATCGCACCACTGCACTCCAGCCTGGGCAACAGGGTGACCCTGACTCTAAACTTTTTTTAAAAAAGAAAGAAAACAATGATTAATCTTTGCTCTGACCTCAGGCTTCCCACTTTTTGAAGAGCTGGGTGGGCTAATGGGCTGGCCTGAGCTTTTGTCTTTGTTTGTCACCACCCACCCATCAGACCACAAAAGTTGTTGCTGAAACTCCTCAAGTTCCCACATGCCCAATGATGACAAATAGGTTTAGTGCTCTGCTTACCTTTTCAGGTTTCTGGCTTGATTTAGATTCATAATTCTTAATATTTCTTACTTTCTTGCCAGAGTATCAATGCATTTTTGAAAGATTTAAAAACATGGTATTCCATGTCTACCTTTACTTTCAATCTGCCTATGTAGGTCATCATACATGCAGAAATAGGAGTTAGGACTGGTTCTTTGTAATTATCTTACCAAAAGAATAAGGTATGCACCTTGAGCTAGCGAACAACATGATGCCTGGGAAAACGGGGAGAAAATACATTCAAAAAACATGCCTGGATGATGCATCAGCGGGGCCAAAGTACTATGCTCAGCAGACAGAGCCAAATATACACATTATGGACAAATTTATTTGGATTATTTATTGTGAACCTGGTATTCCTTCAATTTAATAGTAGAATAATATCTTAAGCACACGCAGACTGGTAAAATAAAAGAACCAGATGGTCAAAATCTGAATTTAACAACTGTATCAAGCGACTGAGTCTACTGCCGTTTATAATGTCAGCTTCTGGCTGAATTCTGAGCATGTCTTGGTCTCTGCGGCTCAAGACATCTCACACAGGTGCATCTGTGTGGTAAGAGCCATGATGAAGGCAAGATGGAAGCTCTGAAGTTCAATTTCCTTCATGACAACTAAAAGATCAACGGGTAGACATGGCTTCTCTTCCTCGAAATGGTAGGATTAAATGTTGTCACTTCTCATGAACTTAACAAAAAGCTAGTCAGCAGAGTGTATTGATGAAGAAACACGTAGTTCAGCATGCAGTCAGACCGTTATGAGCCTGCCTTGTGGTTTTGGCACTGCGGTTTCTTTCATTGGATGTGTCAGTGTGGGCATGCTCCCTTATGCAAGCCTGAGCCAGCCATGCAAACTCCCAGCCTCTTTCTCTCATAATGTATTTTGGAACCCTGTTGTAAGACTATTAAAATATTTATAAAACTTTCAGGTATTGCGTATAATGCATTGATGCTAATTGATGCAATAAATGGATACTAATGCAGGATAGACTTTTCAAAATACTGCGATTTTTAAAAATATATGATCAGCTGGAATGGTATGTGAAATACAATATTAAATTGCAGTGTTGAAACTGCGAAAGGTCAAACAAATACCTTTTCCTCTGTAATATGTGCAATAATGTTTCATTTAACCAGCAATATTGGAGACCTAGGTATTTCATAAACATGACTTTTACAAGTAATTGAAGGTTACCTTTAGAGAACTTCAACATTTTAAAATTTTAACTTGCCAGGATGGAAAGCATTAAAGAGTTCATTGCCCACTTCCTGAATTTAGAAATAAGAACACGGAAAAATAGAGATTAATCAAACCCATGTTTCCACCACAGAGATTTTCCTTCTTTATAAATTGAGGATATTGAATACAATGTAATATTTTTAAAATAACTGTATGTTATTATTGTAAACATTATTATTACACCATGCTGTGTGATAAAATATACTCAGGGAGTTTTGTGGCATATGGGGATGGTTCAAAATTTTATTTACCTGGTTATAGAAAATATGGAAAGCATAGAAAAGAAAATAAAAATGACTATAAACACACTAGCCAGAGGTAATCATGGTTAACATTTTAGTGTTATTACTATTTCTGAATACGGTTACTATGTTACTCTATATACACTTTTTAATTCTTCTCTACCCAATTAATAAATTGGGAATGTTTTCTCATAGCCTTAAACATCCTTAATGACTTGCTTTCTAATGATTATGTGATTTTGCCTCCTATGGCAGTGGCATCATTATTTTGTTAACCAGTATCCCGTTGATGAACATTTAGATTTATCCAGTTTAGCCATTGTAAGTAATGCTATAGTGACCACTTTGGTAAGTAAATCCTAGTGGACATCTTTTATTTATTTAGAAAGGGGTTAGGAAGTACTTACATCTTTTATTTATTTAGGAAGCGGTTAGGAAACGCTTACAGTGGGGTTTAGGAAGCACTTACAGTGGGGTTAGGAAGCACTTACAGTGGGGTTAGGAAGCACTTACAGCGTGTTGTGCACTCTTCTATGTGCTTGGGATTCCATCTTTGTTCTTGCAGTATTTATATTCCAGTAGGTGAGACTTACAGTAAACATAGAGAAGCCCGTTAGATAGTATATTAGAACGTGGTAAATGACATGAACTGTGTTCTCTTAAGATAAATTCCTAGAAGAGTCCTGAAACATTCTTCTAAAATGCTTTTCAGAATGGTTGTACTGATTCAGTTTTCTGTCAAACATGTTTGCATATCTCTTTTCCTATCTTTGAAAACAGGTGTTGCTAAAAAAAAAACTGCCATTTGGTTAAAGACAATTTATTTTATTGCTTATACTTGCATTTTTTTATTCTAGTGATTTCTGAACACATTTTAGTATGTTCATTGATTATTTGTATATCTTCCTTTGAAAAATACCTGTTTATGTCTTTCGGATAATGTCAATAATTTGAGGAAAATTGCCTTTGGAGAAAGGAAATGCCGTTCATTTTTTTGTGCCCATTTAGTCACCCAGTGTAGTAGATCTATCTCATTTATCGCTCCTGGAAGCTCTTCTTTCTTTTCCTTCTGTTCCTGCCTTAATTTAGGAGGCCTTAATCTCTTCTCACCTGGATTTCAGCTAAAAGCTCCAACTGATCTTCTTGGCTGCAGCCTTATTGGCTTCATTCCATCAAAGACACAGCCTCGTAATCACCTTCCTAAAATATAAATCGAGACACATCATTCTCTTCGTTAAAATACTTCAGTCACTTTTTTTTCTTTCTAAGTGAAGCTGAAGCCCTAGTGAAGTTTGCAAATCTTCCCATGACCTGGCTCCTGCATACACAGCAAACCTCGCCTTTCTGGCACATAGCAAACCCTCAATAGGTTTTACGTAATGGATGACATTGATCACTGCTAAAGGAGGCCCGGATGGCCATGGCTTTCCTCACGCCGTGGAGATTTAGGCTGGATCCTACACTAGCTGCTTCCAGATGACATGTATTGAGCAGTGATTCACAAACTTTTCATTCTTAGGACCCCTTTACACAGTTCAAATTATTGAGGACACTTAACAGCTTTTATTCACATGGGTCATGTCTATCTATATTTACTTTATTGAATACCAAAATGGGAAATGTAAAAAAATATTTATCAACTCATTTAAAATAATATTAAGACCAACACATTTTAATGTAAATAACATTTTATGAAAAATAATTATATTTTCCAAACCCCTCAAAAATTGGTGAGAAAAGGGAAATTGTTTCACATTTTTGCAAATCGTTTAAATGTTTGACTAACAAATGACAGTTACAGATGTGTGAATGAGCCCAGTCCAGATCAGCTGAGTCTGGCCCAGAAGATCAGGCCTGCCCCAATGAAGCCAGCTCAAATTGCACAAATGAGCCCAGTCCAGATCAGCTGAGTCCGGCCCAGAAGATCAGGCCTGCCCCAGTGAAGACAGCTCAAACTGCGAGCCCGGAAATTGTAAGTGAAATAAAGGTTGTTGTATAAGCCATTATGGTCGTCGGGGTTCTCCGGAGAAAGAAGTAAGATACGATACATGAGAGGGAGAGATGTATTATAATGAATTGGCCCACACGATTGTGGGGACTGGCAGGCTGCAGGCTGGAGAGCCAGAGAAGAGATGAAGAAAAGAGAAGAGATGATGCTGAATCTGGAGCCCAGAGACCACCTGGAGGCAGGATTCCCTTTCCCTCCGGGACCTCTGTCTTTCTTTCTCTTAAGGCCTTCAACCATTTAGGTGAAGTCCACTCACATTATGGGGGTAACCCTCTTCACTAAATATCCACTGATTTCAATGTTAATCTCATCTAACAAATACCTTCACAGCAATATTTACACTGAGTGTTTGACCTAATATCTGGGTTCATGGCCTAGCCAAGTTGGCACAAAATCGCCCCTTGCAACGACCAAGTTTAAGATGGTGTGTTATGGGACAAAAGCCATCTGGCATACTTTGTAACCATCATCTCCGCTGGTCTTTCAACCCTGCAGACTCAGCTGTCTTAAGAATTTTTCGGCAAAATTTTGTAATTCCAAAATGTAGTAATTCCAAAAGGTAAAATTATTTTTCTCTGTGAAATTTTAAGCTTTTAAAATATAGTAATGTAGCAAATGGTTTAAAAATATTAACAATAGTTTTCTATAAACAGAATTCCTCTTTGTGACTACAGTTGGGTGGTACATATGTTCAGGACTGAATCCAGGCAAATAGGTGTCTTTCCTGGAAGATGGTTTTGGTTGTTGGGTAGAAAGTTTTCAGGTGTTTTTCTATCAATCATCTAGGAAATGTTAATTGACTTTCTTACCTGTTACATACTGGGCTGTGTGCTAGACACCGAGGTCTCAGCATTGATCTCTGTTCTGCAGGTATAAAACAAAACTAGATGATTCTTTTCCCTTAGGAGTGAATTTTTTTCCTTAAAGCAGTTTGCTCTTTTTCATATTCTGTCTCTATTCTGTGTATTTAAGTACTTTCACCAGAATAATATGCATTGGCTGCTCCCATGGAAGAAATTACCTGCTCCTTTCCACTCCCAGCTCCAAGAGCAGTGTGGAAATGAACGGAGCCAGCACAGTGCTCTGTGCCAGTTCTTTGTTGCTTTATTTTGTTCACAGATCTCTTGAGGCCAGGATTACCCATAGTGCGTTGTTTGTGTGTCTGCATTTTCGCGGCATAAAAGAGTTTTAAAGGCTCCAAATGGATATTTCCTATGATCTTGAATAAAAGAATCACTAGATGAAAGTGCTACTCACTTGAGATCTGCAAAACTTTCTAAACACAGCTAAACGTTGGCTTCTGAGTCTTGTTCAGTTCTGAAATAAGGCTGTCTGCCTTCCTCCTTATAAATTTCTCATGTGACTGCAAACATTCTAAATGCATCCTACTATTGTGGAGGATAAAATAGATGTTAGAAAGTTGATATAATCCTAGTAGGTACCATTTAAAGGAGCCTTAGTATGTTATGACACTAGCTAACCAACTTGTAAACATTCTCTAATTTAAGCCTTATGACAATCATGCAAGTTAGGGACTAGATTAAGAAAACTGAGGCAAAATGATATATTTAATAAAGTGCTTTGCCTAAGTATACTCAGCTAGTAAGTGGCAGGCTGAGCATGAAAACCTGAGTGTGTTTGACACCAGGCCTGTGGTCTAGATCACTCCACTATGTAGCCCTGACCACATCACCATTTGTGGGGTGAGAATGCAGTCCTAGCTCAGTGGGTAAGAGGATCCAGGTGAGATTACCTCTGATCAATCCTTTGCTTCTTTACTTATTCACTGTTATTCAATGGCTCGGTATCTCAGTTTATTCCTCTTTAAGATTAGAATAATAATGTAGCCTTCTTCCTAGGGTTGTTACAGGAATTAAGTTAATACGGGTATGGTGCTTGGAATACCACTGGCATATACTAAGTTCTCCTTAAATATTAGCTCTTCTTATAAAATTGAATGCAACTTTTCCATCAGGATGTCAAGTTTTTGGTTTTCTATGCAGCTAAGTCAATAATCTTAAATTTAGTTGCTAATGACTTTTAGATTAAGGTTGTGTCTATGTGATTCCAAAGGACAAATAAAGTCAATTTGGAAACAACTCAAGCCAATCGCCAATTCAATGAAAATGTTAGTTAGGCTCTTGTTTGGTGTCTCGAGGATAAATGTAGTAATTCTTTTTGTAAAAAACTTTTTAAAAGTCTTTCAGTTGGTTGCATGATTATGTTGAAGTAAGTCTTCAATTTATTAAGAAGCAAAACTGTTGGGACGTTAAGGCGTCTTCAGCGTGGCTTCACACTCCAAACTTCCACGCTCTCAAAGGGTCTGTAGAAGGTCTTGGAGGAATGTGTGGAGAGAGCAGAATAGTGGGAGTCAGGCCCAGCTTTCCCCAGGAATGTTCTAGGTTATTACATGAGCATCTCAGGCAGATCATCACTTGTTCTGTAATTCAGCTTTTCCTACTGTAATTAGTGAATTAAACTTTCTTACTTGGCTGCTGTCTGAGGGGCCTCAGAGCCCTTGCGACGCTCTGGGCACCTTGTGAGTGCTTCGAATGTACAACATAGAAACACAGGGCCAGCTGAGCCTACCATCTTTATCACAATGTACCACATAATTATAAATGTCCCATTTATAATTTTGTTTTTAAATGCATGTTCTTTCAAAAGGTTGTTACAATTTTAACAACAAATTTTGTTAATATTTTAGAAAACTGGGAAAATACAGAAAAGCATAAAGAATAAGACAGAAATCATGCAGAGTCTCATCATCATATAGCAGCACATTTATGTCTAGAAAATGGTTGCTTTAAAGTGTTTGCATGGACTAGGGATGTATGAAATTGTAGGACAAAATGAAAATCTGATTATTCATGTCAGCCCTAAGAATGGTGTTAGTACTTGATACAACTTACATTATTTTAGCTTTAAAAAAGAATGTTCATCTGAACTGCAATAAAGCTAGAATTATATTACCTTGAAAGGATGTCTCTGGGAGTTGTAAGTCAAAACAAGGCTGTATTACAAAAAATTAAATAATAATAATAATGTGGAGATAAATCGACGTATGTATCGAGAGTTATGTCTGTGCTACTTCGGGGCAGAGAGTTTCCTGTTTGGGTTGAGATTTGCAGAGCTGGTGATTTTCCAGGACTACATGAGGCTCCCAGGCAGGTCACCGAGGCTCAGTGCCCCTAGAGCACCGTCTCACAGCTCTTGAGGCAATGCCTGGTTGACTGTGTGCTGTCACTCGACCTTTTCTATGAAAGATGAGACGCTCTTCCCACTAATGGATGCAAATGTAAGAACTGGCTGCCTGAAACAGCAGTGAGGTAAGAATTACTATCTGAGGCCACATCAGCCCTGGCATCTGACTTATGTTCAATGAGCTCCTCTCTTGGGCTACACAAATAAGCATCATTGTTTTTAAGGCCAAATTCCTGAAACAGAATTCACATCTTGTCCTTTTCCCGCAGGCTGCAACTCTCCTGTTACTCTGGGGGAAAGCTTAACAACTAAGATTCAGAGCAAAGGAAGACGATGCCGGCAGCAGGCTTTGGGTGCTTGTGGGGCAGCAGGTTGTACCAGGGGCAGGTGCAGACCCCTGCCTCCCTTGCCTTCACCACAGTCACAACAGGCCAGGCCAGCCCATCCATCATGTCTCTAGGATATCTCAGGGGTTCAAGGCCACCACACCATTTGCAGCACACTCCACTCGCTGATCTGTGATATGGGAGATGTGCTTATTGGCGAATAAATCACCATGTCAAGTTAACGGCCTGTGTCCAAGGCGAGTGACTTCGAGGTCAGCATAGCAGCATACCATTGGATGCAGCGGGTTCTGCTTCTGCGCACAGTGCCTCATCAGAACATAAATTTTCAAATACCAGATGTGATAAAAGACAACATCGAGCTTTCTGTTTTTTGAAGGAGAGGAGAAGGAGATCCTGGATACATTCTCTGAAAGGTGCCTCCACTTCATCACTGATCCCGACACGTGGGAGGAAGGAGAGGAGGACAGTGAAGACCATCAGCAAGGGAGAGCAGGTTCCCTGCCCTGGATCCCTGCCCTGGTCCCCTGCCCTGATTCCCTGCCCCATGTTGTAGGTCTTTGGGCTACATTTCTACCCATTGGCTGAACATAAAAACTGTCCTATGAACTATTTGGCAGCAAGTTCACAGCAAAGAATATTAACTCTGTGAGGCACCTTAGACAATGCCTGGCTTAACCCCCACTTGACAAATAAAGACACATGTTCTGACTCACCCACCATCCCAGGAGCAACTGACCAGGCTGAGGAACTCTGTCCACTGCCTGCAGCCCACTTGGCCTTCCACTGTGACGTCCAGGCTGAGGAACTGTGTCTGCCACCTGCAGCCCACTTGGCCTTCCACTGTGATGTCCTTTCCAGGACTCTGAGCAGAGATGGGTTTATAACAAGCATAAATTGTTATTTTGTATCGATCTGCACATCAATTTATATATTTTGAAAATTAAAAGAAATCCAATGATAAGAATTTTTCTCACAAGTTAATTAAGGAAACTAGGTCAATGGAAATTTCTTAGGTTATGAAAATATTGATGTGAATATGTTATGTGAGAATCATTTCAAAATGAGTTAAAGGGGCTGGGCACAGTGGTTCACACCTGTAATCCCAGCACTTTGGGAGGCCAAGGTGGGTGGATCATGAGGTCAAGACATTGAGACCATCCTGGCCAACATGGTGAAACCCTGTCTCTACTAAAAATACAAAAATTAGCCAGGCATGGTGGCACATGCCTGTAGTCCCAGCTACTCAGGAGGCTGAGGCGGGAGAATAGCTTGAACCTGGGAGGTGGAGGTTGCTGTCACGCGACTGCACTCCAGCCTGGTGAGAGAGCAAGAGAGCAAGACTCCGTCTCAAAAAAAAAAAAAAAAAAAAAAACAAACCAGGAGTTACAGGAATCTAGGATATTTTGCTTTCTGTCCCTAAACTTTGGGGCTTAATTTGGCAGAAACTTGGGAGTGGGAGGGTGAAGTTTGTGGCGTCCTGCTTGCCTTGAATTTGTGGTGGCCACAGAATGCAGGCTTGACTTCATGCAGGTTCTCATACATCATTATGGAGAACATCTTTTTGTATTTACTTCAATATTTATTTTGTAGTGAAAATAAAAGCAATACCAGTTTTCTGAAGGGTTTCTTAAATCAATTCCTTTGTGTCCTATAGGGCAATACTTTGCTCCTAGAGAAGTCTGTGAACCATTGGTGTCTTTGATTTGTCTCATTAGAACGCCCACCCTCATACCATATGCTATCCCTCATGTATGCTGGAAGATAATAGTCTGCAGAGTAGCCTTTATGGTGAAGCCAGCTTCCGGTGCTCTGCTACTCTGCAAAAATCACATCTGGATAGAGAAGAAACCGGTGGCAAGATGTCTCTCTCTCAGTCCATGCAATGAACTGACTCCTACTGGTGGGGGTGAGGGGGATGGTGTCAGCAATGGTGAGATATATGTTTCAAATGTCAGCAACAAAAGAAGAGAGAGAAAGAGAGGAAACAAAAACAGCTGCTAACCCCTTGAGTTTGCTTTCTGGGACAAGTTAACAGCCACATTAGTTTCATGGTCTCTATCTGCATACTGAGGGTGGCTGCCATCCCTGCTGTCCACCCAGATTTGCACATCTGTGGTTCCATTGAGTTATGTGGTTTTGCCATTCACAGCAAACATGGAAAAGATCCCCACCAACCTGGTGAAATGGTTCTGGTTTTAGATTCATAAGCTATATAGACAATAATTTCTGAAAAGGATGTGTATTTAATGTGTTGACTGAGGAACTGAAAGGCAGGGTTGTTTACAAAAGACTCAAGTGCAGAATTTTGGAAGGTGCTGAGTGTTAGCTCAGCCGTGTCCTGGTAGGTGTTTTTCATTCATTCCTCTGAAACACATGGTGTTTTCATTTCTAATTTGTGGAAGAATTTAGTGCAAAACTTGGAGCACAATTATTAGGGCCAATGACAACCCACATATGTGGAATTTTGAGGACTTTTGCAGATTTTATGGATTTGGTGCAGTTCCACAGCAAACTATAAAATTATTATTGCAGACTAGAAGATTGTAAAAGTTAAAACACAAACTATCTGAATTACAGCGCCCAGCAAAACGTGCAAGAAACAGTTAAGTCATCACGCACATCCCTATAATTTGGTATTCTAATGCTTCGTTTGGCTAAATATTTTTATCAGCTTTTTGTCTTAATAATTTCTGGAAATAGGATGATAATTTTGTTTTCACAGTTGGTGATTGTATATGGACAGAAGGTATGAAAGAGGATGAGATTTCTAACTTTCAGATAAAAAGTTTGGCATATTCTATTAGTTCCACCACATTAATTTTATTACTTATTTTTTTCAGTTCTTATTTTGTTTCATTTTTGAATATGGTATCTGCTGTATGTTGATAATGGTGAGTTAAAAATTTATCAGCTGCAGCCATACGTCTGTCTGTTTTTTGTTTTATATATATATACTTTTGGGCTTTTTTATTTGGTATATTAAAGTTTATTCATGTCATATCTTTATTATTAGCTTACCAATTTAAAATAATACGATGCTCTTTTAACTCAATAAGAGACTTTAAATACTACATAGCCTGAAATGATATTACCAAATCTGCTTTTCTTTTGTATGTATTTAATTAGTTACAATGTACCCAATCCTTAATTTATGACCCTCTAATCCAGCTTTCGGTTGTTTCTAGGCAGCAACATCTTGTAACATTGTGTTGTTGGATTTTGTTTTGATTCAACTTAAGATACGGTAAACATAGATAGTGGAATTTAAGCCCTTAACACCCAATACCAATTTATTCTGAACTGTTTAAACTCACGATCCTCTATTTCTTTTCCTTGCTTATGGCTTTGTAGAGGCCGGTGTGCAGCACTAAGAGGGTAAGGAACGCAGTGGGAAATCTCTGAGCCCCATTAAGGGTTGTCGCAAATAGAAAGAGGCCAGGTCCTCTTGCTTGCTTTGTTGGTGGGGTTCCCTCGCACACTCATGCCTTCTTGAATGCTCACATTCATGCACTTTCACACTCACTTCCCCACGTTCACGCCTCACACAGTCGTGTATATAACATTTTCTGGTTTTACAGTGTTTAAAACTTAGCCTTTACGGGTGACTGATGCTTTTCTGGGTAAAATGCTGAGCACTATGAAGGGACTGCATGAGATCAAAAGATCTCCCACCCTGGGAGAAGTTCTGGCTGATTTGGGAGCTGATCCCTGGAGAATTTCTGGCTGATTTGGGAACTGATCCCTGGAGAAGGTCTGGTTGATTTGGGAGCTGATCCTTGGAGAAGTTCTGAATGATTTGGGAGCTGAACCTTGGAGAAGTTCTGGCTGATTTGGGGGCTGATCCTTGGAGAAGTTCTGGCTGACTTGGGAGCTGATCCTTGGAGAAGTTCTGGCTGATTTGCGAGCTGATCCTTGGAGAAGTTCTGGTTGATTTGGGAGCTGATCCTTGGAGAAGTTCTGGTTGATTTGGGAGCTGAAACTTGGAGAAGTTCTGGTTGATTTGGGGGCTGATCATTGGAGAAGTTCTGGGTGATTTGGGGGCTGAACCTTGGGGAAGTTCTGGCTGATTTGGGAGCTGAACCTTGGAGAAGTTCTGGTTGACTTGGGGGCTGATCCTTGGAGAAGTTCCGGGTGATTTGGGGGCTGATCCTTGGAGAAGTTCTGACTGATTTGGGAGCTGAAACTTGGAGAAGTTCTGGTTGATTTGGGGGCTGATCCTTGGAGAAGTTCCGGGTGACTTGGGGGCTGAACCTTGGAGAAGTTCTGACTGATGTGGGAGCTGAACCTTGGAGAAGTTCTGGTTGATTTGGGAGCTGAACCTTGGAGAAGTTCTGGTTGATTTGGGGGCTGATCATTGGAGAAGTTCTGGGTGAATTGGGGGCTGAACCTTGGGGAAGTTCTGGCTGATTTGGGAGCTGAACCTTGGAGAAGTTCTGGTTGATTTGGGGGCTGATCCTTGGAGAAGTTCCAGGTGATTTGGGGGCTGATCCTTGGAGAAGTTCTGACTGATTTGGGAGCTGAAACTTGGAGAAGTTCTGGTTGATTTGGGAGCTGATCCTTGGAGAAGTTCTGGTTGATTTGGGGGCTGATCCTTGGAGAAGTTCTGACTGATTTGGGAGCTGAAACTTGGAGAAGTTCTGGTTGATTTGGGGGCTGATCCTTGGAGAAGTTCTGACTGATTTGGGAGCTGAAACTTGGAGAAGTTCCGGGTGACTTGGGGGCTGAACCTTGGAGAAGTTCTGACTGATGTGGGAGCTGAACCTTGGAGAAGTTCTGGTTGATTTGGGGGCTCATCCTTGGAGAAGTTCTGACTGATTTGGGAGCTGATCCTTGGAGAAGTTCTGACTGATTTGGGAGCTGAATCTTGGAGAAGTTCTGGTTGATTTGGGAGCTGATTCTCGGAGAAGTTCTGACTGATTTGGGAGCTGAATCTTGGAGAAGTTCTGGTTGATTTGGGAGCTAATCCTTGGAGAAGTTCTGGTTGATTTGGGAGCTGATCCCTGGAGAAGTGCTGGCTGATTTGGGG
The DNA here is from genome assembly GCF_000001405.40 of Homo sapiens. NCBI lineage: Eukaryota > Metazoa > Chordata > Mammalia > Primates > Hominidae > Homo > Homo sapiens. The sequence goes on along the minus strand of NT_187650.1, from coordinate 94,196 downwards.
GCTGATCCCTGGAGAAGTTCTGGTTGATTTGGGGGCTGATCCTTGGAGAAGTTCTGATTAATTTGGGAGCCGATGCATGGAGAAGTTCTGGTTGATTTGGGAGCTGATCCTTGGAGAAGTTCTGGTTGATTTGGGAGCTGATCCTTGGAGAAGTTCTGGCTGATTTGGGAGCTGATCCCTGGAGAAGTTCTGACTGATTTGGTAGCTGATCCTTGGAGAAGTTCTGGCTGATTTGGGGGCTGATCCCTGAAGAAGTTGTGGTTGATTTGGAAGCTGATCCTTGGAGAAGTTCTGACTAATTTGGGAGCTGATCCTTGGAGAAGTTCTGGGTGATTTGGGGGCTGATCCCTGGAGAAGTTCTGGCTGATTTGGGGGCTGATCCTTGGAGAAGTTCTGGTTGATTTGGAAGCTGAACCTTGGAGAAGTTCTGGTTGATTTGGGAGCTGATCCTTGGAGAAGTTCTGGTTGATTTGGAAGCTGATCCTTGGAGAAGTTCTGACTGATTTGGGGGCTGATCCCTGGAGAAGTTCTGGCTGATTTGGGGGCTGATCCTTGGAGAAGTTCTGGTTGATTTGGGAGCTGAACCTTGGAGAAGTTCTGGTTGATTTGGTGGCTGATCCTTGGAGAAGTTTTGGTTGATTCGGGAGCTGATCCTTGGAGAAATTTTGGTTGATTTGGGGCTGATCCTTGGAGAAGTTTTGGTTGATTTGGGGGCTGATCCCTGGAGAAGTTCTGGCTAATTTGGGAGCTGATCCTTGGAAAATTTCTGGTTGATTTGGGAGCTGATCCCTGGAGAAGTTCTGGTTGATTTGGGAGCTGAACCTTGGAGAAGTTCTGGTTGATTTGGGAGCTGATCCTTAGAGAAGTTCTGGTTGATTTGGGAGCTGAACCTTGGAGAAGTTTTGGTTGATTTGGGAGCTGATCCTTGGAGAAATTCTGACTGATCCTTGGTGAGCATCATGCACTCCCGTGTTTTATCCTCTGCGCATTAGAGAGGTCAGGCCATGAATGGTCTTAGATCAAGATGAGCACTGAACTTGGTTATTTTCTTCCTGACTTTCATAACCAGCAATCAGTGCATTATCGTTATCTTCTACTCCATGGATTTAAACCTCTTGTTTCTGTATAACAAACCAAACTGTGTACTTTTCACACTACATGTGATTTAAAAATAATGTTCCTAAGTTTTCAGGGGGTGTCTGTTCATCCTCCTGCTGTTCGTAATTATGCCAACAGTAGTAGCTACCACTGATTGCATTTCTTTACTGTTCTGACCGTCACTATGTACCCACAGCACGTTACCACAGCCCCTGCCTAAGGCAAGGGTGTTATTTCTAGTTGACAGATGCGGAACCCGAGGCTCCTGTAGCGAATGAACATCAGAGCACATATTTAACCCAGCTTTTGGCTCCAGAAGTCCTCGTTCTTCGTTGTTCAAGGAAGATGCCATCTGGGACACTGTCTTTCATGCACCAGGTTGGAGAATGGCATGAGTTAGGGAATCAGCCTTTTTAGGAAGGCAGAAGCTTACAGAACCCGGGAGGAGAAAAGCCCAGTGTCCCTCATCCTCTCATCTTTGCCATAGAGAAAACACGAGGACCAAGATATTTTTCTGACCAGTAGCATGGACTTGCATTCCACTGGGGCCACTCTGACTTTTACAAAGGGCAAGCCTGAAAGCAAACTTGTCGATGTTGAATGAGATTTCCTCAGTACCAAGCAGTCTGCATGTGGTGTAGCTGTTTATGAGAATTGCCTGGGAACACTAACTGCCCAGAACCTGGGTATCGTGGGACCTGTGGGGAAAAGGGGCTATGAGGATATCAGTGCTACAGGTCGCTTAGTGTCACATGGTCCCTATTTCCAGGGACCCAGTGTTGAGGATTCTCAGTGAGCATGTGTTTCAGGCAAGTCAGAGTGAGCGTCTGGAGCCACTTTGCGACAATCCGCTTATTGCTCCTTCTACAATCCAGCACTGTTTTCATGTTGTTTGGTAAATTTTGTTTTTTAATATCTCAGCAGGAGAATGTGTGTTTTGTGGAAGAAATGACCAACTAGTAGAATGCCTTCCATTTGTAATAAAATCCTTGCTGGGTTTGAGTTAATAGGCCTCCAAGGAAGAGCAAGTTAAAATAGAAATGGACAGGGTGCTAAATAAAATACTGTCCAGCATAATCTACTGCCCTCAAGGGAAAGAGCCAAATGACTCAATACGGGTTTTCCATCTTCAATTTCAATAGCCCGATGTCAGGATCAAGCAGCAGAACACACTGACTACCTCAGTATGCTCCCTGCATTCAAAGTTTCTTTTCCCATGGCCTCTTCTGCTCCTGTGATGCCATCCCCAAAACGCTTAAAGTGCACAGACATGAAAGTCCTTTTACTAGCATTGCAGATCGAGGGGTAGGTAGTGACGTTCTAAAGGAATGAAACAGAATGTGGACCACAGAGAGATCGGCAATTAACACTGCCACCTGTTTTAGTCATTTGTTTGTTTTAATTGGGATATTTATATATGGTTATAATCTGTCATTTGTATTAATGTAGCTATCTGTGGGGATGGGGAAAAGAAAGAATAGAATTAGTTATTCATTCATTTATTTATTTATGTATTTATTTATTAATGATTTTGAGACAGGCCTGGCTCTGTTGCCCAGGCTGGAGTGCAGTGGTGCGATCTCGGCTCACTGCAACTTCCACCTCCTAGGCTCAAGCCATCTTCCCACCTCAGCTTCTTGTGCAGCTGGGACTACAGGTGCACGCCACCACACCAAGCTAATTTTTGTATCTTTTATAGAGATGGGTTCTCACTATGTTGCATAGGCCGATCTCGAACTCCTGAGCTTAAGGGATCCACCCGCATTGGCCGAGTACTAGGATTACAGGCATGAGCCACTGCACCCAGCCTTGAAGTTTTTTAGTTCAATGATCTTGACGTTTTCAAGATTTGCTATGTAATGACGGCTCCATACCCCTTTCCTATCCATGGGAGTTCAGTTTCAAATGCACTGAGCATTCAAAGTAAGTCATCCTGGAAACAGCATGTCTGGTGATTTCCTAGTTGGGAAAATCTTCTGTTTAGCTGAGAGGGAAATTGCTATGGTTCGAGAAGAGACATTCTAAGGTGAAACTTAGGGGAGAAATATATTATCTTTACAGGAATCCTGGATACAAAACCAAACTGCTCTGGGCTCTACATGAAGAACTAATTTTATTGTGGGTTTTTTTTTTTTTTTTTTTTTTTTCAGAAAGTCTGAGGCTGATATGAATGGAATAGAGAAAGAGGGAAGGATGGTAGGAAAACACACCCTGTTTTCCAGCCAGTGGCCATAGCCAGCCTCATCCCCAAGAAGCCTAAACATTTTATACTTGTGTGAGTCTTCATATGAGCACATTCACTTCACTAGGGCTCCAGCGTCCTGGAGAGATGAATGGTTTCCATTCACAGATGACAACCCTGGTGGCCCATACTCAGTGACAGGAATGGTCCACAGCTGACAAACCTGGTGGCCCATACTCAGTGACAGGGATGGTCCACAGCTGACAAAACCTGGTGGCCCATACTCAGTGACAGGGATGGTCCACAGCTGACAACACTAGTGGCCTATACTCAGTGATGGGGATGGTCCACAGCTGACAGCCCTGGTGGTACATACTCAGTGACAGGGATGGAAGTCCTTCTCCATTTGCCCTTTATTAGAGAGATATATCAGGCTCACTGTGTGGAAGGAAACATTTTCCAACATACTCCACATGCACTCTGTGACGCTCATTGTCCTCTGACATGTAATTAAACAATGACACTTTTCTCCTAGCTTTCCTAAATGGCTAATGACAGAGGGGTGGTACCAGCTGCCCCAGGGTAAACTACTGAGCAAATCTAAAGGTGTGTCTTCTAGTTCCATCTTCTGTTAGAAAAACCAAATGCTCACAAAGTGCAATAACAGTTTAAACCACGACTGCTCTCTCACAATGTTTTTCATCAATCATTATAATAATATTGTTTTTAAAATAAACTTTGTTTTAGGAGATTTGCATATCTACAGAAATATTGTGAACTTAGAGTACACAGAGTTCACGTCCACCCTCGGCTGTGTTTATCATTAACGTCTTACAATATTATATATATTATATTAGTGCATTTATTATTATTCATGTACCAATATTGATATATTTTTATTACTTAAAGCCTATATTTTACTTACATTTATGTGGTTTTCACTGAGTGTCCTTTTCTGTTCTGGGATCTCATTCAAGATCCCAAGAAACATTTAGCTGTCAAGTCTCCTGAGGTTCCTCTGGCTGAGGCAGTTGCTGGGACATTTTCTGCTTTGTATGACCTTGCAGGTTTGGAAGAGCACTGATCAGGGGTACAGTAGGATGCCCCGTACTGAAATCTTTATGTTGTTATTCTCATGATTAGACTGGGGTCATGGCTTTTGGGGAGGAGAACCACAGAGGTAAGGTGCCATCATCATCACATCGTCTGAAGGGTACATACTGTCAACATGACTAATCACTATTTATGGTGACCTTGTTCACCTTGGCCAAGGTGGTGTTTGTTAGGTTTTCTCTTTCCATAGTGCACTCTTTAGAAGGAGGCCACTTTGTGCAGCCCACACTTAATGAGTGAGAAGTTTTGCTCCACCTCCTGAGGGTGGAGTATCCAGACAAATTATTTAGAATTCTTATGCATAATTTGTCTCATATCCCCCATTTAAATATTTATTCAATTATCTATTAGTAACAGTATGGACTCATGGATATTTATTTGGTACTTTGAGTTAAAATTATATATTATTCTATTTATTTTATTGCTCAAATTGTTCCAGTTCAAAAATTACAATAGTTATGTAGTGGTACTTTGTTGTCATTTTAAGTTGCAATTCTCTGTTGACAAACAATATTGAGCATTTTTTCATATCCTTATTTGGCATCTGTTTACCTTCTTTGGTGAGGGGTCTGTTCAGGTTTTTTTACATTATTTAACTGGGTTGCTTGTTTTCTTATTGTTGAATTTTAAGAGTTCTTTGTACATTTTAGATACACATTTTTTATCAGATATGCATTTTGAAAATATTTTCTACAAGTCTGTGGCTTGTCTATGATACTTTTAAAAATCTATTTTTACACTCTAATGAGACATATGAGAGGAGAGAAGTTAGTTAATTATAGGAGCCCAATCATGTCTCTACATGGGGGTGTGAAGCCTCCTCCCTGGAGGAATCTACTTTTCCTTGGTCTTCCAAATACATTGTTATTTCCAAAACCATATATGAGGAGTATAAAAAAATATGAGAATATATCAATACTCAAATAAAGAGAAAGTGTACTTAAAAAAAGAATTCTCACAATGACCAGTGAGGTAGATAAAACAGACATATATAAGCGTTCACGTTTATCAGATGCAGAAACTGAAGCCCAGGTAAGCCATATGACCTAGCTAGAGTCACTCAGTCAGCAAGAGATGGAGCCATGACTACACTCCTAGATTCTATCTCCTGGCCCCAAATTCACTTACCTACATCACACTAGAACCATATCATGTTAGCCAACAGACCATCAGTGTGTTTGTTTAAAGTGCTAACTTACTGATAATTCATGCATTTAACAGTGTATTTTTCAGATGCATTTGACCCTTGCTGTGTCAGATAAGTCACTTATTCAAAATGGAATAAGTTAAGATGTAACATGAGTCTAACTGCGTCTTTGCTTTCTTGGCACTGTATAGCTACAGTGGATCCTAAGTATTCTATCATCTGATTCTTCCAGGCAATTCTTTATTGTACTCAACATTTTAGTGGCAGTAGTCCTTGGAATTTGCTAATCATTTTCCTTAAGCGTTTTGGAGGAAAATATCTGTTACTTAGCCAGCTAGCCAATTAGAAAATTAAAAGTCCCTTTAGACCATAATTTACCAGTCTTGAGACTACTGGCTTTTGGGCTGGATAATTCTTTGGTGTGGTGGGCTCTGATATATTATAAGACGCTTAGCAGCATTTCAGGACTGTCCCTGCTAGATGCCAGTAGTATCCCTCCAGGATGCCACAACCATAAATGTCTCTAGAGATTGACAAGTGTCCCTTGGGGGCTCTATTGGTCCATTTTCACACTGCTGATAAAGATATACCTGAGATTGGGAAGAAAAATAGGTTTAATGGACTCCCAATTCCACGTGGCTTGGGAGGCCTCACAATCATGGCAGAAGGAAACAGGCACTTCTTACATGGCAGCAGCAAGAGAGAATGAGAACTGACTGAAAGGGGTTTCCCCTTATAAAACCATCATATCTTGTAAGACTTACTGTCACAAGAGCAGCACAGGAAATACGTGCCCCCATGATTCAGTTACCCCCCACTGGGTCCCTCCCACAACATGTTGGAATTGTGGGAGCTACAATTCAAGATGAGATTTGTGTGGGAACACAGCCAAACCATATCATTCTATCCCTGGCCCCTCGCAAATCTCATGTCCTCACATTTCAAAACCAATCATGCCTTCCCAGTAGAACCCCAAATTGTTAACCCATTTCAGCATTAATTCAAAAGCTTACAGTCCAATGTCTCATCTGAGACAAGGCAAGTCCCCTCTGCCTATGAGCCCATAAAATCAAAAGCAAGTTAATTACTTTCTAGATACAATGTAGGTACATGTATTGGGTAAATACAGCTGTTACAAATGGGAGAAATTGGCCAAAACCAAGGGGCTACAGGCCCCATGCAAGTCCAAAATGCAGCAGGGCAGTCAAATTTTAAAGCTCCGAAATGATGTCTTTTGATTCCATGTCTCACATCTGGGTCATGCTGATGCAAGAGATGGGTTCCCGTGATCTCAGGCAGCTCTGCCCCTGTGGCTTTGGAGGATACTGCCTCCCTCCCAGCTGCTTTCATGGGCTGGTATTGAGTGTCTGTGGCTTTTCCAGGTGCATTGTGCAAGCTGTCAGTGGATCTACCATTCTGGGGTCTGGAGGATGGTGGCTCTCTTCTTACAGCTTCACTAGGCAGCACACTAGTGGGGAGTCTGTGGGGGTCCCCACCCTACATTTCTCTTCTTCACTGCCCTGGCAGAGGTTCTCCATGAGGGCCCCACTGCTGCAACAAACTTCTGCCTGGACATCCAGATGTTTCCATAATATCTTCTGAAAACTAGGCAGAGGTTCCCAAACCTCAATTCTTGACTCCTTTGCACCTGCAGGCTCAACACCACATGGAAGCTGCCAAGGCTTGGAACTTGCACTTTCTGAAGCCATGGCCCAAGCTGTACCTTGACTCCTTTTAGTCATGGATGGAGCAACTGGAACACAGTCCTTAGACTGCACACAGCAGAGAGACTCTGGTCCCGGCCAATGAAACCATTTTTTCCTCCTAGGCCTCTGGGCCTGTGGTGGGAGGAGCTACCACAAAGGTCTCTGACATGCCCTGGAGACATTTCCCCCATTGTCTTGGTGATTAACATTCAGCTCCTCATTAATTATGAAAATTTATGCAGCCAACTTGAATTTCTCCTTAGAAAATGGGATTTTAATTTCTATCACATTGTCAGGCTGCAAATTTGTCAAACTTTTATGCTCTGTTTCCCTTTTAAAACTGAACACTTTTAACAGCACCCAAGTCACACCTTGAATGCTTTGCTGTTTAGAAATTTCTTCTGCCAAATACCCTAAATCATCTCTCTCAAGTTCAAAGTTCCACAAATCTCTAGGTCAGGGGCAAAATGCTGCCAGTATCTTTGCTAAAATATAGCAAGAGTCACCTTTGCTCCAGTTCCCAACAAATTCCTCCTCTCCATCTGAGACCACCTCAGCCCGGATTTCATTGCCCATATCATTATCAGCATTTTGCTCAAAGCCATTTAAAAGTCTTTACTAGGGAGTTCCAAATATTCCTATATTTTCTGTCTTCTTCTGAGCCCTCCAAACAGTTTCAACCTATGCCTGTTAGCCAGTTCCAAAGTTGCTTTCACATTTTTGGGTATCTTTTCAGCAATGCCCCAGTCCACTGGTACCAATTTACTGTATTAGTTCATTTTCACACTGCTGATAAAGACATACCTGAGACTGGAGAGAAAATAGGTTTAATAAACTCACAGTTCCATGTGGCTAGGGAGGCCTCACAATCATGGTGGAAGGCGAAAAGTACTTCTTACATGGCAGCAGCAAGAGAGAATGGGAACTAAGTGAAAAGGGTTCTCCCTTACAAAACCATTATGTCTCATGAGACTTATTAGTTATCATGAGAAGAGCATGGGAAAAGCCTTTCCCCGTGATTCAATTACCTCCTACTTGATCCCTCCCACAACATGTGGGAATTGTGGAAGCTACAATTCAAGATAAGATTTGCATGGGGGCACAGCCAATCCATATCGGGGCAAAGTCCCCTCTGTCAAGAACCACTACTCTAGTGTTTAAACTGTTTGATGACTAAAGATTTCAGCAGCAGTAGATTATAATATGTTAATTTCAAGAAGCTGTAGACTTTATAAGTAAGTATAATTTATTGTTTTGTATTTTTATTACTTTATTTATATCATAATTTGATCAAGCAAAACAAATTTAAATTTTCATTTCAAAATTGATAATAAAATGGAAGGAATAGGATTAAACTACAGGAAGGATAGAAAAGGCAAAATGGAGGTCAACTAGGGCTTAAATTTATTTTTGGCAAAATGAAACAATTTTCTGATTCAAAGAAATGTCCCTTATGGGAACATCTTTTGCCTTTTGTCTTTTCATTATAGAATCATAGAATCTTAGAGCCAGTTGGGCCCACAGAGATTACCAGGTGAGTGCTAGAGAAAGAAGGGTAAAGCATTGGTGATAGGTTCATGTTCCTTCTTACTGCAGCCTGTTAGTCTGAGTGCTGTAATACATATGACTTAATTATGGAAAATCTATAGTTAATTATAGCATTAATTATAGCATAGAGATAATCTGAAAATTGGCCGGGCGTGGTGGCTCATGCCTGTAATCCCAGCACTTTGGGAGGCCAAGACGGGCGGATCACAAGGTCAGGAGATGGAGACCATCCTGGCTAACACAGTGAAACCCCGTCTCTACTAAAAATACAAAAAAAAAAAAAAAAAAAAATTAGCCAGGCGTGGTGGCGGGTGCCTGTAGTCCCAGCTACTCAGGAGGCTGAGACAGGAGAATGGCATGAACCTAGTAGGCAGAGCTTGCAGTGAGCGGAGATCGTGCCACTGCACTCTGGCCTGGGCGAAAGAGCGAGACTCCATCTCAAAAAAAAAAAAAGAAAAGAAATAATCTGAAAATTATACATAGCAACACATGGAAGTTGATTTGAAAAGTTGTCCCTGTTGAACTAGGACTCCCTGGAGAACTGCCTGACTCAAGGGCTAGGGAAGGGAAAATGCATGATGAACCTGGAGGACCTTGTGTTGCCAGAAAGTAAGGGGTCAGGGAACAGGCCTGACAAAGCAACATGCAGCCAACCTGAAAGAGCTCCCAGTGGCCAAAGCTGGAAAACTTTGAACAACAAAATTAATAAAAATACTACTGAGTTATAACCCAAAGAAAAAAGTAAATATCAGTGAGTTTATACTGATAAAAATAAATGGTTACATACATAAATAATTGAAGGAGAAGTGAAAAAAATCTTCCTTGTGGAAGATTTCCAAATAGTAAACATAAAAGAAATGAGGGAAATGGAAGACACCACTTGATGTGGTTTGGCTGTGTCCCCACTCAAATCTTGTCTTGAATTGTAGCTCCCATAATCCCCACCTGACCTGGGAGGTACCCAGTGGGAGGTAATTGAATAATGGCTCTGATTTTTTCCCATGCTGTTCTGGTGATAGTGAATAAATCTCATGAGATCTGATGGTTTATAAAGGGCAGTTCCCCTCCACATGCTCTCTTGCTTACCACCATACAAGATGTGCCTTTGCTCTATCTTTGCCTTCCGCCATGATTGTGAGGCCTCCCCAGTCCTGTGGAACTGTGAGTCCATTAAACATCTTTTTCTTTATAAATTACCCAGTCTCCCATATGTCTTTATTAGCAGTGTAAGAATGGACTAATACACCACTAGAATACCACAGTAATAGTCGCCATAGGGAAGATTCATGGAAGACTGCTGAAATTAGTGTCTGAAACATAAGGAAGAAACAGGATATTTGCATAACCTCAAATATCTGTGCCCAAAGATTTATTAATTACTGTACTGAATTTAACATATATCCACAAATTCTTTCATACTTTTTCCTCCAGCAGGTGGAGTTTAATTTCCCTCCTTATGAAAGTAAGCTGGATTTAGTGCCTTGCTTGTAATAAATAGAGTTTTGGAAAAGTAAAAATAGTGACCCTACAGCGAAAAAATCTGAAAGATTTGGCCTTATCCAAGTGATGGAGGTGAGCATCACCAATGATAAGTAGTGTTGATGTCAAGCATCCCCGGAAATGATGCAACGAGAAGGACGTCACCACTGTGTTACCTTACCCCCAAATCCAGAATGCCAGTCCAATCATGAGAAAACATCAGCAACTGAGGAGCATTCTACAAAATACCTGACTAATACTCTTCAAAAGTGTCAAGTTCATGAGTAACAAGGGAAGACAGCGACGCTGTCACGGATTGGCAGAGACTAAGAAGACATAACAGATGAATGCAACGTGGTATTCTGGATTGGATCCTTGAATAGGAAAAGGGTATTATTGGAAAAACTGGCAAAAAGACAAATAAAGTCCATAGTTTAGTCAATAGTGTAGCAATGTTGATTTCTTAGTTTTGATAAATGTGTCATGGTTATATAACACGCTACAATTAGGGGAGACTGGGTGGAAGGCTTCCTGGAACACTTTATACTATCCTTACAACTTTTCTATAAATCTTAGTATTTCAAAGTTAACTAAAAGTGAAAAATTGTAAAGTCCCTTGTTTCTTAAAACAAATCTAGGATGCTTGTTATGTGTTAACAATTCTTGTAAATGCAAATCACTTTGAAGAGCAATAAATATTACCCAGAAAAACTGACCACTTTCAATCCCCATGACCTAACAATTTTATTGATTGTATGTTTTTAAAAATGTGCCTGTGCCCAATATCACTAATTAATAGGGATGCATATCAAAACTGCAACAATGTACCACTTTCTAGCCATTAGTTTGGCTACTACTAGAAAACAAAAACAAAAACAGATATTTGAACCCTTGACACTGCTGGTGGGAATGTAAAATGGTACAGTAGCAATGGAAAACAGTTTGGAGGTTCTTCAAGAAATTGAAAATAGATATATCTTGTCATTCAGCATTTTCACTTCTGGGGATATATCCAAAAGAATTGAAAGTAGGGACCTAAACAAATGTGTGTATACCCATGTCCATAGCAGCATTACTTGCAACAGCTAAAACGTGGAAGCAACCCAAAGATCCATCAGTGGAAGAATAGATAAGCAAAATGTGCTACATACATACAATGAAATATTAATCAGCATTAAGAGGCAATGAAATTCTGAGACATACTACAACATGGATAAACCTTGAAGATGTTATGCTAAGTGAAATAAGTCAGTCACAAAATGACAAATATTCTGTGATTCCCCTCATACAATATACTTAGTAAGATTCATGGGGACAGAAAGCAGAATGATGGTTGCCAGGGGCTGGGGGAAGGCAGAATGGAGAGTTATTGTTTGAAAGGTACAGAGGTTTTTTTTTTTAATTATTATTATTTCAATAGTTTTGAGAAAGCAGGTGGTGTTTCGTTACATGGATAAGTTCTTGAGTGGTGATTATGAGATTTTGGTGCACCCATCACCCAAGCAGTGTACACTGTACCCAATGTATAGCCTTTTGTCCCTTATCACCCACTTCTCCTCAAGTCCCAGAGTCCATTATGTCATTCTTACGCCTTTGCGTCCCCATAGCATAGCTTCCACTTATAAGTCAGAACATACGATGTTTGGTTTTCCATTCCTGATTTACATCAGTTAGAATAGTGATCTCCAACTCCATCAAGGTTGCTGCAAATACCATTATTTCATTCATTTTTATGGCTGAGTAATATTCCATGGTATATATATACACCACATTTTCTTTATCCACTATTGATTGATGGGCATTTGGGCTGGTTCCTTATTTTTGCAACTGTTAAACTGTGCTGCTATAAATGTGTGTGCAAGTGTCTTTTTCATAGAATGACTTCTTTTCGTCTGGGTAGATACTCACAAGTGGGATTGCTGGATCAAACGGAAGTTCTACTTTTAGTTCTTTAAGGAATTTCCATACTGTTTTTCATAGTAGTTATACTAGTTTACGTTTCTACAAGCAGTGTAAAAGTGTTCCCTTTTCACAACATCCATACCAACGTCTATAATTTTTTGATTTTTAAAATTATGGCCATTTTTGCAGGAGAAAGGTGGTATTGCATTGTGGTTTTGATTTGCATTTCCATGATAATTAGTGATGTTGTGCATTTCTTTATATGTTTGATGGCCATTAGTATATCTTCTTTTGAGAATTGTCTGTTCATGGCCTTAGCTCACTTTTTGATGTGTTTGTTTTTATCTTGTTGATTTGTTTGAGTTTCTTGTAGATTATGAATATTAGTCCTCTATTGGATACATAGTTTGTAGTTTGCGAATCTTTTCTCCCACTCTGTGCATTGACTGTTTACTATGATGATTATTTCTTTTGATTTGCAGAATGTTTTTACTTTAATTAAGTCTCATCGGTTTATCTTTGTTTTTATTGCATTTGCTTTTGAGTTCTTGATCATTAACTTTTTGCCTAGGCCAATGTCTAGAAGAGTTTTTCCAGTGTTATCTTCTAGAATTTTTATGGTTTCAGGTCTTAGATTTAAGTCTTTGATCCATTTTGAGTTGATTTTGTATAAGGTGAGAGATGAGGATTTAGTTTCATTCCTGTACATGTGGCTTGCCAATTATCCCAGCAGCATGTGTTAATAGGGGATCCTTTCTCCATTTTATGTTTTGTTTGCTTTGTGGAAGATCAGTTGATCATAAGTATTTGGCTTTATTTCTGAGTTCTCTATTCTGTTTTATTGGTCTATGTGCTTATTTTTTCATCAGTTCTATGCTGTTTTGGTAGCTATAGCCTTGTAGTATAGCTTGAAGTGAGAGAATGTGATGCCTCCAGATTCGTTCTTTTTGCTTATTTAATCTTGCTTTGGCCATATGGGCTCTTTTTTGGTTCCATATGAATTTTAGGATTGTTTTTTCTAGTTCTGTGAAAAATGATGATGGTATTTTGATGGGAATTGCATTGAATTTATAAATTGCTTTCAGCAGAATTATCCTTTTCACAATATTGATTCTACCCATCCATGAGCATAGGATGTGTTTCCATTTGTTTGTGTTGTCTGTGATTTCTTTCAGCAGTGTTTTGTAGTTTTCCTTGTAGAGATTTTTCACATTTTTGGTTGGGTATATTCTTAAGTATTTTACTTCTTTGTAGCTGTTGTAAAAGACATTGAATTCTTTATTTGATTCTAAGCTTGGTCATTGTTGGTGTATAGCAGTGCTACTGATTTGTGTACATTAATTTTGTACCTGAAACTTTACTGAATTCGTTTATTAGATCTATGAGCTTTTGGGATGAGTCTTTAGGGTTTTCTAAGTATACCGTCATGTCAGTGGCATTAGCAACAGTTTGACTTTCTCATTACTGATTTGGATGCCTTTTATTTACCTCTCTTGTCTAATTGCTCTGGCTAAGACTTTCAGTACTATGTTGAATACAAGTGGTGAAAGTGGGCATCCTTGTTTTGTTCCACTGATTAGAGAAAATTCTTTGAGCTTTTCCCATTCAGTATGATGTTGGCTGTGGATTTGTCATAAATGGCTTTTATTACCTTAAGGTATGTCCCTCTATGCTGTTTTGCTGAGGGTTTTAATCATAAAGGGATGCTGGATTTCATCAAATGCTTTTTCTGCATCTATTGAGGTGATCATATGACTTTTGATTTTACTTCTGTTTATGTGCTGTATCACATTTATTGACTTGCATATGTTAAACCATCCCTGTATCCCTGTTATCAAACACACTTGATCATGGTGGATTATCTTTTTGATATGCTGTTGAATTGAGTTAGATAGTATTTTGTGGAGGATTTTCACATCTATGTTCATCAGGGATATTGGTTTGTAGTTTTCTTTTTTTTGTTATATCTTTTCCTGGTTTTGGTATTAGGGTAATTCTGGCTTCATAGAATGATTTAGGGAGGATTCCCTCTTTCTCTATCTTTTGGAATAGTTTCAGTAGGATTGGTACCAATTCTTCTTTGAATGTCTGATAGAATCCAGCTGCTCCTGGACTTGTTGTTGCTGGCAGTTTTTTTATTGCTGTTTTAATCTTGCTACTTGTTATTGGTCTGTTCAGAGTTTCTATTTTTTTCTGGTTTAATCTAGGAGGATTATATATTTCCAATAATTTATCCAAATCTTTTAGGTTTTCTAGTTTGTGGACATAAAGGTGTTCATAGTAGCCTTGAATGATCTTTTGTATTTCTGTGGTATTAGTTTAACATCTCCCATTTCATTTCTAATTGAGTTTACTTGGATCTCCTCTCTTTTTCTCTTGATTAATCTTGCTAATAGTATCTCACTTTTGTTTATGCAAAAAGAACCAGCTTTTTGCTTCATTTATCTTTTGTATTGTTTTTGTTTGCTTGTTTCAATTTTATTTAGTTCTACTGTGATCCTGGTTATTTCTTTTTTTCTGCTGGATTTGGGTTTGGTCTGTTCTTGCTTCTCTAGTTCCTTGAGGTGTGACCTTGGGTTGTTTATTTGTGCTCTTTCAGACTCTTTGATGTAGGCATTCAATGCTATGAACTCTCCTCTTAGCACCGCTTTTGCTGTGTCCCAGAGATTTTGATTGGCTGTGTCACTATTTTTGTTCAGTTCAAATATATTTTTTAATTTCCATCTTTATTTTATTTAACCCAAGGATCATTCTGGAACAGATTATTTAGTTTCCATGTATTTGTATAGTTTTGATGGCTCCTTTGACAGTTAATTTGTAATTTTATTCCACTGTGGTCTGAGAGAGAGTATTTTACATAATTTCAATTTTCTTAAATTAATTGAGACATGGTTTTTTTTTTTTTTTTTTTAGATGGAGTCTCACTCTTGTTGCCCAGGCTGGAGTGCAGTGGCATGATCTCAGCTCACTGAAACTTCCTCCTCCCAGGTTCAAGTGATTCTTCTGCCTCACCTTCCCTAGTAGCTGGGACTACAGGTGCATGCCACTATGCCCAGCTAATTGTTTTTGTATTTTTAGTAGAGACAGGGTTTTGCCATGTTGGCCAGGCTGGTCTCAAACTCTTGACCTCAGGTGATATGTCTGCCTTGGCCTCCCAAAGTGCTGGGATTACAGGTGTGAGCCACCACACCCGGCCGAGACACATTTAGTGGCCTATCATATAGTCTATTTTGGAGAATGTTCCATGTGCTGAGGAGAAGAACGTATATTCAGCAGTTGTCGGATAGAATGTTCTATAAACATCTGTTAAGTCCATTTGTTCTAGGGTGTAGTTTTCCATTGTTTCTTTGTTGACCTGTATTTATGGCCTTTCTAGTGGTCAGTGGAGTACTGAAGTGCCCACTATTATAGTGTTGCTGTCTATCTAATTTCTTAGGTCTCATGATAATTGTTCTATAAATTTTGGAGCTCCAGTGTTAGGTGCATATGTATTTAGGACTGTGATTTTTCTCCTGTTGGACTAGTTTTTGATCACTATTTAACTGTTGCTGATTTAAAGTCTTTTCTGTCTGATACAAGAATGGATACTTCTACTCACTTTTGGTATCCATTTGTGTGGAATATCTTTTTCCACTTGGTTACCTTAGGTTCAGGTGAGGCCTTATGTGTTAGATGCACCTCTTAAAGACAGCAGATACTTGATTGGTGGATTTTTATTCATTCTGTCATTCTGTATCTTTTTTTTTTTTTTTGAGATGGAGTCTCGCTCGGTCACCAGGCTGGAGTGCAGTGGTCTGATCTTGGCTCACTGCAACCTCCACCTCCCGAGTTCAAGTGATTCTCCTGCCTCAGTGTCCCGAGTAGCTGGGACTAATGGCTTGTACCACCTCGCTTAGCTAATTTTTGTGTTTTTAGTAGAGACGGGGTTTCACAATGTTGGCCAGGATGGTCTAGATCTCTTGACCTCATGATCTGCCCACCTCTGCCTTCCAAAGTGCTGGGATTACAGGTGTAAGCCACCGTTCCCAGCCCTGTATCTCTTAAGTGAAGCATTTAATCCATTTATGTTCAACATTAATATTGAGATGTGAGGTACTGTTCTATTCATCATGCTAGTTGTAGTCTCAATATGTTGTTTTTTTAATTGTGTTATTGTTTTATAGATCCTGTGAGATTTATGCTTTAAAGAGGTTCTATTTTGGTGTATTTTAGGTTTCATTTCAAGATTTAAGACTCCTTTTAGCATTTTTTGTAGTGCTGGCTTGGTAGTAACAAATTCTCTCAACATTTGTTTGTTTGAAAAATACTTTATCTCTCCTTCATTTATGAAGCTTAGTTTCACTAGATATAAAATTCTTGACTGTTATTGTTTTGTTTAAGGAGGCTAAATATAGGACCCCATCCCTTCTGTCCTGTAGGGTTTCTGCTGAGGAATCTGTTGTCAATCTGATAGCTTTTTCTTTATAGGTTACCTGCTGCTTTTGCCTCACAGCTCTTAAGATTATTTCTTTCATCTTAACTTTAGATAACCTGATGACTATGTGCATAGGTGATGATCTTTTTGTGATGAATTTCCCAGGTGTTCTTTGAGCTTCTTGTATTTGGATGTCTAGATCTCTAGCAAGGCCAGGGAAGTTTTCCCTGAGTATTCCCTCAAATAAGTTTTCCAAACATTTAGATTTCTTTTCTTCCTCAGGAATGCCAATTATTCTTATGCTTGGTTATTTAACAAAACCCCAAATTTCTTGGAGTCTGTTAATTTTTTAAAATTCTTTTTTCTTTGTCTCTTTTTTTCAGTTAATTTGAAAGCCTTGTCATTGAGCTCTGAAGTTCTTTATTCTACTTGTTTTATTCTATTGTTGAAACTTTTCAGTGTATTTTATATTTTTCTAAGTGTGTCTTTCATTTCCAGAAATTGTGATTGTCTTTGCTTTATGATACCTGTTTCTCTGGAGACTTTTTCATCCATATACTGTATTGTTTTCAACATTTCTTGAAGTTGGTTTTCACCTTATTCTGGTGCCTCCTTGAATAGCTTAATAACCAACCTCCCAATTTTTTTTTTTTTTTTTTTTTTTTTTTTTTTTTTTTTTGGCAATTCAGAGATTTCTTCTTGGTTTGGATCCACAGCTGGAGAGCTAGTGTGATCTTTTGGCGGTACTATACAACTTGTTTTGTCATATTACCAGAATTACTTTTTTGGTTTCTTTTCATTTGGGTAGACTGTTTCAGTGGAAAGATCTGGAACTCAAGGGCTGCTATTCAGATTCTCTTGTCCCACGTGGTGGTGCTCTCTTGATGTGTGCCCTCCCCCTTCCTCTAGGGATAGGGCTTCTTGAGAGCCAGATTGCAGTGATTGCTAATGCCCTTCTGGGTCTAGACACCCAGTGGGGCTACTGGGCTCCAGGCCGGTGCTGCAGAATGTCTGCAAAAAGTCCTGTGCTGTGATTTGTCTTCAGGTCTCCCAATTCTGGATAACAGCCCCTGCTCTGGTGGAGGTGGCAGGGGAGTGAAGTGAACTCTGGGATTTTTTGGTTGTTGTAATGTGATGGTTTTCTCAAATGCTGGTTATGCTAGCAGTGAAATTTTCACATGGACAGACTCAGGACCTCTGGTTAGCCAGGATGTTGCAGACCGTGGAATTAGCTGTTGTTTTCTCCTTCTATGGAGCAGGGTTGTTCTCTTATGAGTTGCTGTAATGGCTTCAGTTGGTTGGCCTCCAGCCAGGAGGTGGCACTCTCAAGAGAGCACAAGCTACAGTTGTAGAAGGGGGCTACCATCTTGCCCTATGTTGGCCAGGATAAGTACTCGGGTTTCTCAGGTGATGGGCAGGGACATAGAGCTCCCAAGAGTTTATGTCTTTTGTCTTCAGCTACCAGGGCAGGTAGAGAAAAACCATCAGCTGAAGACAGGGCTAGGCATGTCTAAGCTCAGACTCTCCTTGGGCAGGGCTTGCTTCAGCCACTATGGGGGATTATGGGGTGGTTCTCAGGCCAATGGAGCCTTTGCTGCATCATTCTGGTTGCCAGGGAAGGTGGGGGAAAGCTGCCAGTGACAGGCCTCACCCAGCTCTCATGCAGCCAGTGGGGCCAGTCTCCTGTATGCCACCCAAACTGCACTGAGTTTATATCCTGGCAGCCAGTGAGCAGGGCTGAGATCTTGCCCCAGGCTACAAGCCATTCCACTGAGAAAGCAAGCAGGGCTCTCAGGCTTCACCTCTCTGCCTGCTCACACCTTTGGCTGCAAGCTTCTGTGCTCTATTGTGCTTCCCATTTGCCACCCACTCCCACAACCCACCATCTCCATTCTACTCAGGAAAGTTTGTGCTCAGTCAAAATTATTACAAAGTTCAGCTAGGAGCTTCTGTCACCCTGTGGCCCCTCTGCAATTTCACTGGCTCCCCTCCCTTCCCCAAGGACTGTGACATAAGGCCAGGAATGGCTTCCCTGGGCTTCGCTGGGGACTGGGAGTGCCTACAGGGCTCTTCCCACTGCTTCTTCTACTTTTATATTTTGCTCGGCTTCCTAAATCCATTTCAGCTCTAGGTAAGATTAAAGCCTTCTCCTGTGATCTGAATTTTCAGGTTCCCCAGTGGGGATGTGTGTTCAGAGGCAGACTTTTTCGCCTCTCACACTTTGGGAACTCACAGTTTTTCAGCTGTCTTGCAGCATTTGCAGTGGCAAGCCACTTCTTTCAAAGGGTCTGTGAATTCTTTCAGTCTCCCTAGTATGTCCCTACACTGGTTCTTGGAACAGAAGTTCACAATGTGAATCTCCAGACGCTGATCTGTTTGTCTAAATGGGAGCTGCACGTTAGTCCTGTCTCCTCTCTGGTGTTTTTTCTCTCCTACCTGAAAGGTACAGCGTTTCAGTGTGGGATGATGAAAAGTGCTGGAGTGGATATTGGTGATGGCTGCACAACAATGGGAATGAATTTAATGCCACTGAGTTGTACATTTGAAAATCATTAAAATGGCACATTTTAGTCATGTATATCTTACCACAATAAAACATCAGTTAAAAGAATTTTATTTATAGACCAAATATGTCTGTGCTCTATTTATAACTCCTAGTCTGTTAGGAATCACCCCAAGTACATGTTCCTAGGATTAATGCTTTCTAAAATAATCCTGTGGTCTGGTACATATTCTCAAGGAAGGGATTCCTGTTGAACTCAGCTTGAGGAATTCTTTCCTGTCTACTGCTCAGTGTCTGTTGACTGGAATGCTGGAGAAGATGCAGCACAAATTGGCCCCTGTGGTGCTCACATGATTTCCTTGTGCTTTCCTAGGGTGGGATGCAGCGTGGGAGTGCCGGGGTGTGGAGTGCAGCGTGGGGGTGCCGGGGTGTGGGATGCAGCGTGTGAGAGGCGGGGTGTGGAGTGCAGCGTGGGGGTGCCGGGGTGTGGAGTGCGGCGTGTGAGTGCCGGGGTGTGGAGTGCAGCGTGGGGGTGCCGGGGTGTGGGATGCAGCGTGGG
The DNA here is from genome assembly GCF_000001405.40 of Homo sapiens. Lineage (NCBI taxonomy): Eukaryota > Metazoa > Chordata > Mammalia > Primates > Hominidae > Homo > Homo sapiens. The sequence continues at coordinate 74,545 of NT_187650.1, read as the reverse complement.
GGTGCCGGGGTGTGGAGTGCAGCTGGTGTTTCACGTTGCTGAACTAAAGCCTTGGTTGCACTCAGCATTCAGATGCTGGGGACACTGTGGTGACCTGACACAAGGTAGCATAGAGATGGCATTGCCCTCAGCCTGCTAGCAACAGGAGGGTCGGGGTCCATCCTCAGCATGTGCAGGCTGCCCCTCGTCCGCAGCGGGAATCAAACTGACGCTGCATGTCTCTTAACAGTTTCAGGTTTTGCCTTGTCCCATGTTTGGATGTGATGATTTGGGTTGGCTCTGGCCACCTGCAATACCCTGAGTTATTAGAAAATGTAAGGAGCTATTCGTCATCCCTGTTTCCTGTGTCCTTAACCTTTCTCTGTTTTTAGTTTCTCAGCATTCAAGGGCTGAGCCAGTGCTCTTTAGTGAAGGACGTCTTTTTGTGGATATGAACAATTTCTCCCCACTTCTCTTTCCCATCTTGTCTCTAACGTGGAGGGAAGGGAGTGATGTTTGTCCACAGCACCTTCGGCAACTATCATGACATGTTTGCGATCGTCACCGTCTTGTGCTAGACGCATAGTCATGATGCATATTTGGCACATTTGGTGCTCAATAAATGACCTCACACAGACACACAGCAACATGTGAAAAGCCAGTAGGAGGAAGATCGACTGCCTCATAAAGGTCAGCAAACGTTTTCTGTAAAGGGACAGAGAGTAAATATTTTTGGCTCTGTGGCCATATGGTCTCTGTCACAAATACTCAACTCTGCCAGTTAGAAAGCAGCCATGGACAAGAGGCAGGTGAATGGGCATGGCTGTTTCAATCATCTTTATAAAAAAAAAAAAAATGTGGGCCAAACTGGCCTTCAACCTGTAGCTTTCCAGCCCAGTATAACCTTTTCTTTAGCTATTCACTTTTGTTTAGTCTTAGAGTTAATGACTATGTCGAAAAAGTCTTTGAGACCAGGAATAAAATTTAAGGAAAAATATGCTAATCACCTTATTTCCAAATTATAGGTAAAATAAGTACAAATAATAGCAGATTACAATGGGTCTAGTTTAGTGAAAGGCTAGAGGACATATAATAGAGGCACATGTAAAAATTATAGATAATAGTGTCAACTTTCATAACTTAAAGTGAAAAATTTCTTTTACTATGTTTACTTTGCAGACAGAAAAATAACATTAGTAAGGAATAATTGCTATTTCTTTTTGGTTATTTTTCTCTCATTCATATTAACTTTTCCTAAATTTCAAAACCGTTAGGCTCAATATCTCATAATCTGTGTGAGAAGAATATTTTTGTATCATCTGCTCTGAAAAACTAAACTGATTATATTCTCTACTAAACACCTGCTCATATCCTGTTGATGCCTCTAAGCAGAGGAAGAAATGGTTGCTCTAAACAGGTGGCAAAGCCCTGATTTTGCACACATAAAGATTTGCTTGCTTCCCACATGATGGGCATCTTTCCACTCATGGTAAGGCATCATTGTCTTCTTAGTTTATATTCACTGATTCAGTATTTCCTGAGTACCTGCTATGAGCCAAGCACTGCTCATAAGTTTTCTGTGCTTCAGCAAATCAGTGAACAAAAGAGACAAAGATCTCCATCCTCAAGGTGCTTGTTTTTCACAGGGAGGGGCAGGTAGTCAACAATAAACACAATAAAGTGGGCAGTACAGAGTGGTAAAAGTGAACAGAATTATGGAGAACAGTAGGACAGAGTGATGAGAGTGCAGAGTGCTGTGCTGTGTGTGTCTGGGTGAGGGAGGTTTCAGGGTTAAGCGGGGTGATCAGAGCAGTGGGTAGACCCCCTGAAAAGAAGAAGCTTGAGCCAAAATTTGAAAAAGATAAAGAAATAGATCATGGCTATCTGAGAGAAGAGACTTCCAAATGGAGAGCAGATAGAGCAAGGATCATGAGACAGGTGCTTGCCTCTTGCATCCATGGATGAGCATGGAGTCTGGCATGGCTGCAGCAGTGAGGGAGGGTGGAGCTTTCAGAGGGGAGGTTGGACTGGTATTGGGTCCAGACCACGGATGGCCTCAGAGCCCACCAGCTCAGAAGTGGAAAGCGATTGCAGGGTGCTGGGCAGAAGTGTGTCTAAAAGGAAGTCTCAAAAGAATGCTTCTGACTGCTGTGCTCAGAGTAGACTGCAGGGGTCAGGGGTAGAAACAGTGGAGTCTGTGAGAGGCTTGTGCAACCTCCCAGTGAAAGATGATGGTGACTCCAACCAGGTTGTAGCATTGGAGGTGGTGAGAAAAGCCAGATTTGGGTAGATCTTGAAAGTAGGACAATCACATTTTCTGAGGGATTGGAGGCAGGGCGTGAGAGAAAGAATGATGCTCAGGATGATGCTCAGGTTTTTGGCCTGTTATATGTTAATAGAAATCCTCTCTATACAGAGATTTAAAAAGAAAATGCTGTTAAAGTGTTATCCAATAACAACTACCCTTATATTTGTATTGTAACTTTATACTGTTAGATGAAAATGCCAACAGAATGTCTCTTCTGGTCTGAGAAGAATAGCCACATATAAAACCTGTCTGCAGCTTACTGTTCTCTAGCAGAGGTTGTGCTTTTATGGATAGCTCACTGGCCTGCTTCCTAGCAGAGGCTCCTAGCTGGAGGGAGGACTCTAACTCTCATGGCATGTGCTGCTTAGTCTTGAGACTAAGAATAAGGGTTTGGAGTATAATAATTAGTTCTTGGTTCTGTTCTGCTTGGAAAAAAACCTCAGAAAGCCTCTTGGTGCCCACAATGATGAAAATAGTCATTACTAATTGTATTCGTGGGCACCCAAGGCATAAACATGTACAAGGCACTTAATAATAACACCATCATCACATCGACTTTTATGATTCTTGGGCTTACCCTGGGCCACACACTTTGTTGGGAGCTCCACACATTGTCTTTCAACCCCTCGCGGCACCTTGAAAGCTATAATCCTTTTGTAACAGATGAAGTGTCTGAAATGCAGAAAGGTTACTGGACTTGTTTAAGTCCAAATAGATACTGCAGAGTGGGGCTGGGGCTCCCTTGACTCCAGACTTGCCCATCTCCAATGCCAGCATCCTTCTGATTTTCCTGCCTCCAAAACTCAGGGATTTAGATGAATGATGTATTCATAACATGCTAACTCAACAAACACATTGATTTAGTGTTTTCTACATGTTAGAAACTGACTTAGCTTGACATTGGAGGATAAAAGATTGATTGATTGGTTGATCAAATGGTTTTTGAATGCTTATTATATGCCAGAGGTGTGCAATACTATAGAAAGATAAAGATGAATGGTCCTTTGTCTTAAGAAGGAACCACCGTTTCTTGGATGTCCTGGATGGTGGTGTTTAAATACTATAGGACAAGAAGCAGCAGAAACCTAAATGGGAAGCCTTCTGTTTGAAAACCCTTCCTTATTTAGGCATTTTAAAAATGTATTAATCTAAGAAATTTGGTACTTTTTGAATTGGAAAGTGGACAATCATATTTCAAGAATGGTTTGAGGCAGGCTTAGCTTAGGTACAAGTTATTATAATTATTATAATTTGTACGTAAGCTAAGTGTATTAGTCTGTTCTCGTGCTGCTAATAAAGACATACCTGGGACTGGGTAATTTACAAAGGAAGGAGGTTTAATTGGCTCACAGTTCCACATGGCTGGGGAGGCCTCACAATCATGGCAGAAAGTGAAGAGGAAGAAGGACACATCTTACATGGCAGCAGGCAACAGAGAGCTTGTGCAGGGAAATTCCCCTCTATAAAACCAACAGATCTCATGAGACTTATTCACTACCACGGGAACAGTATGGGAGGAAACGGCCTCCATGATTCAATTATCTCCACCTGGCCCCGCCAGGTGGCTAATGTGCAGGGATTATTACAATTCAAGGTGAGAATTGGGTGGGAACACAGCCAAACCATATCACTAAGCCTACCTCAAACCATTTGTAAAATATTCTTGAAATATAATTAGTTTTCTAATGTACTCTCATTCAAGTTCTTGTTTGCCTCTGAAACTCACCAGTAGATATGTAAGAAATAGTATTCAAATCACGTGAGGCTCTGACCATATCATTTCAAAACATGCTCATCTCTACTTGAGAACATGACTCCAGCGCCATCTCTTCTGAGATCCTCCTTGCTGATTTTACTTAAATTAGACGCCTTCGCATACCTGCCACATCACTTTACACTGTTAGATTTTTACATAGCTTTGTCATTGCCAGAAATTATCACCTACCTGTCTGTTCATTTATTGCTTTGTTTTGACAAAGTGTTTGATTTATGCAATATAACATTTAAGTGAAAAGAGACTCAATGTTCATCAATAGAGTTTAAAATTTCCAATCTATATGACATTATCAATAGCTTTTTTATATTAAAATACATTTTATATTAAACATACTTGTATTCACGGATGACCCAAATTGTTGGAACTAAAATTTACATTTATATAAACCCATCATTGATCTAAATACAATATGGATATGAATTTATATGTACTTTAATGTCATCAATATTAATGTGAATTCCAAATAAAAATCCATAAAATTGTTAAACATGGAGGAGACAGATATAAAGGTCTAGGGGAACAGCATTTCAGATGGAGGAACAGGCAAGGAGAGGAGCTTGGAGTGTGGTGAGGAACAGGCTTGGAGAGGAGCTTGGAGTGTGGTGAGGAACAGGCAGGAGAGAAGCTTGGAGTGTGGTGAGGAACAGGCAAGGAGAGGAGCTTGGAGTGTGGTGAGGAACAGGCTTGGAGAGAAGCTTGGAGTGTGGTGAGGAACAGGCTTGGAGAGAAGCTTGGAGTGTGGTGAGGAACAGGCTTGGAGAGAAGCTTGGAGTGTGGTGAGGAACAGGCTTGGAGAGAAGCTTGGAGTGTGGTGAGGAACAGGCTTGGAGAGAAGCTTGGAGTGTGGTGAGGAACAGGCTTGGAGAGAAGCTTGGAGTGTGGTGAGGAACAGGCAAGGAGGGAAGCTTGGAGTGTGGTGAGGAACAGGCAAGGAGGGAAGCTTGGAGTGTGGTGAGGAACAGGCAAGGAGAGGAGCTTGGAGTGTGGTGAGGAACAGGCAAGGAGAGGAGCTTGGAGTGTGGTGAGGAACAGGCAGGAGAGAAGCTTGGAGTGTGGTGAGGAACAGGCTTGGAGAGAAGCTTGGAGTGTGGTGAGGAACAGGCAAGGAGAGGAGCTTGGAGTGTGGTGAGGAACAGGCAAGGAGAGGAGCTTGGAGTGTGGTGAGGAACAGGCTTGGAGAGAAGCTTGGAGTGTGGTGAGGAACAGGCAGGAGAGAAGCTTGGAGTGTGGTGAGGAACAGGCAGGAGAGAAACTTGGAGTGTGGTGAGGAACAGGGAGGAGAGAAGCTTGGAGTGTGGTGAGGAACAGGCTTGGAGAGGAGCTTGGAGTGTGGTGAGGAACAGGCAGGAGAGAAGCTTGGAGTGTGGTGAGGAACAGGCAGGAGAGAAGCTTGGAGTGTGGTGAGGAACAGGCAGGAGAGAAGCTTGGAGTGTGGTGAGGAACAGGCAGGAGAGAAGCTTGGAGTGTGGTGAGGAACAGGCAGGAGAGAAGCTTGGAGTGTGGTGAGGAACAGGCAAGGAGAGAAGCTTGGAGTGTGGTGAGGAACAGGCAAGGAGAGGAGCTTGGAGTGTGGCGAGGAACAGGCAAGGAGAGAAGCTTGGAGTGTGGTGAGGAACAGGCAAGGAGAGGAGCTTGGAGTGTGGTGAGGAACAGGCAAGGAGAGAAGCTTGGAGTGTGGTGAGGAACAGGCTTGGAGAGAAGCTTGGAGTGTGGTGAGGAACAGGCAAAGAGAAGAGCTTGGAGTGTGGTGAGGAATAAAGAGCATTTGAAATACTCACAGAAGGTCAATGTGACGCAGATGCGGTAAGCCAGGCAGAGTGTGGCAGGAGATAAAAATAGAAAGATAAACAAGAGCCAGATAATACAGGGCTCTGTGGAACATAGTAAGGAGTTTGAATTTTATCCAAGAGGAATGGGAAGCTACTGGAAGGCTTAACCAAAGAATGACATGCTTTTATTTATACCTAAAATAGATTATTGTGTTTCCTCTGTGGAAAAGGGATTATAAGTGGGCAAGAACAGAAACAGTTAAGAAGTCATTACAGTACTTGAGGAAATGGTTCATGAGTTGGACTGGGTGGTGCAATGGTGTGAGAGAGAAGAGGGCAGATTCAGCTGGTGAGCTGATTGTGGGAAGTGAGGGGGAAAGAATGGGACTTCTAGACTTTTGGCTGAAGCAACTGGGTGGATAGTTCTATTTTCTTGGATTGAATGTTTTGGATGTGTTAAGTTTCAGAGGCTTATTAGGAATCTATGGCTAGTCAGGACTAGAAAATATAAATTTGGAAGTCATACACTTAGGGATGATAGTATTTGAAAGCGTGACCCAACTTAGCTTAAGTGGAGATAGGGAGGATAGATAGAGAAGGGAGAAGGCCCAGGACAAACATCAGGGTTTAGAAGTCTGGCAGAGAAGCCAAAGCCCTCAGAGAAGACCGAGGAGTAGCCAGAGAAGCAAGGGGATTGACTGGAGAAGGTGGCAGGGAAGCTGATAGAAGGAAATGCCTCAACAAGCATTCTCAGGTCTGCCGGATGCTGCTGAAAGAAAACGAATCACCATATTTGGCAGAAAGAAAGAAAATGAATCACCATATTCGGAAACATGAAGGCCACTGGTGGCGATGATAAAAGGAGCTTTATGGGAGTGGTGGGGAAGGACACTGACAAGAATGGAAGGAAGAGAATGAAATTCAAGGGAGTGGAAATGAGGAAAAGAGCTAGAAAGACACTGGCTCAGGGCAGGGTTTCAGAGGGAAGGATATCTTGGAGTTGGTTAGTGTGTTGGTGAGAATTCTCTTGTGTGGATGACATTATGATGGTGCAGAGGAGAGAGCGGAAAACAGCTGAAGCAAAGCCTGTGCACCTTGAGAGCTGGTGAGGTCCCGAGTGCTGGGGGAGGTGTTGCCTTGAGACAGGAATGGGAACACCTTGACGTTGCTTCCATCCTCCTGGAAGGTTGGAGTTGGTGGAGGGGAGATGGAGTTCCTCTATCTCTTCTCGATAGAGAAGGAAGAAGAAGAAATATTGGAGGCTTCAGGAGCATAAAGAAAGTGTGAAATACTTGGATGTCTTGAATACTGGAGTTTTGTTTACAAGGGAAGTGTAGCACAACCTCTGGACGGTGATAAGTATGTGTTTCAGATTTGTGACCTTGAGTTTAGAGTGTGGACAGTCACTATGGCTTTGTGATTTTCTTCAGCTGCTGGCTGATGGTGCAGTGAAATAGAATTGTAAATGGGACCTCAAGCTCTCCGGAGGAAATCGGCTCTCGGTGACTAATGGAGACACCCAAATTTAGATAACAGATTCAAGTGGCCATAAGGGGCAGTGAGAGGAGAACCATCTCTTCACAAACATCGTACTTCATGTGCTTTCTGTGACCAGAGCCAAGAAAAACAGTGGCTAGACTCCTCATCTCCACCCCATTGGCCATTTTAAAAGAAAACACCTGACAAAGACACTTTTAATGTTGGGATGGGAAGCCACCCAGTCAAGGCTTGGCTATCTCAACCAATAAGAACTGAACACACGTGAATCCTACATTTGCATAAACAGACGTGACAGAGAACCTGGGAGAAAACTTTTCCTATTTGAGCCATAAACCCTTCCTTTGTTCTTCGGTGCACACACTTTCATTTGTGCTTCTGAAGAAATGTCTGCGGGAGTTGTTTTTTTTTTTTTTTTTTTTTTTTAACTGTTTTATAGACAACAAAGCTCTTCCTTTTTCCTCTGCAGATTTCATGATCTTTTATTAACAGCGCTGAGTAGGTGAATAGTTGGTCTGAATAGGTTATTGCTTTGCTGTGTGAATTCAATGGAAACAAAGTTTGTGGTTATAGTTTATCAAATTGAATAACGTGATTATAATGATGGGCCCTGGACCCCAAAGTGGGAAAGTTCAAAGTAAGACCAGGAGGGGATGATAGATAATAAAAACATTTTAAGGTCAATGGATTTGTGGTTTACAATGTTGAAAATGGTTGGAGTAGGCAGCACAGAGTAAGTGAGCTGGAAAGATAAGGCTTAGTAGGAGAATGAGATGTTAACATCAGTCTTTTTAATATTATTATTATTATTTTGAGACAGAGTCTCACTCTGTCATCCAGGCTGGAGTGCAGGGACACAATCTCAGCTCACTGCAACCTCTGCTTCCCAGGCTCAAGCAATTCTCCTACCTCAGCCTCCCGAGTAGCTGGGACCACAGGCACCTGCCACCACGCCTGGGTAATTTTTTGTATTTCGGGTACAGATGGGGTTTTGCCATGTTGCCCAGGCTGGTCTCTGACTCCTGAGCTCAGACAATCCACCCACCCTAGGGGCTTGGATTACAGTGTGAGCCACTGCACCCAGCCAGTATCAGTCTTATGGGGTGGGGCATTTATTGTTATATGGCAAGGGCTAAGGTGTGGTCGTGGGGCTGGGTCTCATGGGATGGTGGAGGAAAGAGTGTCGTGGGAGAGAAAGCTAAGGATCTGAGAGCTCACTGCTCAGTGGATTATCTACGCGCAAGCTGAAGTCACTGAAAATGGTAACAAGGGTAGGTAGAGATGAAGATGGAGCCAGCCGCTGAAGTCCGTGGTGGATGAAGGAAAGAACGTGGGGGGTCTGAAGATGGCAGGGAAACGCAGGTGGTCTAGTCAGATGGCGTGTGCTCCAAAGGAGCTGGAGGCTTTTGGAGGAGAAAGGAGGAGATACCGTGTGAATACAGCAGTGGGAGTAAGGGCGTGCTTGCCCCACCTGCAGGCCATGGCTTATGTGCAATATGGGAGGAAAAACATTCCCGTGGAGAAGGAGGCTGGGAAAGTCATGCTCGCTGATAGCTAGGGGTGAAGAGAATTTTTAAAGAGGAACTACAGTATGCAAGAGAGGATTTAGGGAGCTGATATATACGAGCAGGATGCAGAGGAAGAGTTTGGGAAAATGGGATAGGGTGAGAAATTATAGAATGCACAGGAAGTGATGGAGAGGAGTTAGTAAATGGTCAAATGACTTTGAAAATCCAATCATTTCAAAGCACATAGCCTTCTGTGCTAAGGAGAAACACACAACTGCTTTGCTAAGGCAGGCATGGCAACATTAACTGTCCTCTGCTGCCCCTTCCCTCTGTCTGTCTTAAACTCAGAAGCCCCATTCTCCTGAGCTTTGGTTGGGCATATGGCTGCCTGCTGGAGACTGCATATCCCAGCTTCCCCAGTGAAAAAGCTGGACCATGTATCTAAGTCCCCCAGCAGTGAAAGGCCCTTAAAAGGAGGGATTTGGGGCTCGGTTTCTCTTCTCATAGGATTAAGCATGGGTGTGGTGGGGAGTCAGTATCGACGGCATGGATGATTAGAACATCCCGAGGAAAGCCAGTGCAATGTCAAGGGTATCAGAGCCCCAGATGACTTCATGCAGCGGAGCTGCTTACCTGCCCTGAGCCGCCTGCCTGCTTCTCGAAAGTGTGAAAGATCAATCGGGTCTACTTCGTTAGGCCCTAAACACTACATCGCATGTCCAGGTTCTGGCTTTGAACGTATTTGAACATATGCTAATAGCCAGTCTCATTATGTCACTTTATAGAATCACATAAATCACCCTTTCGGACCCTAGAATATTCCTGGTCGAGGTCAGGACACATTTGAAAATGTGGGAAAGGCTGTATAATAGCCTTCAGGTTTTCATGACTTGTTTACTACCTGAGGGATTAGTCAACAAATTTAGTAATCAATCCACAGATATTTGAATCAACAAAAAGGACTGACAAGTGTCATGTAATTTTCCTCATGTTTTTGAGGGTTACGTGGCAGGTGCTGTTTGTATCATGTCCTCTTCAGCTCCTTTTTAGGGGAACAGTATGCCAGCATTTCTGCGTTTTGGGGTGAGGCCTGCTGTCCTCACCCTGGTGCGAGCACATGAAGTAAACGGGACACCTAACAGTGTGGTTTTCCTCTCTGTGCCAGCGGCTCGGATTCCCTCCCTCACCTGCAGGCTGAGCAGGTCGGCTTGTCCGTCATTCTGCCTTTTAAGTGAATCAGAGGGCAAAAGTTCCCTTTCCCTGGCACAGTTGAGCCATCTCTTTTGATTCAGTTGTGGAAGTCTCCAGCCTCAGTGAGGGCTGTAAAAGGCAATCATGCAAAGTGTCTCGTTCTTTAAGGGAATGGTATTCGTCAGATTTCTGACTTTTTGGAGATGCTGTTGGTGGAGAAACACTTTCTGATGCTTCAAATGCAACATCTTTTATGCAGTTCAGTAAGAAAAAATCTTCCTCAATCCTCATTTTTACAAACATGTCCATTTGATTTGTTACTTTGCATGGTTACATTATTTTTGTGTAATAATTACTGTGGCTTTTAATAACAAGGTTAATTATCACTAGCAACTTAATGTATTCCACCAGGAGCACTTTTTTTTTTACCCTGTCTTCCTGTTATGTGGTAGTTTTTCTGTTTCTTCCAGTAGAAGCTTCAGTGAGGCTGCATGCATGCACAATAAAGGGTTGTACGAGCAGTGTTTTGGGCAAGACAGGCCTGGAGAGCTTTGTCCCATGCCAGTGCCATGGGGCCCAGTGAAAGCCTGGCCTGGGTATTAATTAAGGACAGAGACACGGAGCACCATCCAAGGGGAGAGAACAAATCTGTTCCTTCACAGCAGATCCTATTTGCAAGTGCCACTCTCTCTGCCTGAAATTCTCCTCTCCCAACTTTCCATCAGTTTCTTGAGAGTTTTCTTTTTTTTTTTTTTAAAAAAAAACAACTTTGTTGAGATATAATTCACATTCCATACAACTCACCCACTTCAACTGTATGACTCAATGGTTTTCAATATATTCACAAGTAGGTACAAACATCACCACAGTCAATTTTAGAACATTTTTATCACCTCAAAAAGAAACCTAGAACTCTTTCCAAATGGCCCCATCTTCTCACCCCCATGGCTAAGAAACCATTTACCTCCTTTCTGTCTGTGTGGACCCCTCCATTCTGGATTTTCATATGAACGGAATCATAGAGTATGTGGTCTTTTGTGACTGACGTCTTTCACCTACCACGATGTTATTAAGGTTCAAGCATGTTGTAGGATGTATTAGTACTTCATTATCTTTTATGGCTGAATGAGGTTTCATTATGCAGATAGACCTTATTTTGCTTATCCATTTAGCTATTGAAAATCTGGCTTTTGTGAACAATGCTGCTGTGAACATGGACATGAAAATGCCTCTTCAAGATCCTACTTTCAATTATTTGGAACATATGGGTAAGTTGTCTTTAGTGGCCTCATTAAAAAAGTAAAAAGCAAACAGGTGGAATTAATTTTAATAATACGTTTTACTTACTTCGATATATCCAAATCTCACGTCAACAAATCATCAATTAAACACGTAATAAGAGAGTTTGCATTCTTTTCCACTCTAAATCTGTGAAATCCAGGACATAGTTTGCACTTGCAGCTGACCTCAGTTGGAACCAGCCCATTTCACGTGGCCAATACCCACAGGTGCCTAGTGGCTACTGTGTTGAACAGGACCCTCTAATCCTTGAGGTGCTGGGATTCAGGAGTAGCTGACTGTGTGGTGATAGCTGCTGCTGAACTTCAGGTTGCATCCTCTTTCTCTCTCTCTCTCACTCCTCGAGAAACATACAGCAAAAGCTCTTGGCAAAGCTTCCAACCTCATTGTCAGACCCATCTGATTTTATTCAGTGAGAAGGATTATGTGATCTGGCTTTTGATATGATGAGCTAAGTTCGAGTTGTATTTCTTTCAAGAGAATTTTGAGTCTGAAATACAAAAAGTGTCCCAGAAATACACCTATTCTCCCTTGTGCTGAGTCACTTTGGACAATTTAACCTCAAATCATGACAGGGAATGCTTGATACTTTGCTGTTCAACATTTTGTCAGCTCTAATGAGTGTTCAATTTATAACTAATGACAATGCATCTTATAGGGTGGGCCAGCCCATATGGGTGGGGGTCGATGTGAGAGGGTTGTCGTTATAATTTCAGCACGTACTTTAACAGTGGCAGTTGTACATTTTGCATAAAGGCCTGAAGTCTTGTGACATCAAGAATATATGAGGAAAAGAAAAGCGTCTTCCAATACAAATAATGTAATATGATAGTTATTCACATAATATTGCCCCTTTTCACTTGCGTTGTTTATTTAAAACCGAGTTAGGGAGGGTGTGACAAAATAACAGATGCTCCCATGAATGCTCATCTCTTTAAATCTGGCCTCAGCTGATGTCAGTCAGAGTCTACTAGACTAATGGGGCTGCTGCAAATCTCAGCTTTGCCGCCGGCTTGGGCACGTTTCCTCAGCGTCTCTGGCTCCCCGTATTCTTGTCTTCAACACAATGGGTGGAAGTGTGGTTCAGTGTCTAAGAAAGTCTCCAGCACAGTGTGGGATGGGGACAGGCTCCTGTTTTCCTTTTCTTCTCAGAAGCCCAAGAGCTGGTGCACCATCTTGTTCGTCTCGACTCACAGGTACAGGTTTGGGATCACAGTGTGCATTATTAGGGACAGAAAGAGAGTGCCACTGAGATAAAGGCAGGAAGAGAGTACCACTGAGATACAGGCAGAAGGCTACCAAGGACATCTTTATATTCTTTTGCAGACCACTGGGGTCACTTGAATTTAGAATTTACCAGGTGCAATTTTGCAAACTATCTTAATTATCTTGACATTATAAAAGCCTGTAATCTTGTACTTCTGACATCTGAGTAATTAGGGCTTTGAACACCAGTGCCTTCTAGGTCACAGGCTTGCATTTTTTCCACTGCAGATTGGCTGTCAGCCATTACCACCTTTCTGCTCCAATGGAAACCTTTCTAAATGAGAGCGGGATTGGACAGGATGGCTTTGATTTGAATCTCTGTAAAAACAACTTTCATGTATTGAGCTGCATTGAATTTTTATTTGCGCACTGAACTTTATTTTATATTTTAAAAAGACAAATAACAAGCAATTATATTTGGCAGATAAAAAGAGACATATGAGCATGATAAATTTGGCTGTGGATCTCTCTGACCTAATCTAATAATCATTTTGGTTTCAAAAGCCGAATGATTTCTCAGAGCAGCTTGTTACTTGCTTATACAGCTCAGTTAAGAAGAACACAAATAGTTCCCCAGGCACACCCAAGATACAGCAACATTATAAAACACTGCTTATTAATTGCTTTTTAGGTTAAGAATTATGGTAAGGTAAGATTTTGATTTTTGAGAGACATTAAAGTAAAATGATATTTACCCTTCACATGCTAATTTACCCTTGTAAGTTATGCGACATTTTTATCCATTCTGTAAGTTGTGTGAAGCTTTTGAAACATCTTTAGATAGAAGTTATTTCTTTTCAGTCTATTTTTCTAAGAACCTTTGCTGGCAAATAAGAAAGTTCATTTACCAGGGGATATGTATAAGTATTGAATGTTAAATATTTGTTGGGGGAAGATGAAAATGACATTAACGCATCAATTAACAGTTAGTGCAAATATTTTTAACACATTGTTAGGCCCTACTTCTGGTTTTCAAAATTATAACACCATTACGTCATAGGAATAAAATTCTCCTTATAAAATATTTATATACATATAGTACATATTATAGGGTGTGATATATATATAGTGTATATTATCTGTTATTTTATATATAAATACACAGTATTTTACAGGACTTGTTTATTCCAGAAGAAAGCAATTTTGTTAGAATTTTATATAAATCTACTTTTTGACTAAAATTTACTTTAAAGAAATGATACAATCCTTTGGGCAAACTATTGAACAAACAAAAATTCCCTTTTCACTTTCCATTGAGATGATTTAGTTGAAAACATTCAGTTGAAAAAATCAATGTACATATTTTAGAATACTTTTTTTAGACCAAGCTGAGGATTTGGGGTCTGTTCTTTACTGTGGGGGAGGGAATGAAGCCTCAAAAATGATCTTGTGCAATCGGAAAAGTTGTTAGAAGCCTGTGTCCGTGAGAATGAGAAGCAGGTAACCATACTTGGTGAGGATGCTCAACCAGCTACCATTGCGCTCCGGGGAGCATGTGACCAGTGTTACTGCGGCAGACCAGAGCCTGGGTCACCCCCGGTATACCGACTGTGAGTCAACCACTCCCTTAAAAAATGGAAGCAGTGCATCAGAGTCATGCAAAATATCTGCTACACCTGCCTGACGGGTCACTGATGGGCCATGCTCACCCTGCAGTGAGTTCCCTTAGAGGCGGGTTATGACGAGGGTCCCATCCCTGCCTCCTACTGCTGCTTTAATGCTGCTGGCCTGCCCACTCACCATCACCCAGAATAGCCTAAGATCCCACCCTGGGCACTAAGCTCTGTTTCTCTGTCTTTCACAGATTTCCCTCCCATGTATCGTCATGGTCCAGTGTGTCTTATTTCACTTCCCTGGACCTTCACTGCCTGGGTTAGGATCAGTGCAGTGTCAGAAATACAGACTTTAGGTCGCAGCTCCTACTCGGGTAAGTTACTTAGCCTCTCTGTCTCAGCTCTTTCGTCTCCAAAACACGTAAATTTATTACATTGACTCATTAAAACCCCAAGCCTTGAGAGGAAGGTTGATAGTACATGGATCTTTTCATTTGCAAGGATGGGGAAGAAAGGAAAAAGAGAGAATTTAAAGGTAATAGAATAAAGTTGGAGAACTTGTTCAAATGACAATTACATTGTCTGCTTTTAAATCATGTATTTTATTTATTTGTTTTGCCATATTTTGTTATTTAGTACCAACTAATTGCCAGACACTGTACTGGGCTCTCGGTGTACAAAAGTACAGAGAACCCAGATCCAGGGCCTTCCATTTGCATGGAGAGGAGGTTGTAATAGACATATGAACACACAGGTATAGCAAGTGTAGAAACTGAAGTGTGACAAGATATTTGTCAGGCAAGAGGAAGGCACTGACGGTGGCCCAGAATTCTGTCACAGAGGAGGAGACATTTGTCTTGAATTTCGAAAGGTGGAAAAGGGTTAATCAGCATTAGCGGGGAGGAATCTGGGCAGAAAAGGAAAGATTAGAGTGTGCTCAGCCTCTTTGGGAATTGATAAGTGGTTTGCACAACCGAAAAGCAAGGTGTGAGGGGAGGACCTATGAGATTCAATGGTGGGGCATGTAGACAAGGGTCCTAGGAGCCAGACAAAGGCATTTAGAGTTCACACTTCAGGAATCAATGACCACGACAATGATGTGACGAGGTCACAGAAACCAGCAGAGAACATAGTTTTTTTAAAAAAGTTGCCTGAATATAGCGGCTCCTGCCTGTAAGCTTAGCAATTTGGGAGGCCAAGGATGGAGGATAGCTTGAGTCCAGGAGTTCAAGACCAGCCTGAGCAACATAGCAAAATCCCATCTCTACACAAAATTTAAAAAATTAGTCCAGTGTGGTTGCATGTGGCTGTAGTTCCAGCTGCTCAGGAGGCTGAGGCAAGAGGATCGCTTGAGCCTGAGAGATTGAGACTGCAGTGAGCCATGATTGCACCACCCCATCCCTGCCTGGGCAACAGAGTGAGACTGTCTCAGAACAAAAAATATTATTAACATTTGTTTTGATTGACAAATCATAACTGTATACATTTGTGGGGTACAATGTGATATTTTGATAATTGTATACAAGATGAAATAATTAGATCAAGCTAACATATTCATCGCCTTGCTTACCTGTTCTCTTTCATGGTGAGACAATTGAAATTTATGCTCTCAGTTATTCTGAAATATATGACACATCATTACTGACTACAGTACCTTGCTATGCAATGGATCACCAACCCTCTGTCTATCTGAAACTTTGTTCTCTTTGATCATCAACTCCTCACTCCCTGTCTTCCCACACCCCGCACCTGTCAGCCTCTGGTAACCATCATTCTACTTCCTGTTTCTATGAGTTCAACCTTATTAGATTTCACATGCCAGTGAGATCATGGGGTATTTGTCTTTCTGCGCCTACCTTATTTCTCTCAGCATAAAGTCCTCCAGATTCATCCATGTTGTCACAAATGACAGGATTTCCTTCTTTTGAAAGGCTGAATAGTATGCCATTGTATATATACCACATTTATCCATTCATCCACGGATGGACACTTAGGTTGATTCCACATCTTGGCTGTTATGAATAGGGCTGCAATAACTATGGATGTGCAGACGTCTCTTGGACCTACCTTCAGTTCCTTTGGATACACACCCAGAAGTGAGATTACTGCATCATTTACTGGTTCTATATTCAGTTTTTTGAGGAACCTCCATGTCATTTTCCACAATGGCTGTAGTAATTTACATTTCCATTACGCATAAGAGTTCCCTTTCCTCTGCATCCTCTCCAACATTTATTTTTCATCTTTTCGATGATAGCCATTCCAACAGGGGTGAGGTGATAACTCATTGTGGTTTTTATTTGCATTTCTCTAATAATTAGAGATGCTGAGCATTTTTTCATGTACCAACTAGCTACTTGTAAATCTTCTTTTGAGGACTTTGGGTCCTTTGCCCATTTTAACATCATCTAATTATTTGTTTTCTTGCTATTGGGTTGAGTTTCTTTTATATTTTGGACATTAGCTGCTTACTTGATGTATGATTTGCAAATATTTTACTCCATTTTGTGGGCTGTCTCTTCTCTCTGCTGATTGTTTCCATTGCTGTGCAGAAGCTTTTGAGTTTGATGCCATTTTATTTGTGTGTTTTTGCTTTTATTGCCTGTGCTTTCAGGGTCTTATCCAAAAAAAATTATTGTCCACACCAACGTTATAGAACTTTCCCTTATGTTTTCTTCTAGTCATTTTAGAATTTCAGTTTTTATATTTAAGTCTTTTATCCATTTTTTAAATTTTATTTATTTATTTAGAGACAGGGTCTCACTCTGCCACCCAGGCTGGAGTGCAGTGGTGTGATCTTGGCTCACTGCAACCTCCGCCTCCTGGGTTCAAGTGATTCTCGTGGCTCAGCCTCCTGAGTAGCTCGGATTATAAGCACCTGCCACCAGCCTGGCTAAGTTTTGTATTTTTAGTAGAGATGGGGTTTCACCATGTTGCCCAGGCTGGTCTCAAACTCCTGACCTCAGGTGATGTACCTGTCTCAGCCTTCCAAAGTGCTGGGATTACAGGCATGAGCCACCATGCCAGGCCAAATCTTTTATCCATTTTAAGTGGATTTTTGTGTATGTCATAAGATAAGGGTCTAATTTCATTATTTCACATGTGGATATGCAGTTTTTCCAACATCATTTGTTGGAGAGACTCTCCTTTCCCCATTGTGTGTTCTTGGCACCCTCATCAAAAATCAGTTGACCATAAATGTGGGGGATTATTTCTGTGTGTTCCATTCTGTTCCATTGATTGATTTGTCTGTTTTTTATGCCAGTTCTAGGGTGTACTAATTGCAACTGCTAAAAGAGTTTAAAATGAGGGAGTGTGATGCCTCCAGCTGTGTTCTTTTCCTTCATGATTGTTTTGGCTATTTAAGGTCTTTTGTAGTTCCATGTGAATTTAAGGATTGTGTTTTCTATTTCTGTAAAAAATGACATTGAATATTTGATAAGGGCTGGACTGAATCTATAGAACATTGGGTAGTTTGTACATTTTCACAACATTATTTCTTCTACCCATAAACATGGAAAATATTTCTATTTATTTGTGTTTTCATCATTTTCTTTCATCAGCATTTTATAGTTTTCAGTATGCAGGTCTTTTACGTCCTGGGTTAAATTAATACCTAAGTATTTATTTATTTTGTTGCTATTGTAAATGGGATTTTTTTTTGAAATTTACTTTTTAAATATTTGTTATTAGTATATAGAACGCTATTGATTTTTGTACGTTGATTTTATATCCTGAAACCTTAATTTGTTTATATGTCCTAACAGTTTTTTTGTGGAGCCATTAGGGTGTTCTATATAAAAGATCAATTTGTCCGCAAATAGAGACATTTCACTTCTTCCCTCAATTAGAATGCCTTTTGTTTCTTTCTCTTGCTAAGACTTCTAGTGCTATGTTGAGTAGGAGTGGTGAGAGTGGGCATCCTTCTCCCTGATCCTAGGAGAAACGCTTTCGACTTTCCACCATTGAGAATGACGTTAGCTATGGGTGTGGCATGGGCGTCTCTCCTGTGCTGAGGCAGCTCCCTCTATGCTGGATTTGCGAGGGTTTGCTATTACGAAGGGCGTTGAAGCACGCTGGGGGCTGAGCCTGGAGCACCTGTGGGGGTGCTTCCTGTGGCGTGGTGCCTCTGGCTAGTTTCTCTGATGTGGCACCTCCATGGGCCAGGCCCGATCTGTGCCCTGTTTGCTGTGAGCCCCACCTGTTTTTGTTTCTAACTGGCCCTGTGGGCACTCCCAATGTTTCCCGTGGGACAAGACAGGTGTGAGCTCCTGCAAAGTGGCCCAGAATGGTGGGGATGTGTTTCCCATGGGACAAGACAGGCGTGAGCTCCTGCAAAGGGGCCCAGAATGGCGGGGAAGCGTTTCCTGTGGGACAAGACAGGCGTGAGCTCCTGCAAAGGGGCCCAGAATGGCGGGGAAGCGTTTCCCGTGGGACAAGACAGGCGTGAGCTCCTGCAATGGGGCCCAGAATGGCGGGGGAGCGTTTCCCGTGGGACAAGACAGGCGTGAGCTCCTGCAAAGGGGCCCAGAATCGTGGGGAAGCGTTTCCTGTGGGACAAGACAGGCGTGAGCTCCTGCAAAGGGGCCCAGAATGGTGGGGAAGCAGAACTTCTGCCTCCAACTCACTTTCTCACCGTGCAACTGCGGATCCAGAGGAATCTCTGCATGTGAGGCTCTGCCAGGTTGGGGAGGAGTGTGCGCTCAACATCTCTCTCCACTTTTTACCATTGCAACAGCTTTTCTTAGCTCTGGGGTCCAGGAGTGTGTCTCAGCCTTAGTCCTGAATTCTGGGACATGCACGATGGTATTCTTGCCTGTGGAGAGCTGCTAGTTGAATTTCTGTGGTGGTGAGTGATGTCAGTGAAGTCCCATTCTGGTTTCTCTCTGATGTCACACTGAGAGCACAGTTTTGGTGAGAAGATTATCTTTGTGTAAAAGCAAAGAAGAGAGGAAAGAACCTGCGTTTCTCCTCTGCACTATCCGCTGCGTTTTTCTGTAGAATTGGGTGTGCCATTTGCAAGAGCTGTGTGTGTGCAGCAGAGCAGGCAGCCAACCAATCCTTGCGGTTCAGTGTGAGTTGGGAGGGAGAAAGCGCAAACCACTAAGTGTAGACAACACGCAGGGAGTTCATTTGGGAAGTTTAGCGAGTGGTGTCCAAAGCAGAGTTGCTCCCTCAGCACTATGGGCAGTTTGGGCCACACAATTCTTTGTTGTTGGGGAGAGAAGGCTGTCCTGTGCCTTGTAGGAGGTTTGGCAGCATCCCTGGCCTGGACACCCCATGACAGTGGCAACCCCTCCCCTAGCGGTGACAAACATAAAGGTCTCTAGATGTTGCTAAATGTCCTCTGGTGGGGGTGGGAAGGGCATTGCCCTGTGTGAGGACCGCTGGTAGAGACTGTTGCAGGGTTCAGAAAAGAGATTTTTGTTTTTCAGTTGGGACATACATGATCAGTCTTGGGGAAGGAAGCAGAAGCAATGGTGGAATAGGACAAAGATAAAGGAAAGAGGTGGAAAGTGATGAACACAGACCGCGATGACCCGGTGTGGGGTGATATGGGCGAGGACAGCATCCAGCGAAGAGGTCCTGGCTCCTGACTGCAATTTGGTGGCTCTACTGTACCCTGTGCAACGGGTATAGGTTGGTGCTTATTTTCTCTCCATGTGGTCAGAAGTCTCATCTTCAAAGTGCTTAAGCTGTAGCCCTTGCCCTGTCACCTCTGGTTATTGCTGGGACCTGGGTCACACTCCTGGTTCATCTGCTGGCCCCAGGCCGGGTGAGGCTCCCATGTGCCTGCTGGCCTGAGAAAGGCTTATGTGAGTCACGGGCTACTAGGGGCAGAGAGAAGGGAACAGGATGGAGAAATTAAGTGAGGAATAAGATTGTAGAAAGCCAGGAAGAAGCCGAAAGGGGACTTGGCTCTGGCAGCATTTTGTTTTGCATCAGTCTGTGCTGGAATAAGCTGTCGAAAGGTTGTCTACCCATTGCCCCCTGGTACCTTGTGCTGTGCTCATTGTTGGCAAAACACTTGAATGATTGTGGCCTAAATGTGCAGTGATAAAAGACAGAACATAGCTTTGTTATTTTTCTAACCAGAATAGGAGAGTGGCTTTTGGAATCAAGATTTAAAATTCAGCCTTATCCTCATGATTTGCTTGTGTTTTGGCTTGTATTTTGGCTTGTGCTTGAAATGACAAGAAGGATCAAGGGTTTAAATGTGATCTTGAGAAGACATGAGAGAGAGAATTGATATTTTCCTATCTAATATTTATATTACTTTCCTGTATAGAGTAGGCTAAGGATTTTATTTGGACGCTAATTGTATGTAATTCCTATAGCAGTTATTTTGATTAAGCCAACTAGATTTACCTCTAATTATTCATTTTAAGCCCTAGATTTAAAGATAACTTTTTATTCTCTGTAAACAACCTAAAAGTTGCCTTAGATTTATTTCATAATATGTAAAAATGCTGAAAAAGGGCTAGTTTGGCTGGAGAGACATTTTAATTTTTCCCTTTAATTTTAAATGACAATAGTGTGTGTATAGGAGCTGCGTTTCCTACCGAATATTCACCTGGTGTGGAGACTGAATAACATGCCACTCTAAGGGTTAATAAAAGCATTAAATAACTTGCATCTGGGAAACATCAATTGAATAGATAATTGCTTCTTTGTGTTTCTGCTTAGTAGTGGCTGGACATGTAAAGTTTCTATACCACAAAATGAAAACAGATGAGCAAACAAGAGGCCCGGGGTCACATAACCGATGCGTGCTCAAAGCTCGAAGCAGCGTCAATCAAACCTGGAGGGTACCATGTCGAGAGATGGTATCTTTCCATTAATCAGGAATTGGTACCCGGGTGATAGACGGCCTCTGTAATGAAAACCTCAGTTAGCAAACAGCCAGAAGAGAGAGAAAATAATCCAACCAGCCAAATAATCAAAGAACACATGAGGTGTCTGTAGGGAGATTTCCACAGTGGGAAACCCATAGAAAAAGTTCTGTCTCTCACTCTTGTTTTTGTTTTTTGGTTTTGGATACAATTTCATTTAAGTAGAAAGATCATCCATGATTTTCTCAATCTTCCTTATGTCTTTTATGCACTATACTTGCCAAAGTAGCATAGACAGAAAAAAAGCAGGAATCCTATGGATTTCCACCCTTAGTCCTTCAACTAACTTTAAAATAACTTTTAATTTTCTTATTCAGGTCTACATTCTAAGTCACACTCCCCTCCCACATGTCTTTGCCTGCTATTTTACTTCATTAATATTTACCAGCTTTTCTGAATTTAGACACCTAATTTTGTATTTTCATGTATTTCTCTGCATATCCTTCAGATCCTTATTTTCCTCAATATTCATGTAAAATATATAAACTATAATTTCTGTGTTCTTTTAAGAGATAGCAAGTACCTAAACAAAGGGGTGTTCTCCCGTGATTTTTTTAACTCAGCATTTTTTGCCAGAAATGGTCATTTGGGATTTATTCCCACGCCCTTGTGTTTTTCCCTCCCCCTCCCCTTTCCCTCCCTTCCCTCCCTTTATCTTTTTCTCTCTCCCTTCCTCCTGCCCACCCACCCTACATTTTTCCCTCCCTCCCTTCTTGCTCCCTCCCTCTCTTTCTTCCTCCCTCCCACCCTCCTTTCCTTCTTTTCCTCTCTTTCTTTGTCCTTTCTTCTCTTCCCTCCTCCTTTCCACCCTTTTCCTTTCACCACTATTTATTGAGTGCTTATTGCACAAGAGACTTTGAGTGTCCAGTGCTGGCTTGTGGCAGGACAAGCTGCAGACAAAACCCCTCAGACACCGAGTTGTAGAAGAAAGGGCTTTATTCGGCTGGGAGCTTCAGCAAGACTCACGTCTCCAACAACCGACCTCCCCAAATGAGCAATTCCTGTCCCTTTTAAGGGCTCACAACTCTAAGGGGGTCCGCGTGAGAGGATCGTGATCGACTGAGCAAGCTGAGGGTTCATGACTGGGGGCTGCATGCACTGGTAGTTAGAACGGAGAAGAACAGGACAGGGATTTTCACAGTGCTTTTCCATACAATATCTGTAATCTATAGTTAACCTGACCGATTAGGTCAGGGGTCGATCTTTAACTACCAGGCCCAGGGTGTGGCACTGGGCTGTCTGCCTGTGGATTTCATTTCTGCCTTTTAGTTTTTACTTCTTATTTCTTTGGAGGCAGAAATTGCGCATAAGACGATATGAGTAGTGGTCTCCTCCCTTAGCTAAGGACTCTGACTCCTCCTTCTGTGGGGCTCCATGTATTCTTTCTCATTGGCAACACTGGGAATAGCAGGGCCCAGTTGAGTTTGGAGAGTGTTGCTTAGTGCTCTTTAGTTGCAACCATCTGAAAATAACATGAAAAGAAAGGGGAATTTCCTGAAAAATGTTGGTGGTAGCAATGAGAGCAAGGCTCAAAGAATAAACTGGAAGCTGAGAAACTAGGCTTGAAAATAGAAATCAAAGGGACTGGGGAAGCAAGGACCCTGCATTCGTCTCTGGGCAGGAAGGGTTCGCTCAGCGCACTGGTGCTGCGATAAATATCATGTGCCTCTGCTGTTCTCTCATCACGGATCAAGAGTCCAAGCCTGGAGGGAGAGCGACTGACAGCCATGGTCTGGTCACACGCCTGCCTGAGAGCTGCACGGGAGCCGGCGAGGAAAAGCCCTTGCTGCTTCCAGTGTAAGGCAGGTGTCTGGATTTTTCTTCAAGAGAGCCAACACGATGAATGAAGGAACTTAAATCATGGCACGGTTAGAAAGAAAAGTAGCAAGACAGGAACTACTCCTTCCCTCCAAACAAAAAGAAAAACAAAATGAGATATTCACTGTAATTAATATGAATTTGCAAGGGAAATAATGCAGTATATGATCTCAGTCTCAACTTATATCTTTATTTCAACTATATCTACTTCAGAAAGGATTTGAAGGGTTTCCAATAAAAGACAAATAAAATGTTATAAATGGTAGATAAATGAAGATCAAATATGACCCTGGTAGAGGTATGAGAATTTTGTCTGTCTTGTTCAAGAGCTACACTGGCTGCACCTGATATAGTAGATGCTCAATAAGTATCATTACCTTCTGCCAGGTCCCTCCCAGGACACATGGGGATTATGGGAACTACAATTCAAGATGAGATTTGATTAGGGACACAGCCAAACCATATCAGTATTATATTTTATTGCAACTATTGGCTCAATAGGTGCACTATGTATTTTTGTTCAAAGTTATTGCTCAAGCGTTTACCGTGTATATTGTTAACTTATCACAGTTTATTCTTAAGTACTATTATATCATCTCCCAAGTAATATAAAAATCTTACAGCAGTCCTGGCTTTTCGTGGTTCTTATATGCAGGAATTTTTGTTACTGTGCTTTGGTTAGATAACATATATAATTCCTTCATGGACACAGTGCAAATTTCACTTTCCACAGTGTATTAACTATGTGTAATTTCATTCAGTACAAATTTTGATGCTGGTTTTTAGTACAAAAATTAGTAAGTATTTAATGGACAAGCATGATGATCAGTGAGCAATCATGCTGTCTCTGTGAAAGTGTGCTGGTTATTTGTCGCTGTGTACCTGTGCGTCTGTATGAATTTAGTTTAGACAGATATCAAGGTGTGTAGTTGTGTAAACTACTTGTCCTCCAGTCATAAACTCACATAATTTAACTTTTAAAGCACCATCACTGTTGGATAAGTGTCCAGGTCACCTTTATTCATTTGGATACCTCCATGAAGATGTTAAAAAGCCGCTTTTTACTAACAAATACAACTTTAATCGTCCAGCTAGTGGACCAAGGAGTTATTTCAATGTTTAAAGCCTACTGTCTTAGACAAACTTTTCAACAGACTACTGAAGCTACAACTGGAGATCATGCAATTTTTAAGCGAAGTTTTGAAAGATATATTACTTAAAAATGCAGTTGAAATACTTAAGCATCATGGCGGCAAAGAAAGTGAGTAATATGTGTGTGCAGTACAGCAGAAACTTGTATTGCTCTGTGAAAATAACATGCAGGATACCAACAGAATGCAAGTGGAGCTATTGGCTCATTTTGCTCCTGCTTGTGCAGAACTTTTCATGTCAGGCCATCTCCTGGGCTACTGGTGAGTTTATGGATCGGCCCAGCTGTAGTCTATCCTGTTGTTCCTGAAGTGGGGTGGAGGTCAGCCAGCAGCCTGCAAAAATGTTAGAAAATAAGAGTCAAGCAGGACTTCTGATGCCCCCAGATCATGTTATTGTTATGATCAGCCATCCACAGCAAGTGTCTTATTTGCATTATATCCGATGATAGTGATGGATCTGCATTGCTGTTTGCCTCTTGTAACCCACAGTGTGAGAATGCAAAATCCA
Organism: Homo sapiens; assembly: GCF_000001405.40. NCBI lineage: Eukaryota > Metazoa > Chordata > Mammalia > Primates > Hominidae > Homo > Homo sapiens. Next base: position 50,028 of record NT_187650.1, on the reverse strand, counting down.
GGGTTAGGAGTGCAGTCAGTGGCAGTGTGACTAGGTGTTTCTCTGTAGGATACTAAGAAAAATACAGCCCAGGAAACTGTTAGTGCTTTCATTTTGTTTCACTATAGGTCTGCCTGGATGATCAAAACAGATGGGAAGGAGCCATGGTGGGGCAATGATCCTGTTCTGTTGCCTCCTGGAGATTCAAGCATTATATATGGAGAGCTATCATCTCTACCCCTCCTCCCGGTTTACTCTCATGGTGAGCTCAGGTAGAGTTTAGCAGGGATGTTCATGTGAATATCGTCTGTGTTCGTGAATAGGCTCGTATTTCAGTTGCAAGCAACATGATAACCTTAAAGTTCAGTTGCTGGTTAATAACTGTCTTTTTTATTAAGTTGATACTGAACTTGATGTCTTTTTGCAGTACTAACAGAGATTACTGGTGCTACCTTTTAGCTTTTGATCATTTATGCAAGCCTAGATCTTTAGCTTTACGTTGTAAAAGGGGTATTTTTTTCAACATTTTTTTGGTGAGAGTATTAAAGTTGACATTATTATGATCACAAGTGTAAACAGGTATATAAGGAAGTGGCGATACATTGTTAAGACTGCTGTTATTCATGATGCTTAGCCAAATGGAGGTGCAATTAATACTGCCATGTAGAACTGGAATAACGTCAGCTCAGGAACAGCAAGTTTAGATAGTTTGACTGTAGTGAATTTTCATGAATGGAATAGTTAATCATTTTAGTGGATCTTGGGGGTCAATTCAGGCTGTTTTACTTGATCCACTTCTTATCATTATCCTAACAAAGTCTTCTGAGATAACACAGCACTGATAGTTGCTAACAGACTTTATATCTACCACGTTATTAGCATTTTATCTTGATACACTGATAAAATAAGCTTCAGGAATACTTAAAAGATTGCAATGGCTTCCAGCTGCCAAATGCTAGATTTAATTATTTTTTAGGACCAACATGAGGGTTTAGACACACCACTTGTGGTGCAGCACACATGTATTATCCAAACTGAAATTAGCAATTCAACTGAAGTCCATGTAGAGTCGAAAAATGTGAATATTTGGAGATGATCTAGCTCACTTTATTTTGTAGAAAAGAAAACAGATTCAGGGAAAGGGCATGCATTGCCTAAGGTGATTCAGCAGGTTTGGAGCAGAAATGCAATACAATCTCTGTTCTTTTGCTTCTCAGATCCAGAATTTTTTCACAGTACTGAACTACTTATGTTTCTGATTCCTTATTTTTTCTGTTTTATATTTTGCCAATATTGTCTTACCAAGATCCTATTCTTTACCCCAAATATTTAAATTCATTACCACTATTGTCTCTTTATAAGTAAAAGTACTAGTTGTTATTATAAATGATTATTCGATCACTTTTCATTTTTTTTTGGGTCCAGCACAAAGTTAGTAACAAATAAACATTATAGGCCTTGGCAATCCAAGGGGAGCTCAAGTCCTCCAGGGCACGTCAGGAAAAGGCTAAACGACAGCTGAGCTTCGAGTGGACAGAATACAGCTCTCATACGGACTGTTGAGTATTTGATGTTCTTCAACAATTTCATTCATCTTCAGTTTTTTCCTCTTTGAAGTGATGGATTTAGTCCTTGCTATACTCGACTTTCAAGTTTCTTTTGAAATAATTATAGATTCACAGGAAGTTGCAAAAGGTACAGGGATGTCTTAGGTACTCTTCACTAATTCTCCCAACGGTGACATCTCGCATAGCCATAGAGCATATCAAAACCTGGAAACTGACATAGGTACAATTCAGAAAGCTTGCTCAGATCACAACCATTTTGTACACATTTGTTTTTGTATGTATGTGTGTGTGTATTTGTGTGCATGTGTTCTGTGCATTTTTATCTCGTGTAGATCTCTGTAACTACAACCTCGACAGTCAAGATACAGAACTGTAGCCTCACCGCCAGGCTCCAACTTGCAATCTTTGTGGACACTCTGACACATTTTCCTCCATCCCTTCCCCTTGGCAACCCCATAGTCTGTTCTCCATCTTTACAATTTTATTTCTATAATTCATATAAATGTAATTGTACAAAATCGTATTTTTGAAGGGAAGAAACAAGTCACAGATATTTTTGTTAGCACTGCAAAATAATCTTTAATGCTAATTTATTCTATGTTCTATTTGTCTCAAAAAATGTGCTTTGTTCTTTCCCATATTTTCTGATATCAGGATAGGAAATCAATAGCAAACAAAACATAATTCCATTCATTTTTTTCCACAGCTTGTTTCTCACTGCTGTTTCCTAACGGTTATTGTTCCATTTACTCTTTCTCTCTGTTTTCCATCACATAAAAGTAACTTTGTGTTCCTTATCTCTTCTAAGAAAACTTGGTAATGAGTCTTTAATTGAAGCCCAGACCACCCTTGTTTTGATTTTGTGTTATGGGTGTTCTTTTTTGTGATCGCTTTCATGGAGAGTCCTTGTGAAGCTGGGCTTTTCCAATGGTTTGTCAAAATGGAAATAGATATTTAACAAACCAAACACAAAATGACCTTGCTCCAGGAATGCATCATTTCTGAGAAAACACTACCTCTTCCAACTAGAGATTGTGAATATTACTCATATTATCCTTTACTCCCTTTTATTAAAACTGTATTTTTTTTACACATTTGTATAACTCGGGTAATGAAATGTGAAACTAAGTGATTGCCTACCAATTACAATTGATATTAACGATGCTAGTGAGAGGCCACCTCTACAGTGGCTGCGCCGTGTCTAGGGACTTGCTAGCTTTGCTAAGTTACATGGGATTGCCTGCGTACTAAATGCAAACTTACTCATGTACATAGGAAACCATTTGTATTAATATGATTAAGAAGCCCTGCCTAACCCTGATGAAAAATTACTTGAAAATAACAGAAGACAGAGTCCTTATTTTAAAGTACATTAACTATTGGGAGTAATTACTATTAGTCCAACCATAACTGGATCTAATGAGACTGAATAGAAACAAATTAGACATAATTGGAAGCTAAGCAAAAGTCAATTAAATTCCTATAATTTTACCTTTATAAAAATTATTGAATTAAATGACCCGGATCAATTAGCAGAGGAAATAAAGCCATGAAGAATATTTCCAGGAAACTATTACCTTTTTTGAGGGAAAAATATTGTTTCACTTAATGATTAGAGTTTAGTAAAATGTAGCTTAATGAATTTTGCTGCCTTAGCAGTTTAATAACTTCAAATGAAGTAATTATGCAAATTTTTTGATAGTTTTACCTACAAAGTAATGCAGGAGTTGTTTTAAGGAATCCAGGAGTAGAATTTATTTGATAGAATAAAATAACATATTTATAAAAATCAGCAAATTCAGATGGTTTGGAATAAAGATATGATTGCTTTTACTCAATGTTCACTTTAGGGCTGGGTCAGCTGTGTGGGAATTGCAGTTGACCTGTTGTAGAAATTGTGTGCTTGGAAATATATCACCACATTGCTCCATGTAGACTCCCTCTGTGATTCAAGTCTTGTTCCTACAGCACTGCTGTCAACCCTCAACCACCGTCACCCTATAGACCCCAAGTCAGTTTGTATTCAGTAATGCAAGTGGTGTTCTGTGCAACTGGTCACCCAAGAACTTGGTGCTAAGAAACTGAGAAAGTGATGACCAAGACAATCTCATCAAAACACAGCCAGGGCCAGTCACAGTATCGTAATTTCTGCTTTCTGGATGTTCAAGGAAATGTAGATCATGGCTCCTTCTGTGATGCCTCATTATCTTCAAAAGGAGCTATAAGCGTACACTCATTTCCAAATGTGATGGAATAAGATCGCAGTTTCAATGAGGTCCTGAAGGATAATTAATTATATAATAGTTATCAAAATATTAATTCTGTAAGGACAGTCACAAAGGAAAGAACAGTGGCAAATAGGTCTCAGGAAATACATCAAATGGGATGTTCAGGTGTGATGCAGCTTCGTACATACTATGCTAAATACATTATGTCTGTAATTAAACCAGCTGCATACACAATGCAGGTGTGGCAAATTCTTTGCTGAAACATGTATGCCAGTTTCCTCATTTTTTAAAATGACAAGTGCATGCTTAATCAGGTTAGAGTGGATAGATTATGATATTATCAATGCACTGGACAAATCCATTAATGATACAGTGAGATTTTGTGCAGAAAAATGGAATAGAGAGGTGTGAATCCAAACTTTGAAGAATAAAGAACATACATTTGTAATTAGGAAATATCTCTCACTTTCATCCCTTATGTGCCACACATAGCACAATCCAGCCCCACCCAGCCATGACTCTTACATTTATCACTCCTGACAAAGCCGGCCTGGCAATTCAGACCCGGAGCCCGGAGAAAAAAGAGGAATCCCATGATTTCTGGCAAACACTGCTGCTTCTTTTGTAGTGGTGTGAGATGAATGCCTCTACATGCACACAAGTGCCATGTTGAGGGGGATGAATCTTTCAAGATTTGTTTAAAGTCAAATAATGTGAAGGTCCATGACTGACCTCCAGGCCTCTCAGAGCTTCAGTTAACTCCTTTGTGTTAGGGGATGTTAGAAGAACGTTTACAAGTCAGAGCAGGTGATGCTCAGGAGCAAGAGTGAATGAGGAGGAGGAACCCAAACAGGTCCAGCACAGAACATCAGCATCTGAGCATGAAGTCTACCCCTGAGAAAAAGTGGTCCAAAGGTTTGTGTGAACCCCATTCTCCAGGCCTTACAAACCCTGTGATTTCTGCCTCATTCTGTCCCGTCCTGTCACTTTGAGTCTGAATTGGAAGAGAGAAAAACAGTAACTAGATTAGTAAAGTAAGGAGGAGTGAAGAGCAGGAAGGTGGAGGTCGTGGTGGTGGAAGATGGAAACCTCTGCGAGTGAAATAGAACAGTTTGGATGTCAGCTGTGACTGCTCTAGATCTCCTAAAACCCACTCCATTTTTATTAAAAATATACATTGCATTTTTCCAGTGTACACGATATCATGTTAAGAGTTCATAAAGTTTTGAGGATGTGAGTCATCAGAAAGGAGGTTTAAAGAACCGATTATTTTGGTGGTCTGACTCCTTTACCCCAGTAGGAAAAGCTGCCATTTTGCTTATGCCCTGTGCTGAATCTCAGAATGCCTGTCAACCCAACACGCTTCAGCATGAACTTTAACTCAAAAAATCAAAAAGTACCAGGATCAATTTACAATCCTAGCTATATGATATTTTAGAAATTACAAAGCCTGTAAATGAGCTATTTTGTCAACTTCATAGATGAGAAATCTAAGAGTGGGTTAGTAAGTTCTCTTAGATTTCTCATATCCATAAAGTGGATAGAACATCTAATTTAGAGGCTTGTTGAAGGACAGACAGAAATGGCATTTATAAAGTATCTAGTGAAACTACTGCTAGGGATTATATGCTCAGTAAATGATGAGCACTATAATCACAAATAATTTGATCTTTGCCAGTGTAAAATGTATTTGTCTGTCTGCTTGGTTTTTCTCGGAGGCATAGTTTCCCTCTGTCACTCAGGCTGGAGTGCAGTGCTGTGCTCACTGCAACCTCTGCCTCCCAGGTTCAAGTGATTCTCCTGCCTCAGCTGGGATTGCAGGAGCCCGCCACCATGGCCCAACTAATTTTTGAGTTTTTACTAGAGATGGGATTTCACCATGTTACCCAGGATGGCCTTGAACTCTTGGCCTCAAGCGATCCATCCACCTTGGCCTCCGAAAGTGCTGGGATTACAGGCGTGAGCCACTATGCCCGGCCACATTTATGTTAATTCAGAGAACAATTTTTCAGTAAGGTTGTACAAATGATTGTCCTACATTCCTGCATGTTTGAAACTCTTTTTCTCTTTTCATCTCCATATGTGAATGACAGTTTGGCTAGGTATAGAATGCTTGGTTTACACTTTTTATTGTTCATAAATCTATAGTCTTATCTTTGTTTCTATCCTCTATACCAGCTTGAGTAGGATTAAGTGTGGGATTCACTATAAAACTCTATACCCACTGAACAAGTCCTCTTTTCCCCCTCCGCTAGTCCCTGGCACCTGTCATTTTACGTCTCTGTTTCTAAGAGTTTGACTACTTTAAAAACCTCATATAAGAAGGATCATGCAGCACTGTGTTTGTATTTTTGTGACTGGTTTATTTCACTTAGTATAGTATCCCCAAGGTTTATCTATGTTATGACATATGACACGATTTCTTTCTTTTTTAAGGCTGAATAATAATTTATTGTGTATATACCACTTTTTAAAATCCATTCATCTCTTGACAGATATTTAGGTTGCTTTTACCTCTTGGCTATTATGAATAATGCTGCAATGAACATGAGATGAACAAGCTCCTTTTTTATCTCTTTACTTTTGTTAGAAGCTTTTAATTCCTGATTAATGAGTTCTGAATGTATGCAGAGGTCTCTACCTGGCAGTGACCTAAAAGCCTTGTCTTCTGCCACCCTGCTCAGCCTTCAGATTCAAGTCTCTAGATTCTTGAGGTTGGGAAATGTTTCCGGAGCAGCCATGGTTTTGCATTCATTGGCCATTCAGGTTTTCTGCTTTGCCGTTTCCCCCCCATTCAGGTTTTCTGCTTTGCCATTTCCCCGGGGGTTTCCTTACCCTCTTGGAAGAACAACCATGCATTAAGTCCATGTTGACTGTATTTTACCTGCTGTTTCTATGTGTTTTGCAATAAGGGCTTTTCAAAATACCCATAACTTGTGGCTAAAAATGAGGTTTGTTCCAATGTGCCTTAGAAAGATCCAGTTTCATACTTACCTGGCAGGGCAGATACCATGATCTTAAAGGCAGTTTTCCCAGGGCAAGGCTTATCCATTCCACTCTGGATCCATTATAGGGGCATGCTGATCCCTGGAATTGCCCCAAATGTGGGAAGCTCTACTGCAAAATTTTTGGTAGTGAGCGATGGCATTATGCATTCATGTACGAATTCAACTGAGTATCCAGTTTCATACAAATAATAATAACATCTTCTATAAAATGTATTCTTGTGTATTAACACATGGGGCTCTGTAGTACTCCAGCTGAGATATATGGGAATCTTACCCTAGTTTTGCCATTTTCTCCTAACATCAGTCTACTTCTTTTAATATTCATTGCTTCTCCCCATTTCTGTAGTTCAGTGCATGTTCCTTTCCTCTGCAGGAACTACTTCTCTTTCCTCACCCAACTCATAAATCTCTGCCTCCCACCCTAAGGGTAGGCACATGACCCAACCTGGGAGATCAGAATGCCACACCCCCAATACAGGATTGGTTTGTGAGTAGGCAGATGATTCTGTCCATGCACAGAACTAAGTAGAAGAGAGTTTTTACACCTCAGCTTAGCTTGATGCTAGCAGAGAGCTACTGGAGTTCTATTTCCTCCTCTAGGGAAGAAAAGGATTTTGGTTTGGAGATAAAGCCAAGATACCAAGAAAGTGGGAATGAAAGACTTAGAGACAGGGAGTCCTGGCCCCTTTTCAGATGCTCAGATGCTGGCACTAGCTTGAGGCCCAGTCCTGCTTCTGCTCTTCCCAACAGCCCCTTTTCAGATGTTGGCACTAGCTTGAGGCCCAGCTCTACTTCTGCTCTTCTCAACATTTGGTAAGGGGAGCTCCCAATTTCTTTTCTAAGATAGCTGGTTTGACTTGGATATCCATCTCTTCTAATCAAGGGTCCTGATTCCTTGTCATTGTCATCAAAAAAATATTTGTAAATATTTCACTTCTCGCTGGTGTTGAACAAAGTGATTTGCACAGATACAATCTCTGCATCTTAATAGCTTACATTCTAAGAGCTGTACACCTGGCACTCTTTCTCTGGAACTATAACTGCTAAGTTCACGAATCTTTATTAATAATGCTTTTCAGATATATAGTTAAAAAATAATTTTAATAGTTGAAAGGCATCCATCTTTCCAAGAGGTTCAGACATACTGCAATTGAGTGCTAAGTAACTTTTATTTTGTATTTTTTAATATTTGTATTTCCATAGGTTATTGGGGAACAAGTGGTACTCAAGATGGATGAAGGACTTAAATCCAAGACAAGAAACTATAAAAATTCTAAAAGACAACATTGGAAAAACTCTTCTAGACATTGGCTTAGGCAAGGATTTCACGAACAAGAACCCATAAGCAAACGCAATAAGAACAAAAATAAATAGCTGGGACCTAATCAAACTAAAGAGCTTTTGCACAGCAAAAGGAACAGTCAGCAGAGTAAACAGACAACACACAGAGTGGGAGAAAATCTTCACAATCTATACATCTGACAAAGGACTGATATCCAGAATCTACAATGGACTCAAACAAATTAGCAAGAAACAAATAATCCCATCAAAAAGTGGGCTAAGGACATGAATAGACTTTTAGGTTACTTTTAGGTATTTGTGTGTGCAGACCTCTTGGTGTCAAGGCTAAACTGTTCCTTTCTCTGACACATGGGAAATTGATGCACAATACCTTGCAGTGTATAATTCCAGGCCCCTAGGCACTGGAGACTGGGTTATCTTTTCACTCAACTGACAGTTGATACATTGTTTGCACTGAAAAATCTGGCTTTGTTGAACCACACCAGTTTATGTTTTTAATTCCAAATCTTACCTTGTTATGAACTATTTTTTTGTCCTTTCCTCTAGAGAAATGCTAATGCTGCTTGCTTACATGGAAAGTAAAGTTAAGGAGTTGGTGTTGACATTTTGGCTTGCTGTCACAGGCAAAAAAGAATAGTGCTGTTTTTGTGTGTTTAATTTTCTTTCACTTTCCCCACTCTGTGTATTGGAGGATGCCTTTAGCAATAAGTAGTCCTTATCCAGGTCACTCACTCATTAACCGCCAACCACTGACAGTAATGTCTTTACTAGATATTTTGCTTCTTTTGATTAATTTGTCTCTATTTCCTTTGTTCTAAAGCCTATAGTGAGTAATCATATTTGGAGTAATAGCAGAGCTCCCTGCTGTGTTTTCATTTGCTTAAATCAAGACTTAGCTGCTGTATTGAGGAACCAAGACTGAGATGTGGGGCTAGGAGGGCCTAGGGTCTGTCAGGCACTCTTCAGTGACTTGAGGTGCTGAATGACTCACACTGTACTGGGAGATGACCACCTGTGTGCATCCAACACAGTCACAGATAGTGCCATTGAGCCACCAGGAGCAGCCACAGACCATCAGTGGTTGTGCTTTGGAATACGCAATTTTGTGTTTCTGGTGAGCTGTAATCTTTTCTTTTCCCATAGAATTATTTTTCATTGAATTATGCTATTAAAACTCATCTTTGGGTTTCTTGTAACGTCATTGCCGAGAACGTTATTTTTGCATTTCACAGTGATTTCTTGAGGAGGAAGTAAGAAGTAATTGTTTTCTGGACTCACTGTCTGAAAAACTTGCACTTTACTGAAGCGATTGTTTTGTTTACACTAAGTAACAATATGAGTTTTGTTAGCTTTTTGGATGGACTACAAAGCATAAAACCAACTTTGTTCCTCATCTCTGGCAAAGATGGAGGGTTGTTGGCTTGTGTTGTGTGATGAGTCTTATACCTGGCTCTGTCTGCTCTTGCCTTTTGCCTTACATTTCAAAGACCTCACTTTTTTCTTTTCTTTTTTTAAAAAATATTTTATCACATGATTTTCTATACATTTTAATAAAATTTCTTTTTTGTAAAAAAAGCAAAGCATAAATAAAATAGGGTAGCCATTTCTTCTAAGGTTATGTTGAATCTAACCCAAACTCTTATCAGAGAAAACTCTGCTTTAGATGTAGCCTAAAGCAGGAAGCAACAAACCTGTATACAGCCAAAGTATCATCTCAAGGGCCTGCATTCAAATCTCACACATGTGGCTTGAAAGTGATCTCTTTTGCCCTTATTTCAAGGCCTAATCTTAGGTTACATAGTACTTAAAGAAGCTTCAGTATGCAATTTCAAAGCCTGTAGTAGATGTAAAATGAGAAAATTAGAAATAAGGAGAAAAGCTGCTACATGAGGACACTGACAGCAAGGAAAGGGAGAGAAAAACTCACAAAGTAAGTGGAAAAATAGACCAATGCAAATAACCCCACATAGTTTAACAGACCTCATCATATCTATTGTGTACATGTTTGTATGACATAGATTATATCTATTATATGTAATCCAGTGTTCATAGTGTTGACTTAGAAATTATCAACCAAATTCAAAGCTTTTAGGCTTTGAAAATTGTTTGAAAAGATTTTCACCCAAAATATTTAAATTATTAAAAAAAATTATTGTTGATTAAAGTTGTAATCCTCAATTAATTAGAAGTTTTGGCTATCCAGAGACCTTATATTCCAAAGACTTTAGAGAGTTGTTTGTTAGATCACATAAATTATTACCAATATCCTACATTTAAGCTTCTAATTTACGTAAATTGTGAGCAAAATTGAGAGCCACACAAATATTCAATCTCTGAAGCTCTTATGGCAGCATTGATCAAATAGGTTAGAGAACACATGGATACAGCTTTATTGCCTTCTAGTTTTACTGCAAACGTGTTATTTAATAGTATGCAAATGATTGGCTAGATGTACAGACTGCCAGGGCCTTCATAGCAAACAGGTTTTGTGTTTACCCTAGCATACAAAAATGCTTCATCTACGATGTATGCTGTAACTGTGTGTATTGTCTACCCTAGCATGCAAAAATGCTTCATCTAAAATGTATGCTATAACTATGTGTATTATATTATCTATAATTATATTTCTCCTTGGTTTAATATTAGATATTTTCAGGTACAAGAAATGTATGCACATTATAGATTCAATGCATGTAGGTTATATGTGTAAATATTTATTGATAAGAGGCATTAAACCCCTGCCTTCTATGCTGGATAAACTCCTGAACTTAGCCTCCAAAACACCACAGTAGCCTCCCTGGTAAGCACAGGGCTCTTTCTCTACCCTTTTGTGTCTCCCACGCTCCCACTTGTCTACAAGAGCTGAGTGTAGACCAAGAGCAATAAAGTTCATTTCCCCAAAATAAGGCGTAGCATTCAGGTTTTGTGATACCTGATTGGTTTACATTGTTTACAGGTGGGGCCTCGAAGGGGTAAAAATCAGAAGCTTCTTATTCTGAGCGCAAGGGCAAGATCATTGAGCAGACATTGACCTCCCTTCAGACATTTCTTGGGAGGAACAGAATGAGAATTTCAGGGGCCAGTGCCTGCACCCTACTAGCTGTGGCAGCCTGGTGCTCATCTACTTCTCCAGCTTGGGAAGGCCTAGGTTAACCCCAGTCTTTGGAGGCATTGTTATTCCTCTTCTCTCCCTGCTTCCCCGTGTTTGTGTTCTGGGCCCGGTGTAACACTGAGGTTCAGAATTGCTTTCAAGAGAGGAGCCCATTTCTGTGTCTATGCAAGGCTGGACAATTTCTCCAAGTGGTTCAGCCTGTGGGGGTTAACGGGGCAAAAGCATCTCAGCTAGTAATAAACACTGCTTCGCCTCTTGCTTTTTTATTTTTATTTTTGCAAAACTTCTCTGTAGGTGTGTATTTCTCTAGAGGATTTCAAAAATTCTCTGTAGGTGCGTATTTCTGTAGAGGAAGGAGTGGTGACTGGGCCAGGGTGAATGGATTATTTGATCTATATTATCTTGAATTTTATATCTTTTATTTTAAAATTTGGGTGTTTTTTGAAGTAGGAAATCAATGCACATGGCTGAATATCTAAAAAGTGTAAAAGTATACATTGAAAAGTCTTCCTCCTAATCTCGTGATTGTCTTCGTTTCAGTCCCCATGGCCACATCATGAGGCTACTGATGTCATTAGTTTCTTTTGCGTTCTTCTAGGGTTTCTGTTGGCATATGCAAGCAACAATAAATGTATACCTTTATGTTTTCTCTTTTTACAGCAAGGACAGTTTATTAAACACACTGTTTTAAACCTTATTTTTTCTCTAAATAATATTTCATATAAGTCAGTATGTAGACTTTATGTATTTTTAAAATGAAGACATAGCGTTCCACTGAACTTAGACAATAATTTACTTAACTAGTCCAAGATTGAAGAATAAAATTATTTTGAATCTTTTGTTAATAGTTAATAGCTTTGATGAGTACACTTATGCATACATTATTTTACACATGTTCAAGTATGTTGTATAAACCCCAAAGTGGGAATGCTCTGTCAAATATTACAGGTATTTGCAACTTTGATAGATACTAATTGCCCTCGATAGAGGTAGTAAAAGCTTACACTCCACAGCCTTACTGATGATATATATTATAAAACTTTTAGTTCTTGCCAATCTAAACGTGAAAAATGGTATTTCATGGTAATTTAAATGCTTTTCTCGTTTTATAACTGAGGTTGACATCTATCAAAAAATTATTTGAATTTTTCTGAGAACTATTAATCTTTGAATCCTTTTCTGTTGTTTATCTTTTCCTTCTTCATTTCTAAAAGTTCCTATACAGAGAGATTCACCCGTTATCTGTGATATGATTACAAATGTCTGCCCTCCAATTTGTTATATGTCTTTAGATCCAAATACCTTATTTTTTGCCATGTAGAAATTTTTAATTTGTATGTGATAAAATGTTAATACTTTATGGATTCTGGATTTTCAGAAATAAAAAGGTCATCCTCACTTCCAGGTTTTAAAGAAATTCTTTAATGTTATTTTATGTTTTTGTATGGTTTTATTTTATTTTATTTTATTTTATTTTATTTTATTTATTTATTTATTTTTTTGAGACGGAGTCTCGCTCTGTCGCCCAGGCCGGACTGCGGACTGCAGTGGCGCAATCTCGGCTCACTGCAAGCTCCGCCTCCCGGGTTCACGCCATTCTCCTGCCTCAGCCTCCCGAGTAGCTGGGACTACAGGCGCCCGCCACTGCGCCCGGCTAATTTTTTTTGTATTTTTAGTAGAGACGGGGTTTCACCTTGTTAGCCAGGATGGTCTCGATCTCCTGACCTCATGATCCACCCGCCTCGGCCTCCCAAAGTGCTGGGATTACAGGCGTGAGCCACCGCGCCCGGCCTAGTTTTATTTTTATTCACATTAAAGTTTTTGTCTTATTTGGAATTTATTTTGGTATGTGATGTGGGAAATGAATCTAACTTTATTTTTTCATATATCTTCCTAGTTGTCCAAACATCAACATTGTTGAAACATCTCATCTGTCCCCTTGATGTGAGATGGCATCCTAATTTCCTTTACTTAGAGGGGTGGTGTCTGGGGATGAGATCACCTGGGGTGTAATCATACGTCTTTGACTGGGAGTGGGGCTGAAAAGGAGTTCCCATGTTCCTGGTCATGTGACGTGTGATCATGTGATGTGGAGATCTCCTGTGACATGGAGCTGGAGGAGGGAATAGGAACTAGCTCTGGCTCAGAGGGCACAGACTTCCACTGTTTTATCAACATTTAGGAGATTTTCTTGAATAAATGCTTATTAATTTGCATCTGCCCTTAGGTCAATTTCCAGAGACTTTAAGTGTGTTTTATAATTTTTACCAGTTAAACGGTTGTTTCACTGCGGGGAAAAGAGTATCCCAAGCTCCTCTCCTCTGGAAATCTGATCAAATTCTTTTTCAAGTCCTTCAGTAATGGTTAATTATATATGTGTATATCATATTTACATTTATATTTATTGATATAACAGTTATGCTTGGTGTTTCATGCGTATATGATAGCATCTTATGTGTTCATAAATTTTAAAAGTTGTTTTCTATGTGATCTGATTTATTTGCTTGAGAAAAACTTTTTTCTGGTAGCTTCGTCTGGGAACTTGCTCAGTGGTAATTTTTTAAATGACAGCTTTATGCAGTATTTTTATGATCTCTTCATTTACCCAGGAGTGATTACTTCTCTATTTTCCGCTGTGTTAAAACTAGGTGTTTTCTCTTTCTACTCCCTTCCAGGCCTCTCACTACTAGAATTCGGTCAATGAGAGTATCCGTGGCATGTTATTTAGTATTTGTTATTTTGCTATTACATACGCTTCTATTTCTAACATTTGATTTACTGCTTTGAATGATCCACTTTGAGTCCTGGCTGTTACAGCTGAGTTGACCAAGTCCTCCTCCTCAGACCCCCACCTGTGTGTGTGCACATCGTGTCTCTCAGCTCTGGAGCTGCAGATGATGTCAGGGTCTCAGCAAACAAGACCCCTCAAAGTTGAAAACTGTACAAACATCGTATGCAGCAGCCTTGATCTACCCTATGTCTTCCATTCTTTCCTCCTTCTTCTTCCACTTTTTGTTAGTTTCGATATTGGTTTATTTCCAGGGCATATGGCATTTATATGCATTTTATTACCCTGGTTCTCATGTTTATTTTAGTTTTAGTCAACACAATTCACAATTATAATATTTCACCATAGTTTTTCCTTAGTTATCTCTTTGTTGGCTAAAGTTTGTTCTCTGGGACTTTTCCCAAGTAGGAAAATATTCCCTGAGTTTGTGTGTATTTAAAACTGCCTGAAGTATACTTTGAAATGTAGCCTGACTAGGTATAAAACCTTTGGTTTTCATTCCACTTTTTGAATATCTTGTAAGTAATGGGCCACTGTATCTTGGCATTAAATTTTGCTAGGAAAAAATATGAGACTAGCCTGTTACATTCTCTTTTTTAAGAGCGGCTTGATTAAAGGATCTTTTCCTTAATGTTTCTTTAAAACTTTGTAGGGTGTTCTTAGTGTTTCCTTTTCTGTGGAACCTAATTTTATTCTGGAAAAGTTTTGTTGAATCAGTTCTTAAAGGGATTCATGCTCTTTCAATGCTGTCTTTTTTTTTTTCTTTCCATACCTTCCTTTTTTGATATATTTTAGATTGTCTCTGCTTATCTTCTATAGCCACTGTTTTCCCTCTAATAATTTTTAGATTTTCCCTTTAATTTTACTGTATTTACTTTTACTTTTTTATTTATATTTTCTATGTTCCTTACTGAGTTTTCTAAAGTCTGTTTTAATTTCTCTACTTCTTCTAGGTTCACCTTCGTTTCTATGAAGATCTTGGTTTTTCTTCATGTTTGCTGGTTTTTGTCAGCACATTTTTTTTATTCTAACGTTTCACCGCTTCTTTCTCTGAGTTCTTATATTTCTGCTTCATGGTCTTCCATTTTTGATCTGACAGCTCCATTAAGTTTTCATTTCATGGCAAAATATTTGGGTAACATTTTCATCTTGCTTTTGGCATTGATTTTTGTTGTGTGATCTTTCTCCATTGATAAGTTTGCATTTTTCCCCATAGTTTTTTCTTATAGTGTCTTTACATAAATCAATAATTATTAATTACTGAATTAATTGAAATGTTTTGAACCAATAATTTGTGAAAAGTTTCTATGAAGAAGAAAGGAGGAGGCAAAGTTGTCTTGCAAACTTAGCAACCCAACAATCTTCTCCTTCACCACCATAGAGTTAGATGGCTTCTGCAGATATGGCTAAATCTTCTCCTTCACCACCATAGAATTAGATGGCTTCTGCAGATACAGCTAAGTCTTCTCCTTCACCACCGTAGAATTAGGAGGCTTCTGCAGATACGGCTAAATCTTCTCCTTCACCACCATAGAATTAGATGGCTTCTGCAGATACGGCTAAATCTTCTCCTTCACCACCGTAGAATTAGATGGCTTCTGCAGATACAGCTAAGTCTCTTTCACCACCATAGAATTAGGTGGCTTCTGCAGATATGGCTAAGTCTTCTCCTTCACCACCATAGAATTAGGTGGCTTCTGCAGATATGGCTAAGTCTTCTCCTTCACCACCATAGAATTAGGAGGCTTCTGCAGATATGGCTAAATCTTCTCCTTCACCACCGTAGAATTTGGAGGCTTCTGCAGATATGGCTAAATCTTCTCCTTCACCACCATAGAATTAGATGGCTTCTGCAGATACGGCTAAATCTTCTCCTTCACTACCGTAGAATTAGATGGCTTCTGCAGATACAGCTAAGTCTCTTTCACCACCATAGAATTAGGTGGCTTCTGCAGATATGGCTAAGTCTTCTCCTTCACCACCATAGAATTAGGTGGCTTCTGCAGATATGGCTAAGTCTTCTCCTTCACCACCATAGAATTAGGAGGCTTCTGCAGATATGGCTAAATCTTCTCCTTCACCACCGTAGAATTTGGAGGCTTCTGCAGATACGGCTAAATCTTCTCCTTCACCACCATAGAATTAGGTGGCTTCTGCAGATATGGCTAAGTCTTCTCCTTCACCATCATAGGATTTGGTGGCTTCTGCAGATACGGCTAAGAGCTTAACAACCCAACAGTCTTCTCCTTCACTGCCATAGAATTCAGTGGCTTCTGCAGATACACCTAAGTCATCGGCTCTTTGTAGAGCATCACCTTCTCTGAGTGAAACTGGGTCCAGAAAGTCTTCGATGACCTCGGTCCATAGAGGTTCTGAATCCATTATTACAAACAAAGAATACAACTTTTATATTTCAGAGTCCCTGGCCTTCAGCCCTTTCTGAAATCAGCCACCACTGTGCCTTTAAGCCATCACTGTGCTTTTCTTCCTTTGGTCTTCCATGGCTTGCTTGATTTCAGCTGTTTAGAGTCTCTATATGTACTTTTGAGTCTATGGTCCATTTCTATTTACTCCTAGTTCAACTTAAAATGAAATTGTATTTTAAAATATATTCTTGCTGTTTTTAGTATTATTTTCAGGAAGAGTAGTGAGCAATGCTGTTTATTCAACTCTGGTCATACCATGTCCCCTGATTGTATTCTATTCATGCATCTCTAATAGAGCTCCTAGACTTTTCCAAGGCTTATATTGAAGTGACTTAATACATGTTTGTCAATGTTTCCTACATTTTCTACTCTTCATATGTCTCATATATGATGCTTCAGTAGGAGTCCCCAGTGTTTGGGGGACTCCTACTCTTTTGGAGTAGCCAAACTCTGAATGTATAATATTTATTTTCCCCTGCTTCCATCAGTGGTAGTAGACACCCTGGAGGGTCTAATTGCAAGCATAACCACCCAACAGTTCTCTCCTTTAGTTTAGAGCCCTGTAGTCAGTGTTGGCTAGTAAGTTGTCGTGGAGCACCCAGAGTGGACACTTCAACAGGGTCTGGTAGTCAGTGCTGGCCAGTAGGTTGTCGTGGGGCACCCAGAGTGGACACTTTGACGTGGTCTGGGAGCAGAGCATTATGTCCACTCTTGAATGATAGCTGGGACACGTTGGACGATGGAACCAACAGAATCACAGGCTTCATGGATGACCTGGGATTTTCCTGCATTCAGTCGGTAAAAAGTGTGAAGAGTATTAAGTCCCTCTGAGATTGAGAGGGAACATAATTTTAAGAACAACTGGCATCAGATCGTTTATTCATTTTACTTGACAAGAATTTACAAACATCTTTAATATGTGCCACAACCATGGACTAATATAAAATAGAATACAAATGCACAAAAGAGAACAGAAAAGTGGAAAATGCCAAGTAACACACAGAGTAAAATTACTGGCCGGGCACAGTGGCTCATGCCTGTAATCGCAGCCCTTTGGGAGGCCGAGGCAGGTGGATCAGCAGGTCAGGAGTTCGAGACCAGTCTGACCAACATGGTGAAACCCTGTCTCTACTAAAAATACAAAAAAATTAGCCGAGCATGGTGGCGGGCGCCTATAATCCCAGCTACTCAGGAGGCTGAGGCAGGAGAATCACTTGAACCTGGGAGGCAGAGGTTGCAGTGAGCCGACATTGCACCACTGTACTCCAGCCTGGGCAACAGAGAGAGACTCCATCTCAAAAAAAAAAAAAAAAAAAAAGTACTTGAGAGGATATGAAAAACTGTTCCCCAGAGGTGGCATAATTTGGAAGTCATAGTGTATGTTGGTGTCAAGGAAATAAGTGAGTTCTTTTTTTTAAAGAAAGATGTTTTGTTTTGTTTTGTTTTGTTTTAAAGAGAACAAGGTTCATTAACAATATGCAAAACAGATGAAATGCAGTCAATAACGCTATGAAAAATCACTTTCTCTACAGAATGCGAAAGCATCAATAACATTTTAGCCTTTATTTTGCTGTTTAGTAGAGAATTATCACTATAGTGTTTTCACTAGTTATCAGCATCTTAAGGGAAGTACTTATGTGTGTTGTACCTTTTGAAAACTGGAATCATAGAATGCTTTAAATTATTGTATTAAAAATTGAAGTGATGATAACTATTCAGCTGGAATGTCAGGAAAATGTTGAAAATGACCAAGAGTTTACCAGGAAAAGGCTGCAAGGTAGCATCTGGTCATACCTTTAAATGACAGACAAACACAGACACATACACACAAAAGCAACATTTAAGTAGAGGAAACTTGTTAGTGCTCATGTGTTTAGAGTAAGTACAATGAGTCGGATTAGTGCTTTCCATTGTGATGACCTCATTTGTGCTTGGAGCCACTTGGGAGGATTCTGTCAGCTTCATCCCGGCACCGACTAGCACTGCACAGCGTAGAAGGCACAAGGACTGAAAAGGTCATGTCTTTCTGCTCGGAAAGCTTGAATGGTTATAGAGTGTAGAGGGCCCATGCAAAACGCTCATTATCTGCTGTGTCTCTTGTTTTCAAAATTCTTTATCAGGTTACTGGCAATAAAATGCTGTTCCCTTTGGTTACCAGACAATGAGGCATTTATACCAGCAAGTCACCTGAGAACACAGCAGCCAACATTAATGAGTTGAAAGTACCACTGGGACAGTGAAGAATTGACAAGACTGCTGGCCTGCTGATCTTGTTTATCTTGCCTTTTTTTTTCTTTTTCAAGGTTTATTTGTGGAAAGTCTGTTTTCGTTGCTTATGTGCTCATCTGTGCTGCTTTAAAATGCCTTCGTGGTGGCAGAGAGTAATCAGCATATAGAGTCTGGAAACCAACTTTTAAATTTTATTAATGAGCTGAGTTTAGTTCCCCTTTATCTTTTAACTGACTCCAGGAGCATTAATGAAAAGTATATAAATATGAATACAGGTGTAGTAATAAAAAAGAATTATCAGTCACCCTTAATTTAATTGGTGTCACCTTAGCCTTTAGAAGGGTAATAGGATAGTATTGCCACCTGCAATCATTCAAGACTATTTTACTCACTACAGTAATTAGCTCACTTTAAAAAATTAGGTGACCTTTCAAAAGTGAGTAAAATAGAATCCGGTGAGAACCGTTAAGACACGTTTGTGAATATAGCATTGGTAGAATATCATAGATATTTAGGGTTTCGAGCGACCTGTGGTCATTTTGTGCAACTTCTGTTTATGAAAGAATCTCTTGAAACACTCTTTTCGTGCACGGAGTTACTAGGCATCTAGCAACTGGAGGTTATATCAATGTGTCAGATACTCCACAGTCTCTCTTCCAATATTACGTGCAAAATACCCTGTAGACTAGGAAGCATGTTTGATCTTCTTGGTTATAGGTGCAATTTATTCAACCAGCTTTCGTCTATGTGCATTGAATTCCATTATGACTACTTTTGGCATGGAGACAAACACAAAACATGGCCTCTGAAGAGAGTGTATGCTGGGATTTGGGATAAGGCATATAAAGAATAACTTTACTAAAAAGCTGAATATTACATCATATGAGTTAAACACTCTTGCCAAGAATTATCAGTAACCATAACAGCTGATGAAAGTGGATGTAACTGCAAATCAAACTAGTGGGCATCTCTTGTTTCTTAGCAAAATTTTCCACATTAAAGAAACGCTTAAAACGATATTTTTACTTGTAAGATACACAAGAGACATATTTGATTTAGGAGACATTCAGAGCAGTTTTCTGCCTTTGTTGCATATGTACATCAAAGTGCTTTAGTGATAGTTGCAATTTTGGTAGTTATCTGCCACGTTAGAAATGAATCCAAACTAGCATATTTTGACCTTTCAATTTAATTGCCACAAAGCAAAATTCACTAGTATTCAGTGCCTCCCATCAAGCGGAAATCCAAAGCACGTTTTCCCATTAAGGAGACTCCTTTTCTCACAGATAGCAAATTTCCTAATGAGGAGAGAGCTGATTGAAGGACCATGATGATGAGCCAATGATAGGTGTTATTGACCTTTCTTGAAAGAGCTTGACTTCTGAACATTTTTTGAACTTATACTTGAGATACAGTAGATTTGATATCACACATTATAATGGATGGTTTTCTGATAGGACCTGACCATTTACTAGCCTACATCCTTCTAGTTTTCTACATAAACTCTCTACTGCAGCAACTAATGATAATTATTATTATGGTTGCTAACATTTGCTGATCTTATTGTTTTCTAGGCACTGTGCTGAGAACTTCATATCCATTTATTTCATTTTATCTTGAGAGGTGACAGCGTGCTGGCAGCCCTCGCAGCCCTGGCTCGCTCTCTGTGCCTCCTCAGCCTTGGCGCCCACTCTGGCCATGCTTGAGGAGCCCTTCAGCCCGCCACTGCACTGTGGGAGCTTCTTTCTGGGCTGGCCAAGGCTGGAGCCGGCTCCCTCAGCTTGCAGGGAGGTGTGGAGGGACAGACACAGGCGGGAACCGGGGCTGTTCACGGTGCTTGAGGGCCAGCACGAGTTCCCGGTGGGCGTGGGCTCGGCGAGCCCCGCACTCAGAGCCACCAGCCTGCCCACAAGCCCCGGGCAGTGGGCTTAGCACCTGGGCCACCAGCTGCTGTGCTCGACTTCTTGCTGGGCCTTAGCTGCCTCCGGCAGGGCAGGGCTTGGGACCTGCAGCCCACCATGCCTGAGCCTGCCTCCCCCGCCGCACCCCCACATGGGCTCCTGTGCAGCCCGAGCCTCCCCGACAAGGGGCGCTCCCTGCTCCAGGGCTGTGCCTAGTCCCATCGACCGCCCAAGGGCTGAGGAGTGCGGGCTCATAGTGCGGAAGTGGCGGGCAGCTCCACCTGCGGCCCTGGTGCAGGATCCACTGGGTGAAGCCAGCTGTGCTCCTGAGTCTGGTGGGGACTTGGAGAATCTTTATGTCTAGCTAAGTGATTGTAAATACACCAATCAGCACTCTG
Source organism: Homo sapiens (assembly GCF_000001405.40). Classification (NCBI taxonomy): domain Eukaryota; kingdom Metazoa; phylum Chordata; class Mammalia; order Primates; family Hominidae; genus Homo; species Homo sapiens. The sequence continues at coordinate 29,089 of NT_187650.1, read as the reverse complement.
TATCTAGCTCAAGGTTTGTAAACACACCAATCAGCACCCTGCGTCTAGCTCAGGGTTTGTGAATGCACCAATCAGCACTCTGTATCTAGTTAATCTGGTGAGGACTTGGAGAACCTTTATGTCTAGCTAAGGGATTGTGAATGCAACAATTGACACGCTGTATCTAGCTCAAGGTTTGTAAATGCACCAATCAGCACTCTGTCTAGCTCAGGGTTTGTAAATACACCAATCGACACTCTATCTAGCTAATCTAGTGGGGATGTGGAGAACTTTTGTGTCTAGCTCAGGGATTGTAAACGAACCAATCAGCACCCTGTCAAAACTGACCAATCAGCTCTTTGTGAAACAGACCAATCGGCTCTCTGTAAAATGGACCAATCAGCAGGATGTGGGTGGGGCCAGATAAGAGAATAAAAGCAGGCTACCCGAGCCAGAAGCTTCAATCTGCTGGGGTCCCCTTCCACACTGTGGAAGCTTTGTTCTTTTGCTCTTTGCAATAAAGCTTGCTACTGCTCACTCTTTGGGTCCACACTACCTTTATGAGCTGTAACACTCACCGTGAAGGTCTGCAGCTTCACTCCTGAAGCCAGCGATACCAGGAGCCCACCAGGAGGAACGAACAACTCTAGACACACTGCCCCAAGAGCTGTAACACTCACCGCGAAGGTCTGCAGCTTCACTCCTGAGCCAGCAAGACCACAAACCCACCAGAAGGAAGAAACTCCCAACACATCTGAACATCAGAAGGAACAGACTCCAGACACGCCGCCTTTAAGAACTGTAACACTCACCTTGAGGGTCTGTAGCTTCATTCTTGAAGTCAGTGAGACCAAGAACCCACCAATTCTGGACACAATCTTATACCACAGAACTGTAAGTTCTATTCTTCTTCCAGTTTTACAAAACAGAAACAGACAAACAAACAGAGGTAATTCTCTGAAAGATGTCTCTCTCAGTCCATTTCTGCTGCAATGTACCTTAGACTAGGTAATTTATAAAACAACAGAAATGTATTGCTAGTAGTTCTGGAGGCCAGAGGTCCAAGCTCAAGGCAGCAGTAGAATCGGTGCCTGCTGAGGGCCCATGCATCATGGATGGATTCTTCTGTATGTCCTCATATGGCAGCAGTAGACTCGGTGCCTGCTGAGAGCCAATTCATGGATGGAGTCTTCTGTATGTCCTCATATGGCGGCAGTAGAATTGGTGCCTGCTGAGGGCCCATGCATCATGGATGGAGTCTTCTGTATGTCCTCATATGGCAGCAGTGGACTCGGTGCCTGCTGAGGGCCCATTCATCATAGATGGAGTTTTCTCTATGTCCTCATATGGCAGAAGAAACAAGCAAGCTCTCTCAGACATTTTTATAAGGGTACTAAACCCATTCATGAAGGGTCCACCCTTATGACCTGGTCACCTCCTAGAGACCCCACCTCTTAATGTTATTGCATTGGGAATTAGGTTTCAATGTATGAATTTTGGAGGAATGCAAACATTCAGATCAGATCTGTTTGACCTCACAGCCAAAACTGGCAGTGGAATTTGCATGTTGCTCCTGGAACATATCTAGTAATTTTCCGTCTCTATACATTTGCTATGCTGTTTCCTCTATACTGAATGATCCATACTATCCGTTTAACTTTGTATCTTTAAAGGCTTGTGTGTGTGCCCATCTATTTTGGTGAGGTTGTTACCAAAACACCATGGGTTTGGTCTAAGTCCTGCTGCTCACTGCACAGAAAGCCAATCACTGAGATGGTGAGTGTTTCCAGGGAAGAAGCTTTCATCTGGTGCTGCAGCTGAGGAGATGGGAGCTCAGCCTCAAATCCATCGCCCTGACTGACTAAAAATGGGGTTTTATACAACAGGCAAGAAATGTAACAATGTGTAGGAAACACGAACTAGGGAGGAACAAGGAGGTCTCATCTGGTGAGTTTCAGTTCTTTAATGCTTTTTTTTTTTTTTTTGGAGAGGCCTGAAGGTCCTTTCCTGAGGAAAGAACTCAGATGAAACAAATACAAGTTTCAAGCTTTAAGAGCGGAAGAGTCAATGTCTATGTTTATACAAAAGAACACGCTGTGGGAGTATTGGGCCTGCTTCAAGGTCAGTAGGATTATTCCAGAATTACACACATCGTTTATAAGCCCCTGAGTCTAACCAGTGTTTTGAGTTTTTCACTTATCTTATGTGTAGCCAGCACGCATGTAACATGAAAACATCAATTACATGTGTGTGCTTTTGCCTCTTGTTAATTTTTGTTGCTGTTGTTTTTTCAATTTAATTCACAGGCTCCAGCACAACATGTAAGATGGGATAGGAAAAGCTTTTTTCCTACCCAACAGAATGCTGAAAATGTAAATATTTTTTCTTTGGTTTACAGTAATAAGGAGTGTGATTCCTTTTTTTTTTCTACCTCTTCTACTTCTACGTTTTAAGAGCTCTGTAGCTTAGTGAGCTCCCAGGCTTATGAACACCGTGACACAACTAGTCTTGAAATGTTGCCAGCATTGTAGGATTTGCATACTTAACATGCTTATACTGCCATAAAGTATGTAAGGTGGAAAGGATATTGTCTTTTAGTGTGGGTACATAGAGCATGGCACGACTTGTTGCCAGCCTCACATCACATCTGTCTTCTGCTTTTATACTTTATATCCAGGGTCATGCAGTCAATTTTAGACATTTTAAAAAATCTTATTTCTATATTACTAAATTATTCATGGAGCCCGACTCTTCTAAGTTACTCTGGGAAAATGCCTTAGGCCTTCCAAGGACACAAAATTTTCATTCTTATAAAAAGCATTTGGCTAGGAATCAGAAGACCTACATTTTCATTCAAGAACTGGTACTAGTTTGTGTTGTGATTTTAGGCAGATCCATTATTGTCTCTAAGCCACAATGTCCTGAACTCCAAAACCATAGCATTGGCCTAGATGGTTTCTTAGGCCTCTCTTTGTGTCAGGAATTGGTGAGTTCTTGGTCTCACTGACTCCAAGAATGAAGCCACGGACCCTCGCAGTGAGCGTTACAGTTCTTAAAGGCGGTGTGTCCGGAGTTTGCTCCTTCCTCTTGTCTGGAGTTGCTCATTCCTCCTGGTGGGTTCGTGGTCTGGCTGGCTCAGGAATGAAGCTGTAGACCTTCGCGATGAGTGTTAGAGCTCATAAAGGCAATGTGGACCCAAAGAGTGAGCAGAAACAAGATTTATTGCAAAGAGCAAAACAACAAAGCTTCCACAGTGCAGAAGGGGACCCTAGCAGGTTACCACTGCTGGCTCAGGCAGCCTACTTTTATTCCCTTATCTGGCCCCACCTACACCTTGCTGATTGGTCCATTTTACAGAGAGCTGATTTGTCTATTTTACAGAGAGCTGATTGGTCCATTTTGACAGGGTGCTGATTGGTGCATTTGCAATCCCTGAGCTAGACACAAAAGTTCTCCAAGTCCCCACTAGGTTAGCTAGACACAAAGCACTGATTGGTGCATTTACAAACCTTGAGCTAGACACAGGTTGCTGATTGGTACATCCACAATCCCTTAGGGAGACACAAAGATTCTCCAAGTCCCCACTAGACGCAGGAGAGGGTTTAGAAAGTGCAAAGGCCTTATACCTGGGAAAAAGGAAAGACAAAGGGGTGGAAGGAAAAGCAGTGGCTGAAGCACAGTGGCTCATGAAAGACGAGACTGGATAGAATAGGAGCAGGTCCTCGGGCCTGGAGGATATCTTCAGACATTTGTGCCTTATCCAAAGAGAAATGGCAAGACACGGACGATGTGAAAGCCAGGGGCTGTCCTCCAGACCATGAGACCTCAGCCAGCTGCCGCCCAGAGCCAAGTTGCTGCTTTGTGTGCAGCTCTCTCCAAGTGTGGAAGAGCAGATGGGGTGTTTTTACTTCCGCCCCAAAACTTACACATTTCACTAAAATATTCCTACTCCATGCTTAGCAATGAGAAACCTTCTCTATGCCATTCTTATCCTTTTGAAATGATACCAGATGCCAAGAAACACCACAGGAGTAGGGCAAAGAAGTTGAGCTTCAAGGGCAGATGTAGTCTAAGTGTCAGCTGTACCACAAATTGTGACAATAAGCACATCACCAGGCTTCTTATTTTACTCCCTCTTCCGTGCAATGAGGCAGCTTGACTCTGGGGCTGGAAATAGTTCTCTCCTCAAGGTGGAGGCAAACGGAGTATCGGACAAATTGATAATCCACACAATCCAAATTGTAATTAGTATAGTCTTTCTCTGGTTATTGAGACAAGTTTTTCACGTGAGCTTAGCTTCTGCTTAGCATTTTAACTGTGGGAGAGGGAAAAGTCCTTGAAAGTCCTGTGACTCATTGGTAAAATAAGAACGTACTAATGAAATATGAGAAACATCGAAATAAATTAAAAGACATTAAAAATCTATTGTGTATCCTGCACTCCAAAGTCATTTTTAAATGGTAATTACACCTTTGAAGAGCATCTAATTAGTATGAAAAGAACTTTGGATGAATGTGGAGCTCTTCATCTGACTTCAGTTGATACACAGTGATAATATTCAAGACCAATTTCTGCAGCTTTTATCGCCTGACTGAGCATTGCTCTGTTTCTGAAGTTTAAAGGGATTTTCTAATCTTTTGCTTATCAGAGGCTGAGCAAAGACCTGTCATGGTTTATGGAGGTAAAAGAGAGGAGGTACAAGTATTTTTAAGTGCCCTGTGGAAAGTGCTGTCAAGTCCAGGCTGTGTCAAGCTCATGCTTTGTGGTGAAACAGGGATCTAAGCCACAAACTCCTGAAAAGAAAGTTTCTAGTCCCTTTTTGTCTGGGTCATTCAGGAGCATCGAGACTGACACACCTGGTAAGACTCCTGTTCTTCATCCCTGTCATCAGTCATGTAACACTCTTAGTGCTCACTGTGTGCCTGGCTCCGTGTTAAGTGCTATTTCAGTGAAATGTTAGCACTGTAAAATGGTTTCAGAAAAAGGCATTTGTGGTCACTCTCAAGTAAATGCCCAAATGGTCTAACTAGCTTATTAAGCAGGATCACTCATTAAAATCTATGAGATTTGCATAAAATGCACTCTGCAGCACCGCTCTCACAGACACAATGGCAACAGCCCTTTGAACTAAGGCCGTAAGTTTCCTTAATGGGTTACATCAAAATTTAATGGCCCAGAGCTGGGCCACTTAGGTTTACTACCTGGACAGATGTGTTGAATGCTGCTAATGGGAAGACTGTAAGGTACTGGCTGTATGATACCCTGCCTTTAAATTCTGTAATGGATACAGATGCCATTGGTTAACAGTTTTTATTTCTTCCTTAACAAAAAGGGTTTTATAATAAGCAAGTCAACGATTTTTCTTCGGCAAGGACTTCAAGTACATTTCTGACCTCATCTCCCACTCTCCCTCTGTCCTTTCCATGAACGCCACGCTGGCCTCCTTGATGCTCCTCGAAAATGCCAAGCTCCTCGGGGCCACTGTATTTGTGCAGCCTCTCTTGGAACACTGTGTACATCTGGGCTCTTGGAGCAGCAAACACCGGAATGGTATTTGCCACTCAAGAGATTATTTGGGAGAAGTGCATGTGGAGGAAAATGAGAAGGGGCTGCAGGGGGCTGGGCAGGCAAAGTCTTAAAATGCAGTGCAATTCTGAGAAACTTTTGGCAAGGCTGGTAGTAGAACCCTCCAGCCCAGGCTGCCCAGCAGAGGAGTCTTTCATCTCCTCGCAGCAGGCCTGCCTTTATACTCCACCATGGTGGGTTACCGGCTGACAGTGGTAGATTTCAGGGCGGCAGCTGGCTGTTGGCCAGCCGCTAACAGTCACCAGCCCCTAGGGGCCACGAGATTTGACAAGCCCCTTCCCAGGGCCACCACGAGCTCTCTTGGTCTACAGTTCTCAGGACTGCTTCTCGTACGTTTAGCTTCTGTTAAATATCCCCTCTGTGGGGTCTGCCCTGTTCATCCCATGTAAACATATAAATAGCAACCCCTTCATTTCCCCTCACCTTCTACCCCATGTCAGTTACTGTTATCTGCTTTGTTTATTCATTGCATCAAGATACAACATACAGTCATCTGTCGATATTCATGAGAAATTGGATCCAGGACCTCCCCCAGATACCAGAATCCCTAGACGCTCAAGTCCCTGATATGCAGTTGTGTAGTATTCAGCGTAGACTATGCACATTCTCCCTATACTTTAAATCATCTCTAGATTACTGGTAACACCTACTACAATGTAAATGCTATGCAAATCGTTGTTACACTGTGTCATTTAGAGAATAATAAAAAGAAAAACTTTGTATATGTTCAATACAGTTTAAAGGGCTTTTTTTGCAAATATTTTTGACTCGTGGCTGCTTGAATCAGCACATGCACAAATCACAGATACAAAGGACTAACTGTATGTTTCCTTGTTGATGTCACGTGACCTCGCTTTAGTAACAGATAGAAGGTCTGTGTTTCCTTGTTGATGTCGCGTGAGCTCCCTTTAGTAACAGACAGAAGGACTGTGTTTCCTTGCTGATGTCACGTGAGCTCCCTTTAGTAACAGATAGAAGGACTGTGTTTCCTTGCTGATGTCACGTGAGCTACCTTTAGTAACAGATAGAAGGACTGTGTTTTCTTGCTGATGTCACGTGAGCTCCCTTTAGTAACAGATAGAAGGACTAAGTGTGTTTCCTTGTTGATGTCACGTGAGCCCCCTTTAGTAACAGATAGAAGGACTGTGTTTCCTTGTTGATATCGCGTGAGCTCGCTTTAGTAACAGATAGAAGGACTAAGTGTGTTTCCTTGTTGATGTCACATGAGCTCGCTTTAGTAACAGATAGGACTAAGTGTGTTTCCTTGTTGATGTCACATGAGCCCCCTTTAGTAACAGATAGAAGGACTGTGTTTCCTTGCTGATGTCACGTGAGCTCGCTTTAGTAACAGATAGAAGGACTAAGTGTGTTTCCTTGTTGATATCACGTGAGTTCGCGTTAGTAACAGATAGAAGGACTGTGTTTCCTTGTTGATGTCGCATGAGCTCGCTTTAGTAACAGAAGGACTAAGTGTGTATCCTTGTTGATGTCACGTGAGCCCCCTTTAGTAACAGATAGAAGGACTGTGTTTCCTTGTTGATGTCGCGTGAGCTCACTTTAGTAACAGATAGAAGGACTAAGTGTGTTTCCTTGTTGATGTCACATGAGCTCGCTTTAGTAACAGATAGAAGGACTAAGTGTGTTTCCTTGTTGATGTCACGTGAGCCCCCTTTAGTAACAGAAAGAAGGACTGTGTTTCCTTGTTGATGTCGCGTGAGCTCGATTTAGTAACAGATAGAAGGACTAAGTGTGTTTCCTTGTTGATGTCACGCGAGCTCGCTTTAGTAACAGATAGAAGGTCTAAGTGTGTTTCCTTGTTGATGTCATGTGAGCTCGCTTTAGTAACAGATAGAAGGACTAAGTGTGATTCCTTGTTGATGTCACGTGAGCTCGCTTTAGTAAAAGATAGAAGGACTAACTGTGTTTCCTTGTTTATGCCACGTGAGCTCCCTTTAGTAACAGATAAGACTGTGTTTCCTTGTCGATGTCGCATGAGCTCGCTTTAGTAACAGATACAAGGACTAACTGTGTTTCCCTGTTGATGTCGCGTGAGCTCGCTTTAGTAACAGATAGAAGGACTAAGTGTGTTTCCTTGTTGATGTCGCGTGAGCTCGCTTTAGTAACAGATAGAAGGACTAACTGTGTTTCCTTGTTGATGCCACGTGAGCTCCCTTTAGTAACAGATAGAAGGACTAAGTGTGTTTCCTTGTTGATGCCACGTGAGCCCCCTTTAGTAACAGATAGAAGGACTCTGTTTCCTTGTTGATGTCATGTGAGCTTGCTTTAGTAACAGATAGAAGGACTAACTGTGTTTCCTTGTTGAAGTCACGTGAGCCCCCTTTAGTAACAGATAGAAGGACTAAGTCTATTTCCTTGTTGATGTCACGTGAGCTCACTTTAGTAACAGATAAGACTGTGTTTCCTTGCTGAGGTCACGTGAACTCCCTTTAGTAACAGATAGAAGGACTAAGTGTGTTTCCTTGTTGATGTCACATGAGCTCGCTTTAGTAACAGATAGGACTAAGTGTGTTTCCTTGTTGATGTCACATGAGCCCCCTTTAGTAACAGATAGAAGGACTGTGTTTCCTTGTTGATGTCACATGAGCTCACTTTAGTAACAGATAGAAGGACTAAGTGTGTTTCCTTGTTGATGTCACGTGAGCTCGCTTTAGTAACAGATAGAAGGACTGTGTTTCCTTGTTGATGTCGCATGAGCTCGCTTTAGTAACAGATAGCAGGACTAAGTGTGTTTCCTTGTTCATGTCACGTGAGCCCCCTTTAGTAACAGATAGAAGGACTGTGTTTCCTTGTTGATGTCGCGTGAGCTCGCATTAGTAACAGATAGAAGGACTAAGTGTGTTTCCTTGTTGATGTCACATGAGCTCGCTTTAGTAACAGATAGAAGAACTAAGTGTGTTTCCTTGTTGATGTCACATGAGCCCCCTTTAGTAACAGATAGAAGGACTGTGTTTCCTTGCTGATGTCGCGTGAGCTCGCTTTAGTAACAGATAGAAGGACTAAGTGTGTTTCCTTGTTGATATCACGTGAGTTCGCGTTAGTAACAGATAGAAGGACTGTGTTTCCTTGTTGATGTCGCATGAGCTCGCTTTAGTAACAGATAGAAGGACTAAGTGTGTATCCTTGTTGATGTCACGTGAGCCCCCTTTAGTAACAGATAGAAGGACTGTGTTTCCTTGTTGATGTCGCGTGAGCTCACTTTAGTAACAGATAGAAGGACTAAGTGTGTTTCCTTGTTGATGTCACATGAGCTCGCTTTAGTAACAGATAGAAGGTCTAAGTGTGTTTCCTTGTTGATGTCACGTGAGCCCCCTTTAGTAACAGGAAGAAGGACTGTGTTTCCTTGTTGATGTTGCGTGAGCTCGATTTAGTAACAGATAGAAGGACTAAGTGTGTTTCCTTGTTGATGTCACGTGAGCTCGCTTTAGTAACAGATAGAAGGTCTAAGTGTGTTTCCTTGTTGATGTCACGTGAGCTCGCTTTAGTAAAAGATAGAAGGACTAACTGTGTTTCCTTGTTGATGCCACGTGAGCTCCCTTTAGTAACAGATAAGACTGTGTTTCCTTGTCGATGTCGCATGAGCTCGCTTTAGTAACAGATACAAGGACTAACTGTGTTTCCCTGTTGATGTCGCGTGAGCTCGCTTTAGTAACAGATAGAAGGACTAACTGTGTTTCCTTGTTGATGTCTCGTGAGCTCCCTTTAGTAACAGATAGAAGGACTAACTGTGTTTCCTTGCTGATGTCACGTGAACTCCCTTTAGTAACAGATAGAAGGACTAAGTGTGTTTCCTTGTTGATGTCACGTGAGCTCGCTTTAGTAACAGAGAGAGGGACTAACTGTGTTTCCTTGTTGATGTCATGTGAGCTCGCTTTAGTAACAGATAGAAGGACTGTGTTTCCTTGTTGATGTCGCGTGAGCTCCCTTTAGTAACAGATAGAAGGGCTGTGTTTCCTTGCTGATGTCATGTGAACTCCCTTTAGTAACAGATAGAAGGACTAAGTGTGTTTCCTGGCTGATGTCACGTGAGCTCCCTTTAGTAACAGATAGAAGGACTGATTGTGTTTCCTTGTTGATGTCGCGTGGGCTCCCTTTAATAACAGATAGAAGGACAAACTGTGTTTCCTTGTTGATGTCACATGAGCTCCCTTTAGCAACAGATAGAAGGACTAACTGTGTGTTTCCTTGTTGATGTCACATGAGCTCCCTTTAGTAACAGAAGGAGTAAGTGTGTGTTTCCTTGTTGATGTCATGAGCTCGCTTGAGTAACAGATACAAAGGACTAAGTGTGTATTTTCTTGTTGTTGTCAGGTGAGCTTGCTTTAGTAACAGATAGAAGGACTAACTGTGTTTCCTTGTTGATGTCACATGAGCTCACTTTAGTAACGGATAGAAGGACTAAGTTTGTTTCCTTGTTGATGTCACGTGAGCTCCCTTTAGTAACAGATAGAAGGACTGTGTTTCCTTGTTGATGTCGCGTGAGCTCCCTTTAGTAACAGATAGAAGGACTAAGTGTGTTTCGTTTTTGATGTCACGTGAGCTCCCTTTAGTAACAGATAGTACTGTGTTTCCTTGCTGATGTCACGTGAGCTCCCTGTAGTAACAGATGGAAGGACTAAGTGTGTTTCCTTGTTGATGTCACGTGAGCTCCCTTTAGTAACAGATAGAAGGACTAACTGTGTTTCCTTGTTGATGTCTCGTGAGCTCCCTTTAGTAACAGATAGAAGGACTAACTGTGTTTCCTTGTTGATGTCGCGTGAGCTCGCTTTAGTAACAGATAAGACTGTGTTTCCTTGCTGATGTCACGTGAACTCCCTTTAGTAACAGATAGAAGGACTAAGTGTGTTTCCTTGTTGATGTCACGTGAGCTCGCTTTAGTAACAGATAGAAGGACTAAGTGTGTGTTTCCTTGTTGGTGCCACGTGAGCTCCCTTTAGTAACAGATAGAAGGACTAAGTGTGTATATATCAATGTATTAGCATAATATATTTATATTATGTATTAACATACAATATTATTTTATTATATGTTACATAACTAATTAACATGATTAAATAAATGCTGTGACTTTACCTGTATATCGAATTATCTAGACTCCTAGAAATATGGTTGCAGGATGAAGACTTTACCCTTGCTGAAATTTCTGTGCCTCTCCTCCCTGCTTCCAGAAAGGCAGTGTTGGAAAATGCCTGTCTCAATGCACACTCAACAGCACTGTTTTTTGTTTGTCTGTCGTTTTTTTGAGATGGAGCCTCATTCTGTTGCCCAGGCTGGAGTACAGCGGCCTGATCTCAGCTCACTGCAACTTCTGCCTCCCAGGTTCAAGCGATTCTCCTGCCTCAGCCTCCCAGGTAGTTGGGATCACAGGCGTGCACCATCATGCCCAGCTAATTTTTGTATTTTTAGTAGAGATGTGGTTTCACCATGTTGGCCAGGCTGGTCTCAAACTCCTGACCTCAGGTGATCCACCCGCTTTGGCCTCCCAAAGTGCTGGAATTACAGGTGTGAGCCACCGCACCTGGCCAGCAGCACAGTTTTTTAATCTCTATCATTTTGATATTTAAATATATTTGTATCTTGTCAATTTATTTGCACTTTTTATTATTTGTATTTATAATAGCTTTGTTGAGGTAAAATCAATATAAAAAACTACACATATTTAGTGTACAATTTGATAAGTTTGGACATATGCATACACTGATGAAACCATCATTAAAATCAAGATTCATTATTCATGCTTTTGAACCTAGGTTTCATTTTTTATCTACTTACTGTTTCTTTTGTAGTAAACTGTCCAGTACTTGACCAGTTTTTCTATAGAAAGGGCAGTGTTTTATATGGGAGGGGTAGCTTACATCTGTAATCCCAGCACTTTGGGAGGCCAAGGCAGGTGGATCACCAGGTCAAGAGATTGAGACCAGCCTGGCCAACATGGTGAAACCCCGTCTCTACTAAAAATACAAAAATTAGCCAGGCGTGGTGGCGGGCGCTTGTAATCCCAGCTACTTGGGAGGCTGAGGCAGGAGAATTGCTTGAATCCGGGAGGTGGAGGTTGCAGTGAGCCGAGATCGCGCCACTGCACTCCAGCCTGGGCGACAGAGCGAGACTCTGTCTCAAAAAAGGGCAGTGTTTTTATTAATGATTTCATGGTGTCAATTATACAGCTATATAGATACACACATGTGTTTGTGTATATAGTGAGTTGAATTGTCTCCCCTCAAATGATATATCCATCCGGAACCTGTGACTATGGCCTTATTTGCAAAACAAACAAACAAACAAACAAAGTCTTGCCAATGTTATAAAATTAAGGGTTTTGAAATGAGGTTATCTTGGATTATCCATGTGGTCCCTAAATCCAATAAGTGTCCTTATAAGACAAAGACAGACAAAGATTTGACACACACAGATGCACAGAGAAGGCCATGTGAAGACAGAGGCAGAGATTGGAGTGTTGCTGTCACAAACTACGGGACACTTGAAGCCACCAGAAGCTGGAGACGAGGAAGGGGCCTCCGTAGGGCCTCCAGAGGGAACACAGCCCTGCCAACACCTTGAGTTCAGACTTGGAGCTTCCGTGGCTGTGACTCTGTGAGAGAACCATTTCCAAATGTTTTGAGCCACCGAGCTTATGGCGCTTTGTTCCTGCAGCCCTAGGAAACTCTGTGAGTGAAGGTAATTGTGTGTTTCTGTATCTATCAGACTAGTCAACGTCAATGTGACTCAGTGTAATTTAACTTCACCGCCTCACATCCTTGCTGTCTGACCTAAAGATTAAAAATTCTCTCAGAACTTCTCTAGCTCTTGCTTCTATGTGGTAACTGCATTGAATTTTTTAGTACATCCCAAAAATTGAAAGATACATGGTAAGCCATGTATCTTTCCTGCCTGCCAGTTTGTCATTTTTCACATAATAAAGCAAGGTCACTCAAAGGTATTTTTTTCTTGTCTCGCTACTTGACACATTCAACCATGTTTATAAGCTCAAAGAAAAGAGATGGCCAGTTTGCTAAAATGAAAATATCATTCAATCCTGAAGATTTCATTCTTCCATAAAAATCGTCCTATGTAAAGATGACTAAGTATGATTTCAGGCATCACCTTTCATACAAGTCTTCTTCCCTAAGACCTATCCACTGCTCTTCTCCACTGTGGTTTTAATATTTTAATGTTTCCATAGCACTAGATTATGAGATCCATGAAATCAAGTATTGTGCCTCCCTGAGTCTCCAGGGTGCAGCCCTGGCCTTGGGACATAACCACTGCTTAGTAAGTGCTTATAAGATAAATCCTCAAAACCTTGAAATGAATTAAGTGCTTGTCCATTAAAACATCCCCCTACGTTGGGGGACTAAATTCAGACTACTATATAGTTAGGAAGAGCACAAATGCAAATACATGGGGTCATAGGTAATTTGTTTCTTCAAAGACCATGTAGACTTCTCTTTGGCAATTGCAAGGGAAATTCTATCAATCATAGTCCACACATGGATATAAGCCATAAGTAACTCTTTTCCATGCTTGCTTAGCACAAAGCCTTATATACTCTAGATTTGGGGTTATGTTTTTTTTTTACAGTAATATATGTAAAGCAATGTCACAAACCTGAGCACCTCACGCATGCAATTTAAACACTGGAAACCAACTATGTGGAGAGTATAGCAATGGTTTGACTCTGAGGTAAGAAGCACGGTGAAAGAACTGGAAATAAACCCTGCATCTGAGCTTTATGAAGAAGCGATTATAATCAATACCAAAATGAAAAAAAGAAACATCAACAGCTACTGTGAACCAAGGTCTTCACAGTTTTGCTTCTTTCCACTAATCTTCCGAAGAGGTTATTTTGAGACGATATGTTCAAAACACTATAAGCCATTCTTCTCCAAGAAGTGGTGACAATTACTTTGCTTCTTGCTTCCCACTCCTAAAAGGGAAATTTAATCAAGATTGTCAGTTCTTACAAGAAAAAGGGAAAACGCACACACACGTTCAAGCTCTACTTCTATAATCAAATAAAACCATCAAGAATTAATCAAAACTTGACTCGAAGCCCTTCCAGAACTGCAAAGCTCACATGGCATCCCAGAGATAGATGATACCATGATCTTTGATGTACACAGTGGAGCATTTGATAAAATGGTGATGTTTTTCTGCCATAAGTGGTATAATTACGCTATGCATCATATGCATCCATTTAATAATATCCCTGTTCACAGTCAGCCAGGCATTTCTCACAAGCTGGCATCTTCACAGGCCACTTGTTCTGCTGATTCCACTTTCTTCTGTAGCTGGGCAGGCTGCAGCCCCTGTTTTTTCCCTTACCAGGCAAACTAATGATCTAGTGCTTTCTTGCGTGTTGAGGTTAATAGATAACTAATATATTTCAGCACATTCATTATAGCCAGTTTTCCCCTAAGAAAAAATTGCACATTTGGGTCTTCTGCCTTGACAAATGTGGTGCTTCATCTTGAAAGTTGATTAAAATCAATACCTCTGTAGAAAATTACACGCAAAATGTATTAGTATCCAGTATATTCTGATAAGAATGCTTCTCATTCATAACTCTGATACCAACCCGCCCACCGCAAACAAAACAAAACAAAACAAAACAAAACAAAACAAAACAAAAAATAAAAGAAACACACACACACATGCTAAAACTGGATGTGAGCACTCATGGGAATAACAGTGTGTTTTTAACCAACAATAAAACTAAAAATTACTCATCAGTTAAACCATAGCTCATAATTTAGGAGAAGTTACATTTTGAAGTCCTGTTTTATCTCCAATTGAAATTTCAGAAGCCTCCAGAAATTCTATGGTATAAACTTTGCAATTTTAAAAATACATCATTTCAAAGCCAGCGGTCTGGAAGAAAATTGCCTATGCTAATGAACAAATATATAATTTTCACTAAACCATACAGCACACTTTCTTACATCAACTTTTTTCATCTCATCTCCTGATTCTCTCCCACAACCCATGTGTTAACCACACTTACCTTTTAACTTTTCTCCTAAAATATTAAGCCTTTTCCAAACAGTTTTGCTAGACAAAAATCCCTATTCATCTTTCAAGGTCTAGCTCAAGTGTTGCATAACTGTTGTTCAAGTTACTGAGGCTGTGTAACAAACAACCTCAAGACTCAGGTGCCTAGAACAAGCCCAGATTCTATCAGTCAGAGACTTGGACAGGACACAGCAGAAATGCTTGTATCCGCTCTGTCATGTGTGGCATTTCAGATGCAAAGATCCAAAGGCTGGAGGTGACCCAAAGGCTGTTGGTTGGAATCAACTGGAAACATCATTACTCACATGTCTGGTGGTTGATACTGGTTGTAGGCTGGGACCTCAGGTGGGGTTCTGATTTGAGAACCTTCATGTGGCCTCTCCATGTGGTCGGGCTTCCTCACAGTACGGGGGTCTTCGGGTATTCAGATTTTATACATGGTGGCTCGGGGCTCCTCAGTAAGTGAAGCAGATGCCACATGATCTTGTAAGAAAGGAAAACTTTTCCTCCATCCTCTTAGGTTCTGCAGCTTAATTTGTGAATTAAACTGACAAAAGAAGGACCAATGAATGAAGAGCATACAAATTTTATTTGTTGTTAATATTTTTATATGCATGGGAACTGCAGAGAAAGAACTAAAAAAATCCAAAGAAGTGGTTACACTTAGGAGCTTACCTACCATTTTAACAAAGTACGATAAATTGTGGGGAAGCAACCAAAGAAAAGGGGCTTGGGCTTCTAGGGGCATTAAATTGTAGGAAGGTAAATACATGGGAGAAACTATTATAGAAAAGGGTTATTTAGTTAGGTTTCTTTATGTAGAGTAATCTTGATGCTGTCTCCTCTTCTTGGTATGAGAACAAGGGGACACCTTTATAATGGAAATTTATTCCTTGCTTTTAAGCAGATAGAGGAAGGGTAAACAGCTCTTCTCGCATCTTCTTTTTCTCAATTGCCTTCAGCTTAAAATAAAAATTAAAAATTTAAAAAATAAAATTTATGCAAAAGTAACATATATTAGGGTTGTATATTCTGATACTCTTCAACATTTTCTGGTCTAGCCTCCAGAGTCATTCAACATCAGCATCACTTTCTCTACATTCTGTTGGTTATAAATAAGTCAAAGGACAAATAAGACAAAAAAGTATTTGTATTGTTAATACTGAGAGGTGACAACGTGCTAGCAGCCCTCACTGGCTCTCAGCAACTGCTCTGGCGGTGCTCCAGGAGCCCTTCAGCCCACCGCTGTGCTGTGGGGGCCCTTCTCTGGGGCTGGCGGAGGCCCGGCGGCTCCCTCTGCTCCCCACCAGGTGTGGAGGGAGAGGCACAGGTGGGAGCGGGGCTGTGCATGCTCGCGGGCCAGTGCTGGTTCCGGGTGGGTGCAGGCTCAGGAGCCCACACTCGGTGTGGCCGGCCGGTGCCTACTGGGCTGCCCCCTCTGGGCTGCTGGAGTACCCAGGCTAGGTGCCGCAAAGCCTCAGGGCAAGTGTCATTGAGAGGTGAAGCCAGCTGGGCTTCTGTGTCGGGTGGGGACTTGGAGAACTTTTCTGTTTAGCTAGAGGTTTGTAACCGCATCAATCAGCGCTCCGTGTCTAGCTAATCTGGTGGGGACTTGGAGAACTTTCCTGTCTAGCTAAAGGATTGTAAATGCACCAATCAGCGCTCTGTGTCTAGCGAAAGGTTTGTAAATGCACCAATCAGCGCTCTGTCAAAATGGACCAATCAGCTATCTGTAAAACGGCCCAATCAGCTTTCTGTAAAATGGACCAATCAGCTCTCTCTAAAATGAGCCAATGAGTAGGATGTGGGTGGGGCCAGATAAGGGAATAAAAGCAGGCTGCCCGAGCTAGCAGTGGCAACCGGCTAGGGTCCTCTTCCAGATTGTGGAAGATTTGTTCTTTTGCCTTTGGCAATAAATCCTGCTGCTGCTCACTCTTTGGGTCTGCACCGTCTTTGGCGGCTGCTGCTCACTCTTTGGGTCTGCGCTATCTTTATGAGCTGTAACACCGTGAAGGTCTGCACCTTCATTCCTGAAGCCAGTTAGACCACAAACCCACCAGAAGGAAGAAACTCTGGACCCATCTGAACATCTGAATGAACAAACTCTGGACACACCATCTTTAGGAACTGTAACACTCACCGCAAGGGTCCGTGGCTTCATTCTTGAAGTCAGTTAGACCAAGAACCCACCAATTCCGGACACAATACTATTGGATGTATGTTTGTTTGGTGTTTTCTTTGGTGAGTGAGTTTGTTTGTTTGTAACTGCTAAAAGAGTAGAGAGGAATGAGAGGGGGTTGAACTGCAACATCACAGAACACCTTAAGATGTAAGATTTAGGGTGTCTAATAGGCCATCTTAATTTGTTTGTGTTGCAACTGTCCCCGATATGGGAGTATTGAGAGGGGCATCCTTTAAGTGGTGATTGGATCACAGGGGTTATCCCCTTATGAATCAATCTACTCATGGATTAAAGAACTAATGGGTTAATGGATAAATGGGTTATCATGGGAGAGGAACTGGTGGCCTTATAAGAAGAAGAGAGATCTGAGCTAACACGCTAGCATTCTCGGCCCCCTTGCCATGTGGTTCTCTGAACCACCTTAGGGCTTTTCTGATTTCCCATCAGCGAGAAGGCCCTCACCAGCTGCAGACCCCCATCCTTGGATTTCTGAGCCTTCATAACTCTAAGAAATTAGCTTTTTAAAAATAAGTCACCTAGTTTCAGGTATTCTGTTATAAGCAACAGAAAAATGGACAAAGTATGTCTTAAGTAAATCTCACAATTGCCTGTACGGTAGATATAAATAAATATTATTACTCCTATTTTACAGAAGACAGAATCAGAGAGGCTCAGCAAATGCCAGAACTCAAATTCAAGCGCAACTCTGCCTGATGGAAACTCAGGTGATTTCCACTCTGCCTCCACCTGCATTCCTCAGCACCCTGCAGTTGGTCCCCAGACTCTATGCTCCATGCTGCTTGTGTTTGTTGGTTGGCTGGTTTCGTGTTCATGTGTTCTGGCTTCTTCATTTTGGGTCTTTACATCTTTACATCTCTATAGCAGTTCTTCCCATGTTGTGTAGCAGTTGTCTCTACGTGACAGTCTGTCTTGTGAGGTCGAGTTCCCTGAAGGCAGCAAGCATGTAATTGGTAAATTCTCATCAGTTAGCCATGTCTGGAACATGGTAGGTATTCAATAAAGGTTTTTGCTCATTTAATCGACTGTTCATTAGCATTTACTGAACCTCTACTGTGTGTCCAACACCGTAGCAGGCACTGAGGATGGAGCGGTGGAGAAAAACAGGCAACACACTCTGCACTCCATCTAGTGTGCAGAAAACATGCAAATAGTCATATACACCAAAACACTTCACACAACACAGACACTGCTGTAACATGCAAATAGTCACATAAAACACTTCACACAGCAGACTGACACACTGCTGTAACATGCAAATAGTCATATACACATGAAAACACTTCACACAGCACCCTGACACCCTGCTATAACATGCAAATAGTCATATACACATGAAAACACTTCACACAGCACAGCGACACATGGCTTTAACACGCAAATAGTCATATACACATGAAAACACACAGCACACTGACACGCTGCTATAACAAATAGTCATATACACAAAAACACTTCACACAGCACACTGACACGCTATTACACGTAGATAGATACACGAAAACACTTCACACAGCACACTGACACACTGCTGTAACATGCAAATAGTCATATACACATGAAAATACTTCACACAGCACCCTGACACCCTGCTATAACATGCAAATAGTCATATACACATGAAAACACTTCACACAGCACCCTGACACCCTGCTATAACATGCAAATAGTCATATACACATGAAAACACTTCACACAGCACAGCGACACATGGCTATAACACGCAAATAGTCATATACACGTGAAAACACTTCACACAGCACACTGACACGCTGCTATAACAAATATATACACAAAAACACTTCACACAGCACACTGACACGCTATTACACGTAGATAGATACACGAAAACACTTCACACAGCACACTGACACACTGCTGTAACATGCAAGTAGTCATATACACAAAAACACTTCACACAGCACACCGACACACGGCTATGTCAGAAAGGCGTGCAGTACTCTGTGAGTGTAGGATGGTGTCGAGACTCAGGAAAGAGTTGTGCAGAAAAGGGTATGTGAGTGAGGGGTCAAGGCCGAGCATCTAGGTGGAAAGTCCCGGCAGAGGGAGCCGTGCAAGCATCCCCTCAGGCAGCAGGGACGTGGCACGACTGGGGGACCGGTGGCCCGAGGGCAGAGGCAGAGCCGGGAGTGTGCGAGGTGAGCATGGAGAGGAAGCCACTGCACCCCAGAAAAAGGCACTCCTCCCACGAACAGGAGAGTCCACAGAGATTTCTGCAAAGGGAGAAGCCATGAGTGCTCGTTCAGTGCCTACAGTGTTTGGGGCAGCTGTGCATTTTCTTCACAAATTCATTCTTTAAGAAACACTGCTCCATGCGTTATACGAGACAGAAAATCCCGGTTAATACTAACAGATCCTTAGCTCGGGATTGTCCGGAGCAGGCACGCTGTCGGCAGGGGCTGCTCTGGGGTCTGTGGTGTCAGGGGCTCCCCAGAAGCTGCAGCGCAGAAATGGGGGAGGCTGAGAGCGACTCAGGCCTCTCTGCAAATGAAGCTGAGGGGAGATACCTTTCCGATCATGCTGGTGATGAAACTCGCAGACACAAGTGACTAACCAATTGATAAGTATTGCTCACTACTCGCAGAAAATATAGATTTTTTTCTTAAAAATCATAGACAAAACACAGTTAAATAATTTAATGGTTATACCTTTCCTGACATACTATGTAACCTTGGCTTATATGCCTGGCTTAGAGATGTTTTCCAAAGTTGTGGTGTAATAAAAACATTTAAATAGTGAGTATTCCGGTGGTATTTTTGAAATGGCAGTTACCAGCAAATAAACGTCTGTTTGGACGTGGTAACAGGGAAACTACTCTGCATCCGTTCACCCCTCTCAACAGTTGATTCTCCTGCAGCACAGAAGACTTTCTTTATTTATGAAGCAAACGTCTTCTTCACTCCCAGGACTTCACCACTGGTAGGCCACCCTAGCCTGCCTCTAATCATCACTTCATCGTCTTTCACAACCTGCATTTTCCCTGCCCCTGATTTCTCATTCTGTTATTGACCTCTTGCACATTCCCCCTCTGGTGTGAATTACTTTTGCCGACTAAACTCAGGCATGGTACCAAAACTATAATTTGAGCTCACCCCCATGGTCGCAACCTCAGGCTGATCGCATGACCTAATCTCAGCAGAATCCTCCCAGCTCAGGGACCGCACTCTCAGACGGCAAGGCCAGTGATCCCTCAAATTCATCCCACGCAGGTGAAGACAGCTCTTCCCTCAGAAGACGCAGGTTGCAGCTAGCTTGAGGAGAGATCAATTCTTCCCATGCAAAGGCACGAATATCCTGTGGCTAAAGTGTATTGGAATTTCCCTCTGATTAAGTATGTTTATAATTCCATCTGCAAAAACCAGCAGTAAGCTGAACTGGAAAGCATTACCTGAGATTATATTTCCATTTTGCCCCATTAAAAAAGACTAGAATTTAATTTTATCTCAGCACAGATGCTTAAATCGAATGCGTACTTCCTTAGGAATGAAGAAATAGCAATGTATGTAAGGATAAGTAAGTCAGAATGAGAGAAAAAAACAGTTTTTAAAAAAAGTACAGGTGACTAAAGCAGCATAGGGCTAAGTAGGTTTAAAGGATGAAGACATTAATAAAGAGCTTCCTGCAGGGTTATCAACAGAAATACTTTTTCATAGAAATTAGTGGGGTTTACACACTGCATGTTCTCAGTTATAGGTGGGAGCTCCAAGCTATGCATTGAGCACACATGGACGTACACATGGGAACAACAGGCGCTGTGGACTGCGCGGGGCAAAGAAGGGAGGGGCATGCATTGAAAAACTAGCCAGGGGTACGATACTCACTAGCTGGGTGTAATACACCCATGTAACACACCTGCATGTGAACCCCCATATCTAAAATAAGAGCTGAAACTTTCAAAGAGGAGCAGTTACTTTGACTGACTTTTATTAGTAGTTGTAACTCTTTTCTTTTCCTGGAAACCTGAGTCCTAAATTGGAAGGTAGTAGCCACAGGGTACCGTAGTTCAGACAGTTTTTGAAGATAAGCAATTAAAATAGATCAGGGAATGGCTCCTTTTCAAACTTGTGAGCTAAGAATCCAGAAAGCAGGTTGTTCCAAGACGATGCTGTGAAAGAAAAAATTGGCCTTTCACTGGGGACAGGGTTCTTTCCAACCTTATGTCTGGCTCTTGTACTTTCTCTTTCATCTCCTTTGTGACCCCATGGACTCTCAAATTGAAATGAATTAAATTTATTCACATTAAGGCATTAAACTACTAATGGCTTCATGTGTTCTGTCTTCCACTGGTGTTTGTATTTGATAGAAAATAATGCCCTAAAAAATGAATGGTTTAGGGAAGCTAATGGAAGAGATGAAGGCTGGAAGGGGCAGGTTCTCAATCACATGACGTTCAGCGTGCTCAGCTACATAATCAGCTCAGAAAGGAGCCTGAACATTGATTCTCAAAGTGTGGGCCAAAGTCCCCTGGGACATCCTGAGACTTTTTCAGTGGCAACAGGAGGCCAAAATGACTTTTATAATAATACTAAGATGTTATTCGCCATTTTTACCCTCATTCTCTCACAAATATACATGAAATTTTCCAGAAGATTCATGATAGGTGACTTCATAACAGATTAAATGCAGAAACAGAATAGTAGAGTTATCTTTTATTAAGCTACACATTAAGGAGATTTGCAAAAATGTAAAACAATTTCTCTCTTCTCAACACATTTATTTGGTTTTAAAATAAATGTGATTAATATACGATTAAAATAAATTACAAAATTAAATATAATTTTAGAACTAAATAAATTAAAATAAAAATTAAATTGGAATTTAATTTTTTTTTTTTTTGAGACAGAGTCTTGCTCTGTCTCCCAGGCTGGAGTGCAGTGGCACCATCTTGGCACACTGCAACCTCTGCCTCCCAGGTTCAAGCAATTCTCCTGCCTCAGCCTCCCGAGTAGCTGGGACTACAGGTGTCCGCCACCACACCCAGCTAATTTTTTTGGATTTTTAGCAGAGATGGGGTATCACAAGGTTGGTCGGGCTGGTCTCGAACTCCTGAACTCAAATGATCCGCCCGCCTCGGCCTCTCAAAGTGCTGGGATTACAGGCATGAGCCACTGCGCCAGGCGGAATTTAATTTTTTTTAATTTTCATTAAAATGTTATTTATTTGAAAGGTTGGTAATTATTTAAAATTAACTAATAAATATTTTAAATATTTGTCCATTTCAAATCTTAGTATGATAAATATGGTTTTATATACATATTTATATAAACAAATCATAAATTTATTTATATATTTATATTTTTTACTATATATTTTATAAATATTTATTTTTATCCCATAAAAGTGAAAGCTTTTCAGGGGGTGCAACACATTTTAGATTATAAAGAAGTTCTGAGAACAAAAAGCTTGAGAACCACTAAACAGTGTTCTTATTCTGATCCTGACTGTTTTCTGTGGTTTACCTGTTTAAGACTTCTTGGTGATCTTTGATTGACATATTCATCAAATCTGCATCCCATATATTTAATAAAGACAGGAAGAGAGAGAGGGAGGCAAAAAAAGAGGAAGGAAGAAAGGAAAGGGAAGAATAGATGAAGGGAATAAAGGAAACCTAATAAACTATCCACAGGGAATGCACTGTAGGGGCCACGGGGTGTGTATTCAGTGCACACCAGGTTCACGGCCAATACCCAGCTGTGCTCATGACTGAAATGCTTCCAGCAGATGTGCTACGCCCTGGATATCTTCCACATAAACCTGACCTGTGTTCATTTCCTGAACACACTGTAGACAGATTTACTCTTAGACGTTTTGTTTGACTTACCCTTTGTTTTACGACAAAAAATGTAATTGCTGGTAGTTAAATGTAGACAGTTTTATGTGAAAGTCTGTATTTCCGTTTTATCTTGAATTTGAAAATAACTGGTAAGACAGTCACCAAGGACCTGTGACGAACAGTGGGCTGGAGCTGCGGAGCCGCTGTCCCTCGCAGCAGGGCACCAAGCACAAACGTCCCGGAGTCACCTCTGACCTGCCCCAATCTTCCCTGTTACCTACCCCGGCAGGACTCTGAGAGGAGGCTAATTGTCTCAAGATCATCTTTAAATCTCTTCGGGCACATGAGAACAATGTTCTGTGCCAACAAAAATATAAATTAAAAGGCAAAAAGTCACCCGATCACACCACACAGTGGCAGCCCTCTACATTTTGGTCTGTTTTTAGCAAGCATTTTTTCTCATGTTTAGTATTACGTACTTAGGATCATATATGATACACGATTACACAAAAATGAGGATGTTTTTGTATATCCACGAAATCACTGTATTTTCCATATTAGAGTAAGTGTTTGACATGCCATTAAAAGTGCTTTTAAACATAGTGTTCAGTCCTGCGTAATTCCCCACTGTGTGCAGGCACCATAGCTCACTCCGTGAATTCTGTCAACATTTAGGTTCATTTTTTCTTACTGTAAATAATGATGATGAACATCTTTATAAAACAGCTAGTTATACTTAGGATAAATCCTAAAAGCGGGTGAAAGAATATACATACTTTTAAAGTATTTACTATGTGTATCTTCTTTCCCTTGGATGGAAATATAAGCAGTTTTTTATTTTACTTTTTGTAAAATTTTCAATTAAAAGTTTATTTTTTCAAAATTTATGTTCTGTATTAGCAAACAGAAACAAGGAGCTAAAATTTGAATCCCTAAAGTACATTTTAAGTGTTACTTTAAATATATTAGGCTGTCTATGCTATGTGGCACAAAAACATAAAAACTGTGGACTTGGTCCAAATGCTTGGGTGGTACCATTCTTTGTGGGCTGGTGTTCTCATTTTTTAACTCCTTTTTTGCACATCCATTATTGGGACACTTCTGGACTATGATGTCAAGGTGACCATTCTAACAGGCTAGTTTTTTAACTGCAGTCTGTGGCCACATGAGAGGCTTTGTAAAAGTCCTGGATGAAATTCTCACTTTAAAAATTGTACGTCTGACACTAAGTGGACATTCAAGTGTGCTGATAATGAGTGCGGGGAAGCTTTCACTAACTGAGAAGAAGGGCAGAAATTAGCACGAAATCATGGAGTAGGTGTGGGCAGCAAGAAGCCAAGCACAACCTGAAAGAAAAGGGAACATGATTAAGCAAATCTGATCCCAGGGCAGCTAAGAAAACCACAGACGATGTTGCCACCAAAATGGACATGTGACTGATGCAATATTTATATACACAAATGTAAAGCAGAATTTGCATTCTATCATCTTCAGGTTAGGCATGGATCAACCCCAAAACAAGGATTCTATGCTACAGACTTAGGAGAAAACCTTACCATAAGAAAAACTACTTCAAAGTCATCTGGACTAACAATCTGATCCTCATGGCTAATGCATGCTGAACAGAACACAGGGCAGCAAAAATTGACCCCAGAGAAGGAAGGAAGAGGGAACGGGAAAGGAGAGTTTGGTTATCATTGCTCTTGGAGAAACAAGATGCATGATGTTTTATTAATAGGCACAATTCCTTTATGTAAGTAACCTGATAAAAGGTAGTAGGTTGATTTCATGCTCTGCTGAAGAGAAGTGGGATGGCTTTCTACCCTGAAGCCACTAGGGCTCTTTTAGGCACTGCATGGAGCATATTTGCTTTTTTCCTTTATATAAATTGCAAATAGCATCTTAGTCACATAAAAGAGTTGGTCCAGCTCCCTGCAAAAATGCTCTGTTATGTCCAGTGTGCATTTCATATATTTCACATGCTCCAGGGGCTGTCAGCTCATGCAGTCATATCCAACATTGACATTGACTATGGCAGTCACAGTGACAGCAGTTTTGTTCTTTCATGCCATTTGGTACTCCACAATGCACTACTTAACCCAAGACAATTTTCAGGTTTCACTGATATCTTTGAATCCCCTTAGAAAGAGGAAACCTCCCTAAAAAGATCTTAGGACATGCAACCAAGTATGAATTCTACTTAGAAAATCTTATGATATGTGACTAAGGTACATAAAATTCTCATATTTTAGCCAGTTTTATTCATCACAAAGTTTTGGAGACATAGATTCCATTGTGTTCTGATTCACAACTGCTATTTACTCATTCAATTAATAAATCTGTACTGAATGCCTAGTTGTGCCAAGTGCTTCTAGGCCCTGGTCATAAAGCAGTAAACAAGACAAACAGGACTTTCTGATCTCGTGAAGAAAACTAAACAGGGCAGACAGAGTGCCAGCCTGCCATGCAAGCACCGTGATCAGGGAAGGGCTCGCCAGAAGGCCCATGAGCGAGACCTGTAGAAGTGAGAGAGCCACCCACAAAGATGTTGGAGAAAGGATGTTGCAGACAGAGGCCCAGAGGAAGGAGCATAACCTAACACGTTTGAAGAGCAGGAAGCAGTCAAGAGAGGGTGAGCAAAGGAAGCACATGTGAGGTGGAGAAGGAAGGGGCTGGGGGCCACCAGATGGAGGGTTTTTGGTTTTTACTGATTGTGGTGAGAAGCCATTGGACATGTTTACAAAGGACTGATATTACCAGACCTGTCTTTTAACAGGATCCCTACGTAATGAATAGAAGACTAAGAAGAACCAGTGGAAGAGGGAGAACAGTTAAGAGACTATTGCCATAATCCAAGTGCAAGGTGGAGGTGACTTGGACCAGGAGTAGCAAGATGAGTGGTGAAGAGGGGTCAGGTTATGGATCTATTTGGAAGGTAGAATCACAGACGTTCTGACAGATTAAATTAAGCATAGTGGAGAAAGAAGGGAGTGTAAGGATTATCTCCTAGGTACGTGGGTATACCCATTTGGAGTTCAAGGGTAAGGTCTGGACTAAACCTTTGAATCTGGGAGTCGTCAGTGTATGGATGGTGCTTAAAGCTATGAGACTGTTTGAAATCCCTAAGGGAGTACATGCGGGTAGAGAAGATGTCAGAGGACTAGCCCCTAAGCTGTTGCAGCGTGTAAAGCACAGGGTGAACAGCAGGAACCGCAAAGCAGAGGGAGAAATGAGGCCAACGATGAAGGAAGGAAACCAAGAAGTCTGGGGTGTCATGGAGCCAAGTGAGAAAGTGTTTGAGGGTCAGGCAACAACCAGCTGTGCAAATGCTATTCATGGCTAAGTGAGAAGAGGGTTAAGAATTGATCATGGGCTATAACAACATGGAAGATATTCACATTTTGAAATGAGCAATTTCTGTGAAAGGACAGAGGAAACTGTCAGACCTAGTGGATCTGAGAGGAAAAATGAAGACAGAAATTGGAGATGGTAAATATGAAAACCCTTCCAAAGAATTCCACTCTGAAGAAAGCAGAAATAGTGCAGTAGTTTGAAAGGAACATAAGATCAGGACAGGTAGTGCCAGATGGGAAAATTCAACTGTGCATGTTGATAGGAACACTCCAGTAGAGACAGAAAAGTCGACATTGTGGGAGGTAGAAGGAGAATTGCTGGAATTCGAGAGAGACATTGGGATTTAGTGCTCCAGTTTAACTTATGGGTAACAAAAAGGAAGACAGTGTTTGGACATAGATCCAGGTGGGGGGTGATGAGGAAGTAGCAGTTTGCAGAAGCTCTCATCTTATTCTGGTTTTGGCTTAAATTTGTTTTTCTTTCAGTGACATATACCCCAAAGTCATTAACTGAGAGTGAGGATGGGAGAGAAAACATTAGAGGCTTAAGAGGAGAGAGAATCTGAAGGAGCCTCCCAGAAACATGAATGAGCGAGGGAAGGCATTAGAATGGCAGGTGTGCTAGGAGCCTACTAGCGGTTAGCGACAGGGCCAGCTGCATTGGTGGCTTAATGTGTGTGACTGTGGAGTCACACATAATTTTTGCAATTTGTAAGTTTATGTTATTTCTCGTGTGTCACTGTTGCCTGCTTTATGGTTTATAAGTCACAAATTATTTTGAAAATGAAAACACCTTAGATTTTAGTGCATTTAATGAGGCTTTTTAAAAATGTCTTTTGAACGAACAGCCCCACACTTTCATTTTGCCCTGGGCCCTGCAAATCAGGCAGCCAGCCCCGGTTAGTGATCACGAATGTAAGGGAAGAGCAATCAGCGTCACTGTGGGCTTCTCCAGCCACACTCAGCTCTGTGGAGAGCTGGATTTACAAGGGATAGAGTTGTGCCAGGTGGTTACCACGAGGAGAGAAAGGGACAGGTTTGTTGAGAATATATAAAAATGATGATTCTGAAAATCAACTGGGAGTAAATAGACCCCATCTGGCTCCAACTCAATAAAACGTATACACTATACATCAGTGTATATTGTAAGTGTCACATCATACCTCAGGGAAGGTGCATTCCCCAGGGATCCTCGCACAGGATCCAGCAGTGGCTGAGCTATCTCTCTAGTTCTTTGATAGAAGCACCTGAAATTTTACCTGCTGTTGCTGGTTACACGCAAACCTCCTGTTAGTGAACAGTTAATTACTCCCAGAGGATGCAATACCTGAGTAGCTCCCAAAGTTTCCTGTGGGAAAGTTATCTTGGAGGAGCCAGTGTATTGAACTTCTTCAGCTAACAAATTTCTTCACCATGTGCATGACTATCTCGTTACAAGTTCCCACAGGCATTCAACACATTTGCTTTCTTTATTATTTTGTTAACATCAGACCATTTCCTAACTCATTACAGCTTATCCTATTACACATTACCATATGTCATGATTACTTTTATGTGTCAACTTGACTGGGCTACAGGGTGCCCAGATATTAAGCCAAACATTATTCTTGGTATGTCTGTGAGGGCTGTGAGAGTTTCAGGAGGAGACTAACATTTAAATTGATAGAGTAAAGCCAGTTGTCCTCCTAATGTAGGTGAATCTTATCCAACCAACTGAAGGCCTGAATAAAACAAAAAGTCTGGCCCTCTTGTGGAACAAGGGAACTCCTTCTGCCCGGCTGCTTGAGCTGGAACATCACCAGTCTTTTCCTGGCTTCTGACTCAAATGGAAACATTAGATCTTCTGGGTCTTGAGCGCACTGGCTTTTGAACTGTAAATCACACCATCAGCCCTCCAGGTTCTCAGGCCTTCAGACAGGCTGGAACTATACCATCAGCTCTGCAAGGTCTCCAGACTTCAGCTTGCCAACTAGAGATCACAGGACTTCTCAGCCTCTATAACTGTGGCAGCCAATTCCCTACAAATAATCTCTCTCTACACACACACACACACACACACACACACACACACTTCTGTTTCTTTGGAGGATCCTGATTAATATACTGTTATTCCTTAGTTTGCAGTTATTACTCTCATGTTTACAGTAACCACAATGTTCCTGTATTCCTCAGCCATCATACAACTGCAGGCTGCACTCCAAATTCTCACAAGCTTAACTGGATATAACTTCACAATAAAACCCAGGTATAAGAATAAAAGGTGTCTTGCCCAAATCCCTCTGCAGAAACAGTTCAAACATCTGCTATGCTGATAGTTGCTCAACAAAAGTAATTATCATACTTTCATATTCAACAAACATAAAAAAAATTCTGTGAGAATTTTTACAATTATTAACTTTAATTCTTAAAATATTCTAGTGAATAAACCATTATTATGCCCATTAAAACATGAAGAATAAAGAGGATAAATAACTTGCTTGAGTTCATACATTTAGTATAGAGAAGAGAACATAGGATTTGTAATTAAATTCTTGCTTTTCTACTGTTACAAGTTACCTAAACTCTCTAAGATTGAATCTTTCATCCATGAAGTGGGAATAATACTGGCTACTGCAGGTAGTCATGGTGAGAATTCATGCTATTCTATATGTTCAAAGCCCAACACAGTGTCTGTTTTTTAGAAACTTAACACCTTTTCTTTGTTTCTATTTTCCTTTGTCTCTCTCTCCTAAGATCTTTTTGTCTGCCTTGTGAAAGACACTGAATTACATGGATGTCTCTGAAATAAGAATTAATATATTTTTTCAAACTCTGATTTTTTCAAAGCTGATAATTTATTCCAGGTCTCCTGTTTTGCAGGCTTGGTATTTGTTTTCTAAATCCAAATTTGAACATCCTTAGAAGCATATTCTTTCTAGTTTTCCACAGAACCCACTCTTCCCCGCTATCCACATTTAGTCCGATTCATACATTCACGTTACCTTCCTGTCCCTACAAGGTTTGGAATTTCAGCCCCTGCAGTGCATCCTATGATTCCATCACTTCAATGACTTCAGAACTTTTTGGTTTGGGCACAATGATCTAATTTTATTTTAAAACTTTGGAGAATGACACAAACAAGAGTTATTATTTTTAACAGTTCAGGAATTC